>NC_000023.11:16682942-16985972 GCF_000001405.40 Homo sapiens | reverse complement strand
GATCAAAATAAATTCTTAAGATTGATAATGAATAAAATTACAAAAACCTCCAGCTTCCTGACTTTCAGATCTTAAGCAACAACTCCACCTCCATGCCACTACCCACACAGACAACTGTATGACTATACCTTGTTTTCATTATAACCTCTATTAATAATGCTAAGAACCCCCGTACACAGCTGTGTTTAAAACCAAAAGTTGTATTAATGACCAGACCAGCTTGACCTTGATTGATCTGGGTATCTACACTGGACAGAGTAAAATGAGAAAGCAAGTCTGCCCATCAGGAGGCCACCTATTCTGACTACAGTGAAAATTAAAATTAAAGCTATCTCTTTCACATTGCTCTGCACTTTTGCAAATTTTCTTCAAATCGTGGATTTTTTTCAGTCTTCTCTATATCTAAGAAAAGAAATATGATGCACAGGATGTCAAGTCAACAGATAAAGCCAGGAAAAGCTATCCCTGTGTAAATGAAGCATGATATTGGGACAGCAGGAGTCAAGAACATAAGTGAGTGAGCCAGTCTCTGTGTAAAATTGGTCACAACCAACTGAACACAGTTTTGAAAGAAAAAAGGAAAATAGTTGAAGGAAGCACAAAGCTCTAAGCCAATGCAAACAACAGTGGTTAAAAAGTGATGGGTTGATTCCTGAAGTGCAAACGTTTATTTCATGGTTGCACGATTAGACACAGTAAATCCATATACCTCTGTACCTAGCCAGGACCCTACTTTTATTCCCAAAAGCTCAAAATCAAGTGTAATAAACAAAAGTATAGTTAAACTGTTTCAGGAAGATTTCCTGTTAACATCTTCAAGTTTCATAGAAATCTAATTTAACGTTGAAGATATACAGAGAAAAAAAAAACCTCAATTCTTAATTTGTATAAACTGAGCCCCTTTCTAAGAGCCACTCAAATTGATGTGTACCACACATTAACTGGAAGGGGATGCCTCCCAGCAATAGCTGAATGAAAAAATGAAGGGCTCCTGAAAGAAGTCTCCGTGGAAACTGCACAGTCCTTGCATCTACCATTCACCTTATACTCTGGCTGGCATTCAAGCACATCAAACCAGCAATAAAAACATCAGAAAGTTGGGTGGACTTTGGCAAATGAAGAATTCAGTGTTTGGTACAAGGAGATTTTCCAGGAAAAAAAAAAAAGTACATCAGACCAAACTTTTCAGGATTCAAGAAGCCTCAGCTAGTCAAACCTATTTAAAAAAAAAATTCCCCAATGAAGTATCTGTACCACGGCCTTTATTTTACCCATTCAGTAAGTGTTTACAAAAGCCAATTTGTATTTTCACTCACATTCTAAATGATTTAAGTATCTTAAAGTACAAAACAGGTGTTTGGAATATTAGAATATGAAAAGGAAATATAATTCATAATTTTGTAACTATGGCAAATGAGGATCATTAACATGTAGTAACCAGCCTCCATGATGGCCCCCAGTGATTTCCATCTCATAGTATTCTTGATGCCCTTGTATCATCCTCTCCCACATTATATCAGGGTTGTGTATGTGACCAATAGAAAAGAGCAGAAGTGATCATCTGTGACTTCTAAGGCTAGGTCACAAAAGATATTGTGGCTTCTGCCTTGCTGTCTCTCTGAGATCCCTCACTCTGAAGGAGGCCAGCTGCCATGTCATGATGACAATCAAGCAACCCTAAAGAGAGACCCACATGGTGAGGAACTGAGGCCTCCCACCAACAGCCCTGTGAGTGCACCACAATGGAAGTGGATCTTCCTGCTCCAATCAGGTCTTCAGATCGCTGCAGCCCTGGAAGACAACTTGTTTGCAATCTCCATAGAGATCCTGAGCCAGAACCACCCAGCTTAGCTTCCCCTAAATTACTGATTCTCAAAACTATGTCAGACAATAACTGTTTGTTGTGTTAAAGTGCTAAGTTTTGAGGTAACCTGTTATACAGCAATAGATAACTAATACAACACATAATTGTTAGAAATCAGGTATTACCTTCATTTCTCTATGTTAAAGTCACTGCTAAAGAGGTAGTATAGCAGTGTGGAAAGAAGAGGGTTCTGGAGGCAAACAGATGTGCTTCGAATTCTAGGCCCACCACTTATAAGCCATGTGATCTTGGTCAAATTACTTAACTTCAGTGCCTCAATGTCTTCATCAAAAACAAAATGGAGGGCCGGGCATGGTGGCTCATGCCTGTAATCCCAGCACTTTGGGAGGCCAAGGCTGGGGGATCACAGGAGGCCAAAAGTTAAGAGACCAGCCTGGCCAACATAGCGAAATCCCATCTCTACTGAAAATACAAAACATTAACTGGGCATGGTGGCGCATGCCTGTAATCCCAGCTACTCAGGAGGCTGAGGCAGGAGAATTGCTTGAATTCAGGAGGTGGAGGTTGCAGTGAGACAAGATCGCACCACTGCACTCCAGTCTGGGCAACACAGTGAGATCCTGTCTCAAAACAAAACAAAACAAAACAAAACAAAATGGAGGTAAGGAATATCAGTTTCAGAGAATATCTGTAAAAATTCAAAACACATACAAAGAGCCTGGTGCCAAACAGGCATCTAATGTTAGTTCTCCCCCTTTTTTAAAGGGTATATGATTCTGCTAAAAACGAGCCTTGATTTATAAACACAACTACAATTAAACTGAATACTGAACCCTAGGGAAGTTGGAAAAGACCCACAAATGCAAGGGAAGACCTCAGAGCCATTGCCAAGCTCTGTCACATAATTACCAAAAAAAGACCACCCTGTGTGCTGTATTTTATATATTTTTTTTCCATTTAATCTTCTCAACACCCTATCTTAACCAGGATAAACTAGGTTATACTAAAGCAGGGTTTCTAAACTTCAGCACTATTGACATTTTGGATCAGATAATTCTTTGTTGTGGGAGCTGTCCTGTGCAGTGTTGGATGCTTAGCAGCATCTGCCCACTAAATGCCAAGAGCACTTCCCCATGTGTGATAACCAAAAAATGTCTCCAGACATTGCCAGATATCTCAGTGTGAGAAATGCAAAACTGCCATTGCTTGAGGACCACTGTGCTAAAGTATCAAATAGTCACCAAATCTTGACGGCTTAAAATGACACTTTTTCCATACTCATGCAACAAAATCTATGAGGGCTCTGCCCCACATCATTTTCATTCTGATACACAAGCTGATGGAGCCTGTGTCCAACTGGAACATCAATGGTCATCATGGCAGAAAGGAAAAGAGATGAGGCAAACCACCAGCTTCTGCCTGGAAGAAGGCACACATCACTTCCCCTCACAGGCCACTAGCCAAAGCAAATCCGTGGCCAAAGTTGATGGTAATAAATGGACAGTGAATTTTTCAAGCAATAATACAGTCTATCAACTCGTGAAACATCCAGAGGTACTAACATTCTATACTAGAAGAAAGATGTTCACAGGTAACTTGACAAAATTCACACAGCCTATAAAATCAAGATTCAAACGATGTCTACCAAATACATGCACAAAAAAATCAACACTCTCTCCACTTTAACACTGATTTGCAAACTGTTCTATGGAAGTGAACAGTTCCTAAAAGTGCTTCAGGGATTCTGCAACATTAAAATTTGATTTTGGTTTAAAAACATATATATATGATTCCACTCCTAGGTATATACTCAAGATAACTAAAAACATATGTCCACATTAAAATGTATACATGATGTAAACATGAATGTTCATAGCAGCATTATTCATAATAATAGCACAAAGTGGAAACAACTCAAATGTCCATCAACAGATGAATGGATAAACAAAATCTGGTATATCCAGAAAATGGAATATTATTTGGCCATAAAAAGGAATAAAGTACTGATACATACTCTAATATAGGTAGACCTTAAAAAACATTATGCTAAGTGAAAAAAGCCAGTCACAAAAGGTTACAAAATGTGTAATTCCATTTATATGAAATGGCCAGAAGAGGCAAATTCATAGAGACAGAAAGTAGGTTAGTGGTTGTTAGGGCCTGGGGTTAGAAAACTGGGGGGCAATGGAGGGTGACTGCTAAAGCGTATGAGGTTTCTTGTTGGGGGTAATAAGTGTTCTAAATTTGACTGTGATGATGGCACGATCCTGTGAATATACTAAAAACCATTTAATTTGACACTTTAAATGTGTGACTTATATGGTGTGTGACTTGTACAGTAATAAATTATTACCAAAAAATGTTACCGGAATAGAAATGAAGTGTGTCTGGTTTTTGTTGTCATCCTTTTTTTTCCAGATCACTGTAAAATAAATGTAATACAATTTTTGCCTACGGGTAAGGATAATCGATACTGTCAGGTACAGTGCTTGATCACACTTGGAAGAAGGTAGTGGATCCAGAATCACAGATGTGCTGGGGAATAAAAATGCATTTGAAGTTTCACAAAAATATGTATTTTTCTGTTATAAGATAGCACTTGTCACAGAACCAAATACCAACTCCCCACTCCTTATGTGTGCTCCTTCAGCATTCTGCTAGAGAACACGTAAATTAAGTAAAAGTCCAGAATGATCCTATCATATCACAGCAAATTCACTCTGCCACTTTTTGCAAAATAATGTGTTAAGGAAAAGCCACATATGAGATTTTATTTAAACCTTCCTGCAGTCATTTTGCTTGTGTTTTCTGCATTCCTACTCCCAGCCATGAACTGATACAGTTTAATGGATAAACCTCAGATCAGTCCCCACCAGGATAAGGCAAAGCATGGGGTTACAATTCCCATCAGGCATCCAAGTTCCCACATCTGCTCCATGGAGTACTGTGGGACAAGAAAGGAGGAGGCAAGAGGCACTGTCTAGGGAAATTTCTGCAAGAACACAACTGACTCCTACCACAATCCACAAGACACTGAATGGAACTTTTCTCCCCTCCCATAGATTTAACAATGTTCTACAGAATGCAACCTGTCATATACCTGAATGCCTTTTCTTCTTCCATTTCTGAAGACAAACTCTCAAACGAAAGTCAGATATGACTGCAAAGTACTTTGTAGGGCCCACACATGAGCCAGCACAAAAGAATTCCCTTTTAACCTTTAAGTTTAGATTTTCTGTGAAAAGCACTTAAGTAGGAAACTCTTTCTTAAACTGCGATCAGAAAATGAACATATGATAGTGCTTCTAATCTTCATTCCATTTGGAACAGGGTTCTTAACGTCCTGTGCCATGGACGCTTTGGCAGTCTGGTGAAGCTTTATGGATCCCTTTTAGGAATTATATTTTTAAGTGCAAAAATAAAATATATGATTACAAGGGAAGCCACTTATATTGAAAACGTTATTAAAATATTATAAAATGCTAATTTGTGATATAGTGATACATGTGCCTTTTGTTATGGCATTAAGTATCAAGAACTGGTGGTAATGTGGCCAGGCACGGTGGCTCACGCCTGTAATCCCAGCATTTTGGCCGAGGCAGGTGGATCACGAGGTCAAGAGATCGCGACCATCCTGGCCAACATGGTAAAACTCCATCTCTACTTAAAATAGAAAAATTAGCTGGGCGTGGTGGCACGCTCCCGTAGTCCCAACTACTCGGGAGGCTGAGGCAGGAGAATCGCTTGAACCTGGGAGGCGGAGGTTGCAGTGAGCCAAGATCACACCACTGCACTCCAGCCTGGCGACAGAGTGAGACTCCATCTAAAAAAAATTTAAAAATAAAAAATAAAGAATAAATAAATAAATAAATTAGCCGGGCCGTGGTGGCATGTGCCTGTAATCCCAGCTACTCAGGAAGCTGAGGCGGGAGAATCACTTGAACCTGGGAGGCAGAGGTCACAGTGAGCCAAGATCACACCACTGCACTCCAGCCTGGGGGTAACAGAGAAAGACTGCCTCAAAAAAAAAAAAAAAACTGGTGATAATGCCAATAACCACCCAAATTTTGAAGGAGTGATTAGAATAAACAATATTTCAAGATATCTGCAACAACTGTGATACAATATGAAAATATCTGTGAGCTATTGAGGACAAACTCAAAGATGGGGCCAATAGTACTGTGATTTGTCACCTGCATTCATTAATTGATGAAAATGCTAAATATCCATGGTTGGTCAAAATAAAGACGTACTTTTTCTCCATCCAAGAAGTCACCTTGAATTCTATCCACCGATTTCTTGGAGATCTGAGAACCCAGGTAAAAAACCCATGTGTGGAAAAAAAAAAAAAAGTAATAACCTAAGGGATAAACCTTTCTCAGAGGAATGTGAATTTTAAGATGTCTGTAGACACTATTTAGGATGTTTTCCTCATAAACAACAAAGATACAAAGGGTTGTAATTCTAATGCTTTGTACCGAGTACATAAGAAAGCTAATGGTAATAAACAAATAATAAGTAACATTAAATAAATGTTAATAAATACACCTGGGGTAAATGAAACAACCCATGTTCACTTTTATTCTGGACATTCTCTTGACATAAATCCTGCTGTTAGACTTGGCTGACTGCCTAGACTTTTTCTGGACTAGGCCTTAACTATGGAAGAGAAAGCAAATTTTAGACTATCCTCAAAATTTATCCTCCGCCTACATCCTACACTTCTTGAGATTGTTCTCAGATTTCTTAATCAATATTGAAGTAAGTAAAAATCTCCTGTGGCTATGAATCTTGGCATGCTTAATAGTATCCATGGAAACATCCTAATTGAAAACATTCAGTTCCCATTGGATCATCTCCTATCCCATGAAGCATTTAAGACAATTAGTTTAAATCCTCCCACATACTTGACACCCTATAAAGAATCTTGCAGTGATAGGTAATACAGTATATGGTATGGGGGCAAATCTATAATCTGAGCACTCAAAATAATTCTAGAGAATTGCTTATGGGCACTCGAAACCCTGACCTAGGGCATTTTACACTTGTTAACTTTAGCATTTTGTCTGTAATATAAACAGCAACGTGAAGTTAAGGTAAAGCCTATCGGAAATTTCCTTTTTTATGGCATTAAAAATGGATCATTCATTAACTTACACCATAGAAAATAAGGTGTTAGAAGCTAGGAGCCACTTGGTTTCTTGCCTTTCCTCATAATTTTGCCTCACGTGTTATTAAATGCCCCATAATTTCTAGTTAGAATCGACATTGCTTTTCCTAGTTTAGAGATCCAGTGCTACAAATAATAAATGCAGGATCATGAAAAGATCCAGCTCTATTACTTTTCTCTTGTCCAAGGAACATCTGTTTTATGTTAACAATCTTTGCTAGGGTGAAAGAAGGTAAAGAATCAGATGCTGACATTAAGAAAAGCCATTTTATCTTTTTATAATTCTTCTTCCTTACCTGCAAAATGGAGGCTGGGATTCTGTGCCCCTCTTCTACCAAGAACTTCTGAGATTACTGTAATTGAATCCAAGCCTTACCTTCACCACTTCTGCATGCCAGCAAAACTGCTCCTCCTTTTAGAGCTCAGAGCATCCTTTGGAAGTCAGCAGGAGTGGCTCAACAAAAAAAAAAAGAAAAAAAGGAAACACAAGGGCACAGAAGGAGCATGGAAACCAGCCAAGGCTGACAGAATTTCAATAACCTGGGATTTGAAAAGCTGTACAAATATATTTATTATCAAGATGTTTCAACTTATTATTATTAGCTTACTTTTATTGAGTAAAAGGTCTTCTGTGCTCATGCCAGATGGCCGGGAAAGTATTAGGAAATCATTTCTGAAGGATAGTACTCAGTAATCCAAAACAAGCCAAAAGTTGAACCTCCTGCTATTTGTACAACCCATCATCCACACAAAGAGCAAAGAAAATGAAGTGTCCTTCTTTCTTTCACTTTTCTACCCTGATTGGGTTATAATTATGATATAAGAAAATGATCCCACAATCCCAGTACTAAATATTTGTACCAGTATTTAACTGAATTTAGAATAGAGGCTTTCATTTCATCCCTACTCTGTAAGAAGAGTAACTACCCAGGAACCACCATGATGTGGGAAGCCTAAGGCATGTGGAAAGGCCAGGGTGGATGAGATACCACATGGAGAGAGACTGGCCACAGACACTGAGGAGCTATTCATAAGAGTGAAGAAGCTATCTTAGAATTAGAACCTCCAGTCCCATTGCCCAACCAATGCCATCTGGAGCAGAAATGAAGAGCTCAGCTGACATCTTCCCTAATCCCTCACTGACAAAACTATGAAAATGGTTATCCTAAGCCACTAAATTCTGGGGTGGGCTCTTAGGCAGCAGGATATAACCGAAAGAGGCAATCATCACATCTTTTGTTTGTTTTTTTTTTTTTTTTTTAGAGACAGGGTCTTGCTCTGTTGCCCAAGCTGGAGTGCAGTGGTGTGATCATGGTTCACCGCAGCCTCAATCGCCTAAGCTCAAGCAATCCTCCCATCTCAGCCTGCCGAGTAGCTGGGACTACAGGAGTATACCAACATGCCCAGCTAGATTTTTTAAAAATTTTTTAGAGATGGGGGTCTTCCTATGTCGCCCAGGCTGGTTGAACTCCTGGGCTCAAGTGATCCTCCTGCCTTGGCCTCCCAAAGTGCTGGGATTACAGACGTGAGTGATCGCATCCAGCCATGTCATTACATGGCCTTTGGTACCACCAGAGAAGTAACAGTAAGGTAGCCTAAGCATTCTTCAGACAAGAGTAGAAAGTGAATGAAAGTCCTTCCAGCTGGCTCAGGACCTCAGAATCACCCATCCTTAATACTCAGGCAGAAGTTAGTTTCAACATGAAGTGGAGAGCCTCACTTCTGGCCAACTCATCCCAATAGGAATCATTAAGGCCCCACAGGCACTAATGGCAAAAGACTACCTCATTCAAGTAAAGGTGTCCCAAGAGCAAGAAGCCAAAAGAAGGCCCCTATAGTAACTGCTGAATCTTCAGGTAAAAGACCTCTTGCCTCTAGGAAGTCTTCCCAACTGTATGAACTCCAGAGAAACGCTGCAAATGGTTTGGCAGATACCTAACTGATAATGGGTACGCAATCTATCAATATGCTAATCTTTCAAGAGCAGGAGACTCAGGCTTGTCCTGGTGTCTCCTATTACAGACCATCTGAACCAAGGAATCTGCTCATGGTTTCAAGGCCTTTTCAAATTTGTCAAGGAAAAAA
Organism: Homo sapiens; assembly: GCF_000001405.40. Lineage (NCBI taxonomy): Eukaryota > Metazoa > Chordata > Mammalia > Primates > Hominidae > Homo > Homo sapiens. The sequence goes on along the minus strand of NC_000023.11, from coordinate 16,976,892 downwards.
AAGAGATACCCAACACCATACAGCAACAAACTAGGTGGGTCACCACCTAGGCAATTTTATTATTTGAGTATTTTTGAACCTGTAATTTATTCAGCTCCAGGCAAACAGGGACATATGGCCATGCTATCTATAGTTTATAGTGCTATTAAAACTAGTTCTAATATATATTCTTAACTCAGAGGAATGATTGGCAGTAGGTGAGTTCTTGAAGAACACTGAGGAATGTTACTAAAAATAAGGACCCCCCTTCTACTCTCCAAAGTGTTTTATAGTTTTGTCTCAAAGCACCCTTTGGAGAGAAGTCAGTTTTGTTATATTCACTTTACAGACCAAGGAACATGGACCTCTAATTGCTAGAATTTATTCCAATTTATAGGTATTTATACCTATCAAACCAGGTACAAAAACATGGATGATCTGAGTGACTATATCCAATTGGTAGACAACCAAGATGAAAAACATAAGAAACAATTTAAACTCTGGTCTGCCACCCTAGAGGAATAATTTCACCTCTCTTTGTACTCACCCCCTCCAAAATACCCCACCCCCAGAGGTAAAGATTATCATACTAATGGTTATTTTTGTTTACTTTCAGAATAAAAATGCTTCCCTTACCAGGATTTAGAGTTATAATACAGTAACTCATGCCAAAATCCAGAAATTTCCCTGTTAGTATATAGCAAATAATATTTTTATCATAGTTCTGATCTGGGAGCAAAAGTCAAATGATCTTACCCCAGGAAGTTGGCGTTTATTCTAAAATATTGTGATGGCATATAAAATGAGGTTACCAGGGGCTGGAGAAGGAATTGGGGAGTTACTGTTTAGTAGATATGGTTTATGTTTGGGATGATAAAGAAGTCCTGGAGATGGATGGTAGTGATGGTTGCACAACATTGTGAATGTACTTAATGCCACTGAAGTGTACACTTCAAATGGTTAAAATGGTAAGTTTTATAGTGAACTTTAAATTAAATTTTTTAAAGAAATAAATGCCTGCGTGAGGAAATAAAACTCAGGCATGGCTAAATCATGCATTATTATTTCCATAGTAGAAAATGACTTGAAAGAAATGTTGAAACAGTTTGGATTTCATGTTAGGCATATTCAATCCGAATGACTGTGAAAGGCTTTTCACTCATAATTTTTCAATCTAAACACTGTTGTAAGAGGCTTCACAGTATTGATCACTCTGATACGTCATATCTAAAAATAGTTAACACTTAAGCAAACAGTAATTTAACCAAATGATCAAAATTACAATCACCAATGAGGGGTTGAGACATCATGTGCCTCCTGATGCATTGCCTGAGAAGGACATGTCACTTATGCAGTATTCCAGACAAAAATGCATAATCTCAGACACTTTTCAAAAGAAGACATACACGTGGCTAACGAGCAGATGAAAAAAAAACCACAACATCACTGATCATTAGAGAAATGCAAATCAAAACCACAATGAGATAACATCTCACATCAGTAAGAATGGCTATTACTAAAAAGTCAAAAAGAAACAGGTGCCAGTGAGGTTGCAGAGAAAAAGGAATGCTTACATACTGCTGGTAGGAGTGTAAATTAATTCAACTATTGTGGAAAACAGAGTGGCGATTCCTCAAAGACCTAAAAACGGAAATACCATTCGACCCAGCAACCCCATTACTGGGTATAGACCCAAAGGAATATAAATCATTCTACCATAAAGACACATGCAAGCGTATGTTCATTGCAGCACTATTCACAATAGCAAAAACATAAAATCAACCTAAATGCCCATCAATGATAGACTGGATAAAGAAAATGTGGTACATATACACCATGGAATACTACACAACCATAAAAAAGAATGAGCTCATGTCCTTTGCAGGAACATGGATGGAGCTGGGGGCCATTATCCTAAGCAAACTAATGCAGGAACGGAAAACCAAATACTGCATGTTCTCACTTGTAAGTGGGAGCTAAGTGATGAGAACACATGGACACACAGAGAAGAACAACAGACACTGAGGCCTATTGGAGGATGGAGGGTGGCAGGAGGGAGAAGAGAAAAAAAAAACTACTGCATACTAGGTTTAGTACCTGGGTAATGAAATAATCTGTACAACAAACCCCCGTGACAAGAATTTACCTATACAACAAATCAGCACATGTACCCCTGAACCTAAAAGTTTTTTTAAAAATGCATAATCTCAATCTAAACAAGAGGAGCCATCAACCAAACCCAAATTTGGTACGTTCCTTTTTTTTTTGAAATGGAGCATCTAGCTCTGTCGCCCAGGCTGGAGTGCAGTGGTGCAATCTCGGCTCACTGCAACCTCTGCCTCCCGGGTTCAAGCGATTCTCTTGCCTCAGCCTCCTGAGTAGCTGGGATTATAGGTGCCATGGCTAATTTTTTTTGTTTTTTGTATTTTTAGTAGAGATGGGGTTTCACCATGTTGGCCAAGCTGGTCTCGAGTTCCTGAACTCAGACAATCCACCTGCCTCAGCCTCCCAAAGTGCTAGGATTGTAGGCATGAGCCACAGCACCCAGCCCAAATTTGGTACATTCTACAAAACAATGTCATAAATTTGTCATTGTTCAAAATGTCGATGTCATGAAAGACAAAGAAAGGCTTATAAGATCTGTTCCAGATCAAAGGAAACTAAAAAGTCATGACAAATAAATTCAATACATGATCCTGGACTTGATACTGTATCAGGAGAAAAAAAATATTCCACTGAAGAACATTTTGGGGATAATTAATGAAACTGGAATACAGACTGCATACTAAAGTACTGATATTAAATTTCCTAAATTTGAATAACAGTGTGCTTATGTACAGTTTTCAAACTTAATACTTCAGTGGGAAACTGGAAAATCGTATCTTGACTAGATATTGCAAAACTAAAGAATAAAAGAATTGTATAAATGCTGTAATCCAGTTAGTGAAAGTGTTTCTCAAACAGATATGGGTTAGCAATTCTGAAACTGTATACTAGATTTAAACAAATAAATATATTAAGTTTAAACTATTAAGGCATAGAAGAACATGATGTATGTGATTTAATCTCAAGTGATTTAGTATATGGCAATCAATATATAAATACAGATATATAAAATATATATAAAATACATATACATATATGAATAGACAAAGAAAATCATAAGGCACATGTAGCAAATGTTAAGTAAATCTAGTAAAGGGTATACAGGATTTCCTGGTACTATTCTTGCATCCCTATTTTCTGTCAGTTTGAAGTTACTTCAGTATAAAAAGTTTAGTCTGGATACTTGAATTAACATGGCAGAAAACTGCCTACACAACCAGAAATGCCCATATTGAGAAGAAAAGCATCTGTTGTGTTAAGCTCCTGAAAGTTGAGGAACACAGCTGCTAGCGTTATATTAACCAATACAATAGGATTTCAATGTAATTGATCTTTGCTTCTTGTAGGGCATAGCTTTATTTCTGCTAATCAAATATTTGTCACAAATACTCTATGATACAGAGTGATCCACCAAAGAATGAAAAAAATCAATGGACAAAAATTTGAGGATAAATAGGATATCTGCCTAGTCTCAAAGCATCTCCCCCAAGATATTTTAACCATAAAGAGAAAAAGTAATAATTTTACTGTAGAGAAACCCTGCAGACAGCAATTTAAACAAGGAATCAAGGTAAATGTCACCAGTAACAAGACACATCAACATCATGAACTCCTTGATATGATACACTGAAAAATATGCATCATTATATTCTTGCCAAAAATGAACAACCTTATTCATAAGAAAGCATCAAACAAATACAAATTGAGGAACATTCTACAAAATATTGATCTGTACTCTTCAAAGGTGTCATTAAAGATTAAGAAATTATTACAAACTGGATGAGACTAAGGAGAAATAATAACTAAATGCAATATGGGATCCTGGACAGGATCCTAGAACAGAAATAGACCACCAGTGGAAAAACTGATGGAATTCAAATAAGCTCTGTAGTTTAGTTAATAATACTGTACCAAGACTAATTTCCTATTCTTGATCCTTTATATAAAATGTTAACATTAAGGGAGCAGGGTGAGGAATATAAAGGAATGCTACTATTTTTGTAACTTTTCCATAAGCTCATCCCTTGAGTGATTGAATGAATATTCCTACTAGATTGATGTACAGGTTAACCTCCACTCCTACTCAAAATTCCACTATAAACAATAATACCTGGCTTGTTTTTAAGACTTAAATCTACAAGCACAAGAGAAAGGAAAAAGAACAAAATTAAAGTGGCTGGGAAACAGATGGACATAGAGTGACTACAGGAAGAAGGTTAATTTATACAATAGACTCTGGGAAAGGACCCAGCTCCTTCTGAGGTGTAGATAGAGCTGGAAGCAGGAGGATAAGAGCATCTCAAAGCTAAAACACCAGTATTTTAGGTGGCACTAAAAAAAAGCCAAATAAGATATGATGCAGTAGTCTACGACTTAGCATTTATCTCAGGCTTATTAAAGGAGCTCTTTTAGACTTTTCATTTATCATTCATATACACATAGAAAGGGAAATAAGCAAAATTAACTGCTCAAGGTTTTCCTAAAAATTCCTCACATTTAGAACTGAATATCTGTCCATCTTTTTGACTCAGACTGGTCAATGTCCACATTTTTCCACAGTGTTGTCTTCTATGCCATCAACAGCATTTGGTGATACAGCACTTTTTAAAAGAATCCATAAAAAGAAACTGGAACCATCAGTACCTAACTTTGAAATTATGTAAAGCTAGCCTATTTTTGACTGCCACTTTGGGATGGCTGCTAAACACCTGGGAAGCATCCAACTTACTGCCTCTCTCACTCCCCCACCTTCTAACTATTTGATTCCTATGAGTCTCCAACAGCCCCACTTTAGTCTCCAATATATTTTCTCAAGCCACTTACACCCAGTCTGCAAGTTTTGATGCATATAAGACATCATCAATTGTGAAACATTTTAATTTTAGATCAGGGAGCGAAAGTCTGCCTCAAAAATAGATTAAACAAATCAAGACAGTGTGATACTGACACAGTCTAGACATAAGCCCTTACATTTACATAAGGTCAATTGGTTTTGCACAAGGGTTCCAAAACAATTCATTAGGAAAAGAACAGTTTGTTCAAAACATGATGCTAAGACAAGTGGATATCCATATACAAAAGTATGAAGTTGTACCCCTACTTCACACCACGTACAAAAATTAACTCAAAATGAATCAAAGACTGACATATAGGAGCTAAAACTACAAAACTCTTAGAAGAAAACATAAGTGAAATCTTTGTGATCTTGGATTAGGCAATGGTTTCTTAAATATGACACCAAAAACACAAGTGACAATAGAAAACAATAAATAAACTCCATCAAAATTAAAAGCTTTCATGCTTCAAAGGACACCATCAAGAAAGTAAAAAGACAACCCACAAAATGGAAGAAAATTTTTGCAAATCATTTATCTGATAGATGACTAAAATATGTATTATATGTATTGTATCATATGTATTGAATCCAGAATATATAAAGAACTCTTACAATTCAACATTTTATAAAGACAACCCAATTTAAAATGGACAAACGATCTAAATACACATTTCTCTAAAGAAGATATACAAGTGGCCAATAAGCACGTGAAAAGACATGCAACATTATTAGTCATCAGGGAAATTCCAACTAAAACCACAATGAGATACCATTATACACCCACTAGGATAGCCATAATCAAAAAGATAGACAATAACAAACGTTGGTAAGGATGTGGGGAAACTGGAACCCTCATATATTGCTCACAAGAATGTCAAATAGTACAGCAGCTTTGCAAAAGAGCCTGGCAGTTCCTCAAAAGGTTAAACATAGAGTTACCATACGACACAACAATTCCACCTCTAGGTATATATTCGACAGAAATAAAAACATATGTCCACACAAAAACCTATACACAAGTGTTCAGAGTAGCATTATACATAAGAGGCAAAAAGTGAAAATGACCCAAATGTCTGTCAACTCATGAATTGATAAATAAAATGTGGTATAGCCATACAGCAGAACTGGCAATAAGAAGTGCTGATACGTGCTACATTTAAAACACGCTAAGAGAAAGAAGACAATCACAAATGACCACACACTATGTGGTTTCATTTCTATGAAATGTCTGGAATAGACGAATCCATAGACAAAAAGTAGATCCATGGCTGCCTAGGAATGGTGGAACTGGGGGTGATTGCTAGTGAGTATGGGGTTTCTTTTTTGGGTGACAAAAATATTCCGGAAATAGTTGTGATGGTTGCACAATTCTGTGAATATACTAAAACCACTGAATTGTACACTTTAAATAGGTGACTATATGGTATGTGAATTACATCTCAACAAGGCTGTTACTTTAAAAAGTGGGAAAACAGGCCAGGCACAGTGGCTCACGCCTATAATCCCAGCACTTCAGGAGGCCGAGGCAGGCAGACTGCTTGAGGTCAGGAGTTTGAGACCAGCCTGGCCAACATGGTGAAACCCCATCTCTACTAAAAATACAAAAAATTAGCTGGGCGTGGTGGCACACGCCTGTAGTCCCAGCTACTCAGGAGGCTGAGACAGGAGAATCGCTTGAACCCAGGGGGCGGAGGTTGCAGTGAGCCGAGATCACGCCACTGCACTCCAGCCTGGGTGACAGAGGGAGATTCCGTCTTAAAAAAAAAAAAAAAAAGTGGGAAAACAACAGACAAAGGAGAAAACCTTTAAAAATAACAATAATAATTGCAAGAATGTTCCAGAGTTGATTATGGTGAGTGCATTAAATCCAATCTGATGAATGTAGAAGATGTAATCTTAACCATATGCAAGATTTATTAAATTAAAATATTACAATCAGTCCAGGTGGCTTGGTTCAGATTATTAAACTGTCAATATTTACACGTTGGCTGAAAGCCCAAAAGTAGAAAGCAATATAGTTAAAAATAATAAATAGAGGGTTATAATTACTAGGAGATATAATTCCTGATCTAGCAAAGGAAGCACACTAACTAATAAAATGATAAAATTCATTACTCTCCCTCATTTGGAAAGGGTTATGATTATTATGAAAACCAAATCTCTCCCTCTCCCTCTCTCCCTCTCCCTCTCTCCCTCTCCCTCTCTCCCTCTCCCTCTCGGTCTCCCTCTCCCCACGGTCTCCCTCTCCCTCTCTTTCCACGGTCTCCCTCTGATGCCGTGGGAGTCTGGACTGTACTGCTGCCATCTTGGCTCACTGCAACCTCCCTGCCTGATTCTCCTGCCTCAGCCTGCCGAGTGCCTGCAATTGCAGGCGCGCGCCGCCACGCCTGACTGGTTTTCGTATTTTTTTGGTGGAGACGGGGTTTCGCTGTGTTGGCCGGGCTGGTCTCCAGCTCCTAACCGGGAGTGATCCGCCAGCCTCGGCCTCCCGAGGTGCCGGGATTGCAGACGGAGTCTCGTTCACTCAGTGCTCAATGGTGCCCAGGCTGGAGTGCAGTGGCGTGATCTCGGCTCGCTACAACCTCCACCTCCCAGCAGCCTGCCTTGGCCTCCCAAAGTGCCGAGATTGCAGCCTCTGCCCGGCCGCCACCCCGTCTGGAAAGTGAGGAGTGTCTCTGCCTGGCCACCCATCGTCTGGGATGTGAGGAGCCCCTCTGCCTGGCTGCCCAGTCTGGAAAGTGAGGAGCGTCTCTGCCTGGCCGCCATCCCATCTAGGAAGTGAGGAGCGCCTCTTCCCGGCCGCCATCCCATCTAGGAAGTGAGGAGCGTCTCTGCCCGGCCGCCCATCGTCTGAGATGTGGGGAGTGCCTCTGCCCTGCCGCCCCATCCGGGATGTGAGGAGCGTCTCTGCCCAGCCGCCCCGTCTGAGAAGTGAGGAGACCCTCTGCCTGGCAACCGCCCCGTCTGAAAAGTGAGGAGCCCCTCAGCCCAGCAGCCGCCCCGTCTGAGAAGTGAGGGGCCCCTCCGCCCGGCAGCCGCCCCGTCTGAGAAGTGAGGAGCCCCTCCACCCGGCAGCCATCCCGTCTGGGAAGTGAGGAACGTCTCCGCCCAGCAGCCACCCCGTCCGGGAGGGAGGTGGGGGGGTCAGCCCCCCGCCCGGCCAGCCACCCCATCCGGGAGGTGAGGGGCGCCTCTGCCCGGCCGCCCCTACTGGGAAGTGAGGAGCCCCTCTGCCCGGCCGGCCGCCCCGTCCGGGAGGGAGGTGGGGGGGGTCAGCCCCCCGCCCGGCCAGCCGCCCCGTCTGGGAGGGAGGTGGGGGGGTCAGCCCCCCGCCCGGCCAGCCGCCCCATCCAGGAGGTGAGGGGCGCCTCTGCCTGGCCGCCCCTACTGGGAAGTGAGGAGCCCCTCTGCCCAGCCAGCCACCCCGTCCCGGAGGGAGGTGGGGGGGTCAGCCCCCCGCCCGGCCAGCCGCCCCGTCCGGGAGGGAGGTGGGGGTGTCAGCCCCCCGCCCGGCCAGCCGCCCCGTCCGGGAGGTGAGGGGCGCCTCTGCCCGGCCGCCCCTACTGGGAAGTGAGGAGCCCCTCTGCCCGGCCACCACCCCGTCTGGGAGGTGTACCCAACAGCTCACTGAGAACGGGCCATGATGACAATGGCGGTTTTGTGGAATAGAAAGGGGGGAAAGGTGGGGAAAAGATTGAGAAATCGGATGGTTGCCGTGTCTGTGTAGAAAGAGGTAGACATGGGAGACTTTTCATTTTGTTCTGTACTAAGAAAAATTCTTCTGCCTTGGGATCCTGTTGATCTGTGACCTTACCCCCAACCCGGTGCTCTCTGAAACATGTGCTGTGTCCACTCAGGGTTGAATGGATTAAGGGCGGTGCAAGATGTGCTTTGTTAAACAGATGCTTGAAGGCAGCATGCTCCTTAAGAGTCATCACCGCTCCCTAATCTCAAGTACCCAGGGACACAAACACTGCGGAAGGCCGCAGAGTCCTCTGCCTAGGAAAACCAGAGACCTTTGTTCACTTGTTTATCTGCTGACCTTCCCTCCACTATTGTCCTGTGACCCTGCCAAATCCCCCTCTGCGAGAAACACCTAAGAATGATCAATTAAAAAAAAAAAAAAGAAAACCAATATGGGTATGCAAAGAGCTGAAATCACGTATATTTGAGATATGCCATAGTACATGACATCAAGCTTATGACAAGAGAAACGTTTAGTGGAAGAAAGAAAAATATATTGCATACCAAAAGAAAATTAATATATATATGAACCTGTACATAAATCCAATCTGTTTATATATTTTTGAGACAGGGTCTCGCTCTGTCACCCAGGCTGGAGCACAATGGTGTGATCACGTCTCCCTCCAGCCTTGACCTCCCAGGCTCAAGCAATCCTCCCACTTCAGCCTCCCAAGTAGCTGGGACCACCAGCGTGCACCATGACACCTGGCTAATTTTTGCAGAGCTAGGTCTCACTGTGTTGCCCAGGCTGGTCTTGAACTCCAGCTCAAGTGATCCTCCCACCTTGGCCTCTCAAAATGCTGGGATTACAGGCATAAACTATGACACCTGACCAATCTGCTGTTATTATTGAGGACCATCTGCCATTCTAGATACAGAAGAATATAGAGAAGGGATTGGCAAACTTTTTCTTAGGGTCTGGGAGCTATATGGTCTCTATTACAACTACTCAACTCTGCCACTCTAGTTCAAAAGCAGCCTTAGCAATATGTAAACAAATGAGTAAAGCTGTGTTCCAATAAAACTGTTTATGGAAACTGAAATTTAAATTTCATGTAATTTTCACATGTCACAAATTATTCTTTTTATGTTTTCCCAACCATTTAAAAATGCAGAAACCATTCTTAGCTTATAAAATACACAAAAAATGGGTGGCAGGATGGATTTGGCCCACAGGCTGAATTACGTCAACTCCTGATAGAAGAATGCTTTCAATATGAAGAACACTGTGACATGCTAGTAAGCAAGTCTTCCAATACACAAGAATGCTTACTCACCACAAACAGAAAGACATGCTAACAAGTACGCCTCATTTGGGAAATAGTCACAAAAACTGTCAAGAATGTTTACAGGAATAAATTAGTTAATACATAAAATGTTCTAAAAGTAGTATTGGGCACCCAGCAAACCACTCAACACTCTCTTCTGATATTATTAGTAGCAAGATATCTATACTGACTCCAACAGAAAAGACAAAGGCAATGGTTCCATCTCTGCAGTAGTACCGTGCATATCAGAATTAGAGCTGCAGATTAAGCATCCCTAATCTGAAATCCAAAATGCTCCAAAATGTGAAAGTTTCTGAGTGTTGACATGAAGTCACAAATGAAAAAATCCACACCTGACCTTATGTGACAGGTCACAGTCAAAACACAGTCAAAATTTTGTTTCATGCACAAGCTTATTTAAAATATTGTATAAAATTACCTTTAGGCTATGTGTATAAGGCGTATATAAAACATTAATGAATTTCGTGTTTAGACTTGGGTCCCATCCCCAAGAGATCTCATTATGTAAACGCAAATATTCCAAAGTCTGAAAAAATCCAAAATCCAAAACACTTCTGGTCCCAAGCATTTCAGATATGAGATACTCAAATTGTATTACTTTTAGGTCTCAAATTTCCAGCTGTGGTATTTTCTTAAGAGGGTCTCTCAAATTCTCAAAGCTAGAGTAAATTTCATTTCAGTAGCAGGGAGCTGTTATTTACTCATTACAATTAAATCAATACTCATTTTGATAAGTAGAAGAAAAGTGAGATGATGACGACAAAATGTTTGAGAGTTACTGCTCTAAGAAATTGCCCAGCCCTCTCCCTCTCCCCACGGTCTCCCTCTCCCTCTCTTTCCACAGTCTCCCTCTGATGCCGAGCCGAAGCTGGACAGTACTGCTGCCATCTCGGCTCACTGCAACCTCCCTGCCTGATTCTCCTGCCTCAGCTTGCCGAGTGCCTGCAATTGCAGGCGCGCGCCGCCACGCCTGACTGGTTTTCGTATTTTTTTGGTGGAGATGGGGATTCGCTGTGTTGGCCGGGTTGGTCTCCAGCTCCTAACCGCGAGTGACCCGCCAGCCTCGGCCTCCCGAGGTGCCGGGATTGCAGACGGAGTCTCGTTCACTCAGTGCTCAATGGTGCCCAGGCTGGAGTGCAGTGGCGTGATCTCAGCTCACTACAACCTCCACCTCCCAGCAGCCTGCCTTGGCCTCCCAAAGTGCAGAGATTGCAGCCTCTGCCCAGCCGCCATCCCATCTAGGAAGTGAGGAGCGCCTCTTCCCGGCCGCCATCACATCTGGGAAGTGAGGAGCGTCTCTGCCCGGCCGCCCATCGTCTGAGATGTGGGGAGCACCTCTGCCCTGCCACCCCGTCTGGGATGTGAGGAGCGTCTCTGCCCGGACGCCCCGTCTGAGAAGTGAGGAGACCCTCTGCCTGGCAACCGCCCCGTCTGAGAAGTGAGGAGCCCCTCCGCCCGGCAGCTGCCCCGTCTGAGAAGTGAGGAGCCCCTCCGCCCAGCAGCCACCCCGTCTGGGAAGTGAGGAGCGTCTCCGCCCGGCAGCCACCTCGTCCGGGAGGGAGGTGGGGGGGTCAGCCCCCCGCCCGGCCAGCCGCCCCGTCCGGGAGGGAGGTGGGGGGGTCAGCCCCCCGCCCGGCCAGCCGCCCCGTCTGGGAGGGAGGTGGGGGGATCAGCCCCCCGCCCGGCCAGCCGCCCCGTCCGGGAAGTGAGGGGCGCCTCTGCCCAGCCGCCCCTACTGGGAAGTGAGGAGCCACTCTGCCCTGCCAGCCGCCCTGTCCGGGAGGGAGGTGGGGGGGTCAGCCCCCCACCCGGCCAGCCGCCCCGTCCGGGAGGGAGGTGGGGGGGTCAGCCCCCCGCCCGGCCAGCTGCCCCATCTGGGAGGGAGGTGGGGGGGTCAGCCCCCCGCCCGGCCAGCCGCCCCGTCCGGGAGGTGAGGGGCGCCTCTGCCCGGGCGCCCCTACTGGGAAGTGAGGAGCCACTCTGCCCGGCCAGCCGCCCCGTCCGGGAGGGAGGTGGCGGGGTCAGCCCCCCACCTGGCCAGCCGCCCCGTCCGGGAAGTGAGGGGCGCCTCTGCCCGGCTGCCCCTACTGGGAAGTGAGGAGCCACTCTGCCCGGCCAGCCGCCCCGTCCGGGAGGGAGGTGGGGGGGTCAGCCCCCCGCCCGGCCAGCCGCCCCGTCCGGGAGGTGAGGGGCGCCTCTGCCCGGCCGCCCCTACTGGGAAGTGAGGAGCCCCTCTGCCCGGCCAGCCGCCCCGTCCAGGAGGGAGGTGGGGGGGGTCAGCCCCCCGTCCGGCCAGCCGCCCCGTCCGGGAGGTGAGGGGCGCCTCTGCCCGGCGGCACCTACTGGGAAGTGAGGAGCCCCTCTGCCCGGCCACCACCCCGTCTGGGAGGTGTACCCAACAGCTCATTGAGAACGGGCCATGATGACAATGGCGGTTTTGTAGAATAGAAAGGGGGGAAAGGTGGGGAAAAGATTGAGAAATCGGATGGTTGCCGTGACTGTGTGGAAAGAGGTAGACATGGGAGACTTTTCATTTTGTTCTGTACTAAGAAAAATTCTTCTGCCTTGGGATCCTGTTGATCGGTGACCTTACCCCCAACCCGGTGCTCTCTGAAACATGTGCTGTATCCACTCAGGGTTGAATGGATTAAGGGCGGTGCAAGATGTGCTTTGTTAAACAGATGCTTGAAGGCAGCATGCTCCTTAAGAGTCAGCACCACTCCCTAATCTCAAGTACCCAGGGACACAAACACTGCGGAAGGCGGCAGGGTCCTCTGCCTAGGAAAACCAGAGACCTTTGTTCACTTGTTTATCTGCTGACCTTCCCTCCACTACTGTCCTGTGACCCTGCCAAATCCCCCTCTGCGAGAAACACCCAAGAATGATCAATAAAAAATAATAATAATAATAATAAAATTAAATTAAATTAAAAAAAAATTGCCCAAAGGATTTTTCAAAGGAAAAATTAAGATTTGGGTCAGATTCTATCCTTGGCTATATGTGTGAGTTCAATACTAAAAGCAACATGGAAATCTGACCTTTCCCAAGGAACTGTTTCACCTAAGAACCTACAAGAAATTCGGATTTGATTAACAGCTCAGAGCTCATCTCTTCCACCTGACCACTTCCTACTTCTTGGTTTATAAGTACGAGGTGCTTAGGAAGAACGATGTGTTCAAGAATGGGAAAATTATCCCTACTGGCCCCCCCAGCGCAACCTTGTGCTGCACACCCTGACAGAAAGAATAGAGAAGTCGTTTACTTATTACAGTGAGAGGTGGCTTCAATCATCATGTTGACCTGACCTGCAAAGGAAGGCTTGTAATTCATAATTAAACAGAGCACCACTGCCTGCCTTTTCCAGATAAAATTACATTTTGAGAGAGAAAAAAATTATACTCATTTTGATTTCACAACTTTAAACAATGGAATGTTGGGAAACTATTCTTGACAAAGCAGCCTGCTATACATTCACCCAACCACCTGTCACTAACATCATTCTCAAACACAAAGGGCTATTTTTATGTAGTACATTACCAAGATAGATAATATCCCATTGCCATAGCAACAAGTTTTCCAGAAGATATGTTAACCCATGAAGAATGCAAAACAGAACAAAGCTATTTCTTTGCATTTGCCTTTAAAATATATGAAGAGGATTGTAAGATTTTTAAGGCGTGGTTTGCTCAATAGAGCCTTAGTGGATATGAGCAATGTATAAAGAAATCCTTAGGCCATTGACCACTGCCTATGAAAAAAAAGAAAAAGAAAACAAATAGAACAAATCCTGAACGTATACATATACACATACAACTATTTTTTAATCTTTTTTTTTTTTAAGAGACAGGGTCTCACTCTGTCACGCAGGCTGGAGTGCAGTGGTGCAATCGCAGGTCACTGCAGCCTCTACCTTTCGGGCTCAAGCAATCCTCTTGCCTCAGCCTCCCAAGTAGCTGGGATCACAGGCATGCACTACCACACGCAGATAACTTTTAAAAACATTTTTGGAGAGACAGGTTTCTCACTACGTTGCCCAGGCTGGTCTTAAACTCCTGGCCTCAAGCAATCCTCCTGCCTCAGCCTCCCAAAATGCTGGTATTACAGGCATAAGCCACCATGCCTGGCCTGGCCCACATATAGCTATTTTTATGGCATAACTTTAACATGTATGACATGATGTTTTGATATACATATCCATAGTGAAATGATTACTACCAGTAAGCAATCTGACATACTCATCACCTTCCATAGTTACCTTTGTGGGGAGAAGAGGTAAGAGCACCTAAAATCTACTCTTAGCACATTTTCCATATACAATACAATATTGTTAACTATAGTCCTCCTGCTGTACATCTCTAGACTTATTGAGCCTACATCACTGCAAGTTTGTACACTTTGACCTACATTGCCTTATTTCCTCCCCATTCCCACCCTTGGTAACCGTGGTTCTATTCTGTTTCTATATATTTGACTCTTTTTTTCAGGTTCCAGATAAATAAGATCATGAAGTATTTTTCCTTCTGTGTCTCACTTATTTTACTTAGCATAAGTTCATCCATGTTGTCACAAATAGCATGATCTCCTTTTTTAAGGCTGAATAATATTCTGTCATCTGTGTGTGTGTGTGTGTGTGTGTGTGTGTGTGTGTGTGTGTGTGTGTGTATCCCACGATATTTTTAGCCACTCATCCATCAACAGTCACTTAAATTGTTTCCATATCTTGGCTATTGCGAATAATGCTGCAATGAACACAGGAGTGTAGATACCTCTTTGACACACTGACTTCATTTCCTTTAGGTACATATCCAGCAGAGGAATTGCTGGATCATATGGTAGTTCTACTTTTAATTTTTTGAGGCACTTCTATACCATTTTCCATAATGGCTGTACCAATCTACATTCCCATCAAAAGTATAAAAGGGTTCTCTTTTCTCCACACCCTAACGTTTGTTATCTGTTGTCTTTCTAATAGCCATTCTAAAAGGTGTGAGCTGATATCTCATAGTGGTTTTGATTTCCATTTCCCTTATGATTAGTGATACTGAGTACCTTTTCACAACCTGCTGGCCATTTGTATGGCTTCTTTGGGAAAATGAATAATCAAGTCCTTTGCCTATTTTTTAATCGGGTTATTCATTTTCTTACCATTGAGTTCTGGGAGTTCCTTATATATTTTTGATATTAACTCCTTATCATATATATGGGTCGCAAATATTTTCTTCCAATTCATAGGCTGCCCTTTTATTTGCGGATTGTTCCCTTTGTCATGCAGAAGCTTTTTAGTCTGATGTAGTACCACCTGTTTCTTTTTGCTTTTGTTGCCTGTGCTTTTGGTGTGATGTCTAAAAAATCATTGCCAAGGCCGATATCAAGGAGCTTTTCCCCTATGTTTTCTTCTAGGAGTTCAATGGTTTGAGTTATTAACATTTAGGTCTTCTTTTCCATTTTCAGGTTTTGTTGTATATTTTAAAGACACATTTTGAGTTGATTTTTGTATATAAGCATCCAGCTTCATTCTTTTGCCTGTGAATATCCAGTTTTCCCAATATCATTTATTGAAGAGACTATCCTTTCCCCACTGTGTCTCCTTGGTGGCCTTGTCAAAAATTAGTTGACTGTATATACTTGGATTTCTGTATATATACTGTATATTTCTCGGATCTCTGTTCTATTCTATTGATCTATATGTCTGTTTTTATGCCAGGATATACTATCATAATTTCTACTGCTTTATACTGTATTATAATCTAAGGAAGTGTGATGCCTCCAACCTTGTTTTTGTTTCTCAAGACTGTTTCGGCTATTCTAGGTCTTTTGTCACACCATATGAATTTTAGAATTGTTTTTTCTATTTCTGTGAAAAATGCCATTGGTATTTTGATAGGGATTGCATTGAACCTGTATATTGTTTTGGGTAGTGTGGACAATTTAACACTATTAATTTTTCCAATGCATAAACATGGCATATCTTTCCATTTATTTGTGTCTTCAATTTCTTTCATCAATATTTTATAATGTTGAATGTACAGATCTTTCACTTCCTTCATTAAATGTATTCCTGAATATTTTATTATTTTTATGTTATCATAAATGGGACAGTTTTCTTGATTTCCAACTGATTTTTGTACGCTGATTTTGTATCATGCAACTTTACTGAACTCATTTATTAGTCTTAAGAGGGCTTTTGTGGAGTCCAGGGTTTTCTACATATAGGATCATGACATTTACAAACAGGGATAATTTTACTTCTTCTTTCCCAATTTAGATGCCTTTTATCTCTTTTTATTGTCTGATAGCTCATGTTAGTACTTCCAGTGCTGTGTTCAATAAAAGTGGCAAGAGTGGGCATCCTTGCTTTGTACCAGATCTTAGAAAAAAAGCTTTCAGTTTTCTCCCACTGATTATGATATTAGCTGTGGACTCTACATAAATGGTCTTTAATGTGTTGAGGAAATTCCCTTTTAAACTTATTTTGTTGAAAATGTTTATCACGAAAGGCTGTTGAACTTTGTCAAATGCTATTTCTACATGTATTGAAATGATCATGGGTTTTTCTCTCTTTTTTTTTCTTTGAAGACAGGGTCTTGCTGTACTGCCCAACTGGAGTGCGGTGGCACAATCAGTGCTCACTGCAGCCTCAAAATCCTCGGCTCCAGCGATCCTGCTGCCTCAGCCTCCCAAGTAGCAGGGACTAGAGGTACATGCCACTATGCCCAGCTCATTTTTTTTTAATTTTTTGTAGAGACAGTGTCTCACTATGTTGCCCAGGCTGGTCTTGAACTCCTGGCCTCAAGCAATCCTCCCACCTCAGCTTCCCAAAGTGTTGGGATTATAGGTGTGAGCCACCACACCTGGCTTGTTTTTTACCTCTTATTTTGGTAATGTGGCATATTACACTGATTGTTTTATATACGTTAAACCAATCTTGCATCTCAGGGATAAGTGCCACTTTGGTCATGGTGTATCATCTTTTTGAGGTGTTGTTAAATTTGGTCTGCTAGTATTTTATTTAGGATTTTTGCATATATGTTCAACAGAGATACTAACCTGTGGTTTTCTCCTCTTATGGTATCTTGGTATCTTTTGTCTGGCTTTGAAATCAGGGTGATGCTGGCCTCAAAAAATGAGTTTGGAAGTACTCTCTCTACTTCTGTTTTTTGGAAGAGTTTAAGAAGGATTAGTATTAACTCTTCTTTGAATGTTTGGTAGAATTCAGCCATGAAGTCATCTGGTCCTGGGCTTTTTCTTTTTGGGAGCACATATAGCTATTTTTGGGTAAGGAAGAATTGCTACAGAAATCGTATCCTACTGGGAAGGAAAAAGCAAAACTAATGCTTGGCCATACCCCCAAACATTATAAAGCACTCTCTACTGCCTTGAATTTATCTCCATTCCCATAGCAACCTTTCCCACCATATGTAGCTACTCCTAGCAGAATCTGCAAGAGGGTCACTCCACTGTTGTATGTTTCCCAGTGTCATGAATAAGGACAAACACTCCAACTCACGGAAAGCCTCACTCTGACCAAAAAGTATACAAACAGACTGGGTGTAGTGGCTTACACCTGTATTCCTAGCACTTCTGGAGGCCAAGGTGGGAGGATCACTTGAGCCCAGGAGTGAGGCCAACCAGGGGAATATAGTGAGACCCTGTCTCTACAAAATATTAAAAATCAGCCGAGCATAGTGGTACATGCCTGTGGTCCCAGCTACCTGGGGGGGCCTGGGTGGGAGGACCACTTAAGCCCAGGAAGTAGAGGCTGCAGTGAGCTGTGATGGTGCCACTGTGCTCCAGCCTGGGTGACAGAACAAGACCCTGTCTCAAAATAAATAAAAGTATACACACACACATACTTCCATATCCAAATGCAAACAGACAACCCCACATTCCTCAAGGCTTCCTTGGAGAAATAGGAAGAACCTCAGATGAACCAGTCACTCCTATCCAACCCTCTCTTCTCCTTCATGGAGGTCTGTATCCCCAGGCTCTTTTTCACACAAAAAGACTTTCATTGCTCCTATCACTGGCCATGCCCCATCCTTCCTAGGATCCAGGGTAGTGTTTCCCACTCCTGCTCATAGCCTGTGCTGGCTGTTGCTCTATTTGCCCCCTTGAACCACTCTCAGCCCTTTCCATCCACTCAGCGCAAGAGGCTAACCTCAATAAGCTTCAACACCCAGGCTCTGTTACCTGTGGCTTCTAGTTGGGTTAGAACAACAAAAGGCACTGCAGCAAATGAGAGGGCAGGAAACAGAAATTGGTTACTTCTCTCCCATCCCCTCATCCCACTGGCCCCTCTCTGGCCATAGTTCTAGCAAAGGCTGTATTCTTTCATGACTATTGTTCCTGTAGAGGGAGTACCTTTCACAGCTCCAGCAACGACATTCCCTCCCCTCCCTTTGCCCCACCAGGTCTAGGAATGGCAATAGCTTCCTGCTGCTAGTCCCTTCGTGCCTCAACATTCCTGTTTTCACTAAAACCCTTTGAGCATGCCATTTCCTGTGGGACCCTAAGTGATACATAGCCTTACCCCAATTTCCTATGGCTTCCTTGGTTTCAAAGTTTGATCAGTTATCCTTGATCCTAGACTGTCTTATGTTCTGCTTCACCATGCCACAGAAGCTTCTTAGAAATGATCCAAGTCCTTTACTCAGACACATGCCCATGGAATCACCCCGTTTAAGCAAGAATTCCAGCATTTACACAGAATCACTATGAAAGCAATAGCCTCTCAATTGAGACATCATCAGGAAACTCCCCGTTTTTACATTCTTTTTTAGTCTGCCTCCTCAATTAAGACTGAGATTCAACCCATATATATTATGAAAAGTATTTCAAGAAGTGACTTTTATCTATGTGACCTTGGGCAAGTAAGTGAACCTCACCCTCAGTGCCTCCGTTTTTGCTTTCTTCAAAATGGGGATGATAGTGAACAAATGTTGGCTGCTACCATGGTTTTTATCATCA
The DNA here is from genome assembly GCF_000001405.40 of Homo sapiens. Lineage (NCBI taxonomy): Eukaryota > Metazoa > Chordata > Mammalia > Primates > Hominidae > Homo > Homo sapiens. Next base: position 16,957,971 of record NC_000023.11, on the reverse strand, counting down.
TATATGTAGAACTAAATTTTGCCCCGAGGAGACATCTGACAATGTCTGGAAACATTTTTTGTTGTCACAATCAGGAGAAGAATAGCTACTGGTATCTTGTGGGTAGAGACCAGGGATGTTACTTGACAACCTACAATGCACAGGACAGTCCTCCACAACAAAGAATGATACAGCCCCAAAGTGTCAGTCATGCTGAGACTAAAAAATCTGGATCTCGAACAAAAAATAAAAGAGGCTAAAACATCTGCATGCTAAATTTTACATGCTTTACTCAGTATTGGGACTATAAGGGTACCAGAGAGTATGCAAAGGAGAGGAGTTAAAACATTTTAAAATAATTTTAAAGAAGTCCAAAAAACAAAACTCAAAAAGCAGAGCACACCAAACACCTCCAAGAGCAAAAAACTGTTGGTATATCATCATCTGTTTTTCACAAGGCTGACTTTGAAGTAAAGGAGAGACAAAGAGATTATTGTATTAAATATGTTCTTTTGAAGGCATGGGGCAAGCACTACACATCTCAGAAGGTCTGCACTTAAGAAACAACTTTTTTTTTTTTTTGAGACAGAATCTCGCCTCTGTCGCCTAGGCTGGAGTACAGTGGCACAATCTTGGCTCACTGAAACCTCTACCTCCCGGATTCAAGCAATTCTCCTGCCTCAGCCTACCAAGTAGCCAGGACTACAGGCACATTCCACCAAGCCCAGCTGATTTTTGTATTTTTTGTAGAGACAGCGTCTCCCTATTTTACCCAGGTTGGCCTCAAACTCATGGCCTCAAGTGATCCGCCCGCCTCAACCTCCCAAAGTGCTGTAATTACAGGCATGAGCCACCACACTTGGCCAAAAACAACAATTCTTAATTGCTGGCATTTATGGGATTCACTTTAATTATTTGGAAAATTAGCACAGGTGAAACATTTAATTACCTACCTCCAGGAGACTGAACCAAAGTATTTTTCTTGTAAACCAGTGGCAAAGTGTTACAAATGAATTCAGTCAAAGTGAACATTTCCTACTAGCCTAGTGTTAATAATGGCCTCTCCTGGTTCTGAATGGTATTATGAGGATGGCTGAGTTTCTCAAGTCTGTTAAAATGGCTTTTTTCTTCAAGTCTATGTCCTAGCCCAAGTCTCTGAAGTAGAGATAGCAGTAGTAAATAAAACAGGCCCCACAAGCAGCTGGCACTGGCTCCAGAGGGCCTTGTCCTTCCTCCTTTGCAGTGAAGCACAGCTGAGAGGGCCAGATAAAACGGTCAGGAGCAGAGCTCAGAGCCGGGACTGCAGGAACTGTCCCTGGTGAGGTCTCAGAGGAAACAGCTGAGCATCCATTCACTCTGAGCTTCCTGCAGGACAGACTGGAGGAGGAGGGACCACAGCAGCCTGAGGGAATCTCACTCCTGACCATGGACTTGCCAGCAGCATTGCTGTCATTTGACCGAAAGCAGTGAACCCTGTTGCCTAGGCAACATGGCAAAATCCCGTTTCTACAAAAAATACAAAAATTAGCTGGGTGTGGTGGCATGCACGTGTAGTCCCAGCTACTTGGGAGGCTGAGATGGAAGGATCATTTGGGCCCAGGAGGCACAGGTTGCAGTGAACCAAAATTGTGAGATTGCACTCCAGCCTGGGTGACAGAGCAAGACCCTGTCTCAAAAAAAAAAAAAAAAAAAAAAAAAAAAAAAAAAACTGCTGTGGTTTTTTGCTTACATGCATAATAGAAGGAAGTGCTCAATTTCAGTTGGGGGAAGGGCAGTTAGTAAAAAAAAAAAAAAAGATGTAGTTCTTTTCCACATCTAAATTCACAGACCCCTGAACTAACCCAGGCTGAGAAGGCCTGCTTTAGAGCACTGCGTGCAGGAGTAGCCAGGCAGGGCATTTGCATCTGCTTTTCCACTTTTTTTTCCTGCCTCCTACTAGTTAAGAGGAAAAACAATTGCCTAAAGACTAAAATTGAAAATACCTAAGAAGTTACATATTTGCCAGTTCTACTTAGGATGAATTACGCATGAAAATGTTTCTTAAAAAGATAAAGGAATTCTAAATTAGTGGCTGAGCAAAACATATGTATATTCTGGCCACAAAAAGGCTCAACAGAATAATTTTCTACTTCAGACAAATCCTGGAAAGCAAGTGTGGTGGAAAGATCCTAAGGTGTCCCCCGCAAAATTCTCACCTCCTGGTCTCTGTTGTTTTGTATAATCCCCTCCCCTTGAGAGCAGACAAAACCTGTGACTTGCTTCTAACTAATGGACTATGGCAAAGGTGTCTGAGCTAACTGGAGAGAGACACTCTCCTGCTGGCCTTGAAGAAGCCAAGAGCCATGTTGTGAATTGCCTATGGAGAAGGCCATGTGGAGGGAACTGCAGGAAGCCTCGAAGTTGAGAGCCTCAGTTCTAAAATCACAAGGAACTGAATTCTGCAACCAAGTGTTGGACCTCCACAGAGGACTCCAAGCTCCAGACACCTTGATTGTGGCTTTATGAAACTCTGAGCTGAGGACCCAACTGAGCCATGTCCAGACTCCCGAACCCACAGAAACTGGGAGATAATAACTGTGTGCTGCTTTAAGCTGCTAAGTTTGTGGTAATTCATTATAGAGCAATAGATAACTAATGCAGCAACCAAGAGAGGGGGTGACCATCCCAGTTTGCCTAGGACTGTCTGAAGACTGAAGTTCCATGCCCCCAGGAAATCCTTCAGTCCTGCGCAACCCAGGTTGATTAGTTGCCCACCAACAGATAGGTATGAATAATAGAATGCCATCAATACAAAACATGAGAAACTTGCCTATACGAAACAAACAGAAAGTTTGAAAAACCCTGGAAAGGAACCAAACCCTCTTTTTAAAGTTATAAATAGGCCAGGCGCGGTGGCTCACACCTGTAATCCCAGCACTTTGGGAGGCCAGGGTGGGCAGATCACCTGAGGTCAGGAGTTCAAGACCAGCCTAGTCAACATGGCGAAACCCCATCTCTACTAAAAAATATAAAAATTAGCCAGGCATGGTGGTGGGCGCCTGTAGTCCCAGCTACTCAGAAGGCTGAGGCAGGGAGAACTGCTTGAACCTGGGAGGCGGAGGTTGCAGTGAGCCGACCTTGCGCCACTGCACTTCAGCCCGGGCGACAGAGCAAGACTCTGTCTCAAAAAAAAAAAAAAAAAAAAAAAGTTATAAATAATTAGCAAAAACAACCCAAGATTTCCTCAAAACCAATTGTCTACACCCTTAAAATAGGACAGCCCCTACTTAGGAGTGTGAAGCTAGAACAATATTCAAATCCATCTTGTATTCCTGGTCTTCAGTTGGTTACTTTTTCAATCTCCCTACAGGTTTCCCAACTATTCTAAATCAGTTCTCAAGCACGTCTATCTCCATGACAGCCAAAGGCTTGACAGTATTGAACCATCATCAGTCTTGCCATTTGACCATAGGCCACAGGTACCTTTTCTGGCCAACCTAAACCCCTGCATGTTTCCATTTCCTTCTGCCCACCCTGGTTCCTTCCTTAAAGATAAGCCCTATGAACCATATGATGTTTGCGACTTGCTTCAGGATAACAAAGGTGAGAGGGAACAAAGATAGAAATGTAGATGGAATTGAATTAACCTTGCATTGACAGTTGTTGGGCCTGAGTGGCAAGTGCAGCAGGGTTTAATGCATTATTCTATCTACTTGCTTATTTGAGATGTTCCATTTTTAAAAAGATGAAAAATGGCAGGGTGTGGTGGCTCACACCTGTAATCCCAACACTTTGGGAGGCTGAGGCGGGAGATCACTTGAGCCCAAGAGTTTGAGACCAGGCTGGGCAACATAATGAGACACCATCTCCACAACAAATTTTTAAAAAGAAAATTAGCCAGGCTTGGTGCTGCACACCTGTATTCCCAGCTACTCGGGAGCCTGAGGCAGGAAGATTGCTTGAGCCCAGGAGGTTGAGGGTACAGTGAGTCATGATCAGATTGCTGCATTCCAGTCTGGGTGACACAGCAAGACCCTGTCTCAAAAAAATAAAAGATGAGAAAAAAAGAAAGCCCATGAAAGTCAATTAATTAGCTCAAACATCCCCTAGCACGCTCAAGAATATAAGTGTGCATTCTGCTATCTATGAAGGTGTTCTTAATTTTCATACACGTTTCGAACAGTCCCCCAGTCATGTGACATTCTATATAAATAAGGAAAAATGCCACCTACTTCCTTTTGGCATAAGGGTCTCTACCGCACTGTAACAATGAGTCATTGTAAACGTAAGTAGTAAAGATTTTTTAAAAGGAAACATAAATGAACTGAAATTACATGTGTCAACAAGATGAATTCCAAAAACAAAACAATGAGAGGAAAAGCAAGTTGCAGAAGGTTACACAGAATACGATATTCCTTAAGTTGAAAAGACATCCAAAATAATATCTTTTTTAGTGATTTATATATACACAAATATATATATCCACATATACATACAATAAAAGTAGAAAGAAATCTTCAAATCATGCACACCAAATTCAGGACTCTGGTAACTCCAGGGTAGGGAGGGAGGGGAATGGGACCAGAGAAGGGGACATAGCAGGCTTTCACTCTAGCTGGGCTGTTTTACTTATACGGAGTGGTGGATACACAGTTATTTCTTGGGTAACTGTCTAGTTTTACATGCCTGAAATATTTTATTACAAAAGAGTCAACAAGTAACTATTATGCAGAGGTACTCCTTTTAACCAGGCAATGGTTTAGCTCTGGTACTTCCTACATCTGCTGGCATTCATTCTCTTTTAGAAAAAAAGAATACTGTCAATCTAAAACAGCATATAGTTAGTCCTAGTTACTGGTTTGTGTGTTTGTGTGTGTGTGTGTGTGTGTGTGTGTGTGTGTGTGTGTGTGTGTTTGTTTTTTGGTTTGTTTGTTTTTGAGACAGAGTTTCACTCTTGTCTCCCAGGCTGGAGTGCAATGGCCTGATCTCAGCTCACTGCAACCTTCGCCTCTCCGGTTCAAGCAATTCTCCTGCTAATTTTTGTATTTTTAGTAGAGATGGGGTTTCGCTATGTTGGCCAGGCTGGTTTCAAACTCCTGACCTCAGCTGATCTGCCCGCCTCGGCCTCCCAAAGTGCTAGGATTACAGGCAATGAGCCACCCTGCCCAGCCCCTAGTTACTGTTTTAATATGCTGGCCTCTATTTCCCTAAAGTATAGTTACAAAATGATATGATCTAAAGATGTAAAAATATAAAGTTGTTTCATTTAAATTTTTAAAAAATAGTTCTGCCTAATAATCTAGCAATGAGCGAAAGTTCACAAGAATTTGTCTTTTACCTATAATTTTCTTTAATGATTAAACAGTTGCTTCAAAAAATCAGAAGAGAGCCTTCAGAAAAGACTTCTCCCCAAAGGTGAGGGCATGCGCACAAATTGTTTAAATATTCCCTACTTCTCACAGCTTTGTTTTACTTATTTACCTCAATGAAAGCTGTTTAAACAATCAGACAACACTTATTGGGTTTTTTTTAATCATTCAGTGATTTCCCTTGATATGGAAGCAACAGTGTTTTATAATTATTCCCCTTAATGTCCAAGAATTAACTATCACAAAAATGAAAACCAACATGGATGAAGCCGGAAACCATCATTCTCAGCAAACTAACACAGGAACAGAAAACCAAACACCGCATGTTCTCACTCATAAGTGGGAGCTGAACAATGAGAAAACATGGACACAGGGAGGGAAACATCACACACCGGGGCCTATTCAGGGGTGCAGGGCTAGGGGAGAGATAGCATTAGGAGAAATACCTAATGTAGATGATGGGTTGATGGGTGCAGCAAATCACCATGGCACATATATATACCTATGTAACAAAACTGCACGTTCTCCAAGTGTATCCCAGAACTAAAGTATAATTTAAAAAATTAATACAGATGAGATCTGGAGCATATGTGTATAATTACATAAGTCATGTATGTTTTACATGAGCATAGAAAATGTAAAAAGATATGCACAAAATTGACTTTTTTATATACTCTTCTGTTACTTGGCTTTGAAAAAATAATGTTCCCATTTTTGAATTTTAAAAGAAAACTCCAATAAGATGTGTATATGTTAAAAAAATTTTTTTAATGAAAACCAATTTTAATGATGACTCATGCACAGCATTCCAAGAGACTGACACTATCCTAAAAGATAGATATTATAAAGCGGTCTGTTAATTCATTACATCAAATACAAAACTTGCTGCTTTAAGGTAGATATTTTATTTATTTACTTATTTATTTTATGAGACAGGGTCTGGCTCTTTCACCCAGGCTGGAGTGCAGTGGTGTCATAATGGCTCATTGCAGCCTCAAACTCCTGGGCTCAAGGGATCCTCCCACCTCAGCCTCCAGAATAGCTGGGACTACAGGCATGCCCCAGAGAGAGGTAGGTAGCGGGGGTGTGTGTGTGTGTGTGTGTGTGTGTGTGTGTGTGTGTGTGTGTGTGTGTGTGTGTGTGTAGATGGGGTTTTGCCATCTTGCCCAGGCTAGTCTAGAACTCCTGGGCTCAAGTAATCCTCCGACCTCAGACTCCCAAAGTGCTGGGATTTATAGGCGTGAGCCACTGGGCCTGGCCATAGCCTATTTTGAAAGGTCTTTTGGTCTCTTTATAGAGTATTTATTTCCCTGTGCTGACTTATTTTAAGAGCAGGATTCTAGCACTAGGTGGAAAATGGCAGAATGGGATACTTTTAAACTAGAAAAAGAAAATATGTCTACGAACAGGTAAATGGTTTTGTTTAGTATTTCAAGACAGAGCAACAAACGTTAGAGTAGTTGGTTTCCCAGGTTATGAAGTATTTTGTTGGTATTCAAAGGCCAGAATTTTACTAGAAGGCATAGTGTGTGGTAAGAATCAGGTCTGGGTTTGACATGTATTTGGTTTGGGTTTGACAGGCTTATTTTACTTTATTTTGATACAGGGTTTTGCTCTGTTGCCTACGCTGGAGAGCAATGGTGCGATCATAGTTCACTATAACCTTGAACTCCTGGGCTCAAGCAATTCTCCTGCCTCAGCCTCCAGAGTAGCTAGGACTACAAGCGCATGCCACCATGCCCGGCTATTTTATTTTGTGTAGAGACAGGGTCTCACTATGTTACCCAGGCTGATCTCAAAGTCCTGGCCTCAAGCAATCCTCCCATCCTTGGTCTCCCAAAGCACTGGGACTACAGGCGTGCGCCACAGCACCAGGCTGACATTTTATTTTTGGATGTTATATTTCAAGTCTTTTCTCAACCAAATAAAAACTCTGAAGTGTAAAAACATTCACATGAGAACATAAGCTCCATGAAGACAGAGATTGTGTTGGATTCACTATTATAACCTCAGCACCTAGGACAGTACCTGACACACATCAGAAACTCATATACGTTTTCCACCTAGTGCTAGAATCCTGCTGTTAAAATAAGTCAGCAAAGGAAAATAAATACTCTGTAAAGAAACCAATGCATTGCTGATGGGAACGCAAAATGGTACAATCACTTTGGAAAGCAGTTTGGCAGTTTCTTATAAAACTAAATATACTCTCACCATACAATCTAGCAATCATGCCCCTTGCTATTTACCCAAATGAGTCAAAAGCTTATCTCCTGCATGTAACAAAAAAGGCTGCATACAGATGTTTATAACAGCTTTATCCATAATTGCCCAAACTTGGAAGCAACCAAGATATCCTTCAGTAGGTGAATAAATAAATTGTAGTACATGCAGACAATGGAATATTATTCAGCACTATAAAGAAATGAGCCACCAAACCATAAAAAGACATGAAGGAATTTTAAGTGCATAGTACTACATGAAAGAAGCCAAAGTGAAAAGCCTATATACTGTATGACTCCAACTATATGACATTCTAAAAAAGGCAAAACTATGGGGACAGTAAAAAAAAAAAAAAAATCAGTGATTGCCACATGTTAGTGGAGAGGGAGGGATGAATCAATAGAGCACAGATTTTTAGAGCAGTGAAACTATTCTGTATGATACTACAATGGTGGAACCGTCATTATACATTTGTCCAAACCCACAGAATGTACAACACCAAGAGTGAGCCCTAATATATAGACTTTGGGGAATAATGAGGTGTCAATGTAGGTTCATCAATTGTAAAAACTCTATTATTCTGATGTGGGACGTTGAGAGTAAGGAAAGCTACGGGTGTGTCGGGGCAGGGGATATATGGGTACTCTGCTAAATTTTGCTGTGAACCTAAAACTGCTCTGAAAAAAAAAAATAGTCTATTAAAAAATATGTTAAGGCCAGGCATGGTGGCTCACGCCTGTAATCCCAGCACTTTGGGAGGCTGAGGCGGGTGGATCACCTGAAGTCAGGAGTTCGAGACCAGCCTGGCCAACATGGCAAAACGCCGTCTCTACTAAAAATGCAAAAATTAGCCGGGAGAGGTGGCGTGCGCCTGTAGTCCCAGCTACTCAGGAGGCTGAGGCGGAAGAATCGCTTGAACCCGGGAGGCAGAGGTTGCAGTGAGCCAAGATCACGCCACCGCACTCCAGCCTGGGCAACAGAACGAGACTCCATCTCAAAAAATAAATAAATAAAAAATAAGTATTTTTATAGACCATTTACTTGTGGTAAGAATGCAAGATTCTCACTCTTCCTGGAACATTATTATGGTAATCTTAATTGTATGCTTATTAAGAGGAAAACCTGGTTGTTACCATAGAAAATATCAGGACTGGTTAGTGCCTCCAAGATTTGAGCAGTTATACCTGTTGGGGCACTTAAATCTCAACTTACAGGTTCCTGTTTAACAGAGAAAGGGTAAAAACATCTACGTTTGTTTTAAAGAATGGCTAATACACTGATGGGGTAATGCAAATTAAAGTGGATGGAGCATACACACACCACCACCACCACCACCACCACCACCACCACCAAAGTGATGGGTGAAAATTAGGTGTCTGCTGGTTGCTGACTTTGTTTGACTCTCTTAGGATCACATGTCCAGGATGCCTTCAATGTTCATTTTCACCTGTACCAAGAATATTGAGTTATGGTAATTTTGTTGGATTAAAGGTGGATGATGTGTTTTGCTTTGCTAGGCTGAATAAGGGAGCTTCGAGCTCTGAGAGATTTACTCCAAGCAATCTCGCAGGGATGTCCCCTTTTGCCAGTATCTGAAGCAGTCTTTTGCAAGCAGATTTCAACTGGACATCAAAAATATAATCTCATTCACGCACAGCCACTGTGCCTTGGGTCCTTTTAAAACTATATGTACCTCAAGAAAGCATGGGTTCTAACATCAGGAAATCCTTCTTCCCAATTCCTAAAGAGGCATCAACCAACATATTCAGATTTACTATGCCCACCTCCTCTTATCCGATGCATTACTGACAACAAAATAAGCCTTAATAGGTACCCAGCTGTCACTTACTTGCTGCATAGCCTCAGTCAATTATTCCTCTTTCAGCTGGGAAGCAGCTACAGCACTGAATAAATGTATTATGCTCGGGACTATTCTGAGGGCCTCATGTAATAGCCACGGTTTGTGTTTTAAGACACTGACTTTCTCTTTACCTGATCCAGCTCAACTACTCATCAGCAATGGCAGAACTGTCTACATATCAAGGACTTCTTTAGGGATAAACAGCCATGCTAAGTTCTGTGAATACTAGTTACAGTTTCAGAAATCCCAAATTCAAAAGGGTGAAAGATTACAAAGTGTCTAAAGTTATGCTCACAAACATATAGCAGTAAAAACACTCCAGCAGTATAAAACGCAGTCTTAAGCAATTTTTTTAAAAATACGTATGAACACAATGACATTGCAAGTGAACCATAAAACCCTCAGTTCTCCTTTGAAACTAGATTTTAAAATACCACTCGCCACTCTAAATATTCCATTGGTGTTAATAACATTCATACTATTGCTTTTAGGAAAAGCTTCATTTCACGTTTTGAACCTGATATTAACAGTCTTATCACCATGAAGTGCTGGTGACATGAAATGACAGACAAAGGCTTATCAAGTAGTCTTTCTCCAAGCTCCAAGGAAAGCACAAAACAAAAACAGCGTCTGGTATGTATCATCCCCTAGTACTTTTCCAAGTATAGAACAGCCAAAAGGTGGTAGCTATGACATCCCTTACCTTTCAATTCTATTTCAAGTCCAAGTAATGATAGATGGGAAACTACAGCTGTTTCCCATGGTGGACTTCTGAAGTCCACCTCTAATCTCAAATGGGAAATTTGGTTTTGACTTGACAAACGTCCTCTTGCAGTCCCGTGTCCCTGTTCTGCAACTTGTCATTAAGGTTTTCGATTTAATATTAATATTTAGAAATATGTTATGGGCAATTACATATAGTAGATACTTATATATTACAACTACATAGAGAGGACAACATTCAGCCCTGGGCCTCGAACCCTACGGACACACACACCCTTCAAGTTGAAATCCCAGCAAGGCACCCTGAGAACCCACTCAGGAGAGGGAGGGGCAGGAGCAGCGAGCAGAGGTTAAACCAGGCAGCAGCCAAAACAAACACCACTTCCAGAACAGGACAAACTTTGGGTCTGGGCGGCTGCAGAACCCCAGAAATGGCCGGGGGAGGGGAGAGAGTGTCAGACTGTCTCAGGGAAGGAAGATGGGGAGAGCGCACCCAGCACTGGGCGAGGAGCTGAGCTGCGAAGGAGGCTGGTGTCCCCCGGGGACAAGGGCGTCGCCGCCATCCCCGGCTGCAGAGTCCTCTCTCTCAGAACTGGCCGAGGCCTCCGGGTCCCTGGGGGCAGCCCTGTCGCCCCACTCGCAACCTCCGCCCCCGCACACACTGCCCCACAGACCCGCAGGGACAGGAGGCGGAGGGACCCACCTGGTGCAGCGTCTCGGCGGGCAGCTGCGATGCCCGAAACAGGTCAGCCACGGGGCCGGCGGCCGCAGTGGCCGTGCCGGGGGCGACTCTGGCGGCCTCGGGGGGCCCAGACCCGGGGCCCCCGCCCGCGGCGCCGGCACAGCGCGCGAAGAGCTCGGAGTAGCACTGCTGCTCGCCCTCGCTCAGCAGCAGCGGCGGCGGCCCGGAGCCACAGCCCCCGCCCGCCGCTGCCGCTGCCGCTGCCGCCGCCGCCGCCGCCGCTGCCGCCTCCATGGGGCCAGCAAGGGGGCGCGGCGGAGCCCTGTCCCTAGCTGGGGTGCTGCTGCGTCCGCCACAGCCACCGCCTCCTCGGCCTCAGCTGCCGCCGCCGCCGCCGCCGCCACCACCGCCGCCGCCACCACCACCCCCACGCCCCGCAGCTGCCGCGCGGCCGCTTCCTCCCGGCGCGCGCCGGCCCCACCCCCGGGCTTGAATGTTGTGCCTCAGCTGCGCGGCACATGGAGACAGGCGCGGCGCGGCCCAATCACAGCCTGAGATGTCACCCCGGCCCCGCCCCCGCCTCCCGCTTGCCCCGCCCAGCGCCAGGTAACTAACCCAGCGCGCCGCACGCCCTCCGCCCGTCACAGGCTCCGGTGCCCAGGAAGGCGGGCCCCGTGCCTTTCCAAGCCTACCCTGCAAGGGAGCGGAGCCTTTGGCCATCCGCCCTGGTTGGGAAGGGGGCATCTAGACCCAACTGGAGAGAAGCTCTTTTCGGGGAGCGGGGAAGGTTGTGTTGTTTTCTTGCTAGAAGGCTGGGGCAGGTGTGGTGCCCACACCACGCCATGCCCTTTCCAGAAAGGGACAAGGCATGGGAAATTAGGTTTCCTTTCTTCCATAGCAGTACTGCTTATGTCCTAAAGAGCCGGAAGACGCAGACGTCTGTACAAACAGGGTCCCACTGACCCCAGAGTGTTCAGGGTGGTATTGGAGTTAGGCCCCCTCGTCAGACATGGCTCAAACCAGGAGTTGAGACTTTATAAGGAATAACATCGGTTACTCGTAAATACTAGAGTAGTAAGAGTACAAAAAGACCCATTTTGCAGATCATTTCGTCCAAACCCTGCTTTTACAGATGAGGAAACTGCCATGTTCACCTTCATTCCTCCAAAACCAGTTGAATATCTCGTATGTAGCAGATTTATATGCTAGGGCCTGAAAATACAAACCTCAGTAACAGAGGATCCTCACTCTCCAAAGGAAGCACTTATTTTAGTAGTAAAACAGGCATTTTTTTTAGTACAAAACTTGTTCAAGCTCACACCAAAAATCAATGCGAAACCCCACATTTTTCCACCCCGGTCCATGTCCTCCTCTCTCTCTCCATTCCTCCCTATCCTAAAGCATACACACTATATTTTTCAAATGTGCTTGCTTCCCCCTGGCTAGTACTCTAACCACTTTTTTTTTTTTTTTTTTTTTTTGAGAAGGAGTTTCGCTCTTGTTGCCCAGGCTGTAGTTCAATGGCACAGTCTTGGCTCACTGCAACCTCCACCTCCCGGGTTCGAGCGATTATCCTGCCTCAGCCTCCCGAGTAGCTGGAATTACAGGCGCCTGCCACCACTCCTGGCTAATTTTTGTATTTTTAGTAGAGACGGGGTTTCACCATGTTTGTCAGGCTGGTCTCGAACTCCTGACCTCAGGTGATCCACCCCACCCCCACCCCCCCACCTCGGCCTCCCAAAGTGCTGGGATTACAGGCTTGAGCCACCACGCCTGGCCCTCTAGCCGCTTTTAAAAGAAAGTCCAGGCCGGGCGCGGTGGGTCATGCCTGTAATCCCAGCACTTTGGGAGGCCAAGGCAGGCAGATCACTTGAGTCCTGGAGTTCGAGACCAGCCTGGCCAACGTGGTGAAATCCCATCTCTACTAAAAATACAAAAACTAGCTGGGCCATGGTGGTGAGTGCCTGCAGTCCCAGCTACTTGGGAGGCTGAGGCAGGAGAATCACTTGAACCCAAGAGACAGAGGTTGCAGTGAGCCAAGATCACACCACTGCACTCCAGCCTGGGCAACAGAGCAAGACTCTGTCTCAAAGAGAGAGAGAGAAAGAGAGACCAGAAAAGAAGCCACTGGAAAAAAAGTCTGTCCCACCATTGCACTGGAAGTTCCAGCATCAGGCCCACATATCTGCATCTCTTTTCCAAAAATTCTCTTTTTAAATGTCATTTTTCCTGGGAAGACCTGCAGAAATATATGCATGAAGCCTCACTGGGAAACAATAACCCAAAAGAAAACATCAGTCTAGGGTTAAGCACTAATAAAAAATATATTTTACTACAAAGAAAACTACAAAACATTGATTTAAAAAATTGAAGAGGACACAAAAACATGGAAAGGCATCCCATGCTCATGGATTGGAAGAATTAATATTATTAAAATGACCATACTACCCAAAGAAATCTACAGATTCACTGTGATCCCTATCAAAATACCAATGACATTGTTCACAAAAATAGAAAAAACAATCCTAAAAATTGTATAAAACCACAAAAGACCCTGAATAGCCAAAGCAATCCTGAGCAAAAAGAACAAAGCTGGAGGCATCACACTACCTGACTTCAAAATATACTACAAAGCTATAGTAACCAAAACAGCATGGTACTGACATGAAAAGAGACACATAAACCAATAGAACAGACTGGAGAACCCAGAAATAAACCCACACATTTACAGCCAACTGACTTCCAACAAACCACCAAGGAAATACATTGGGAAAGGACAGTCTTTCCAATAAATGGTGCTGGGAAAACCAGATATCCATATGCAGAAGAATAAAACTAGACCTTTATGTCTCTCTCACCTATACAAAAATCAACTGAAGATGTATTAAAGACTTAATCATAAGACCTAAAACTGTAAAACTACTGGAAGAAAACATTGGGGAAATGCTTCAGGACATTGGTCTGGACAAGGATTTTATGGCTAAGACCTTGAAAGCACAGGCCAAAAAAACAAAAATAAGCAAATGGAAATATATTAAACTAAAAGGCTTCTGCACACCAAAGGAAACATTAACAGTATGAAGAGATAACCTGAAGAATGGGAGAAAATATTTGCAAACTATTCATCCAACAAGAGACTGATATCCAGCATATAGAAGGAACTCAACTCAACAGCAAAAAAATAATAATAATCCCATTAAAAAGTGGGCAAAGGATCTGCATAAACATTTCTCAAAAGAATACATACAGATGGCCAACAGGTATATGAAAACATGCTCAACATCATTTATCATCAGGAAAATGCAAATCAAAACTACAGTGAGATATCATCTCACTCCATATATAAGAGAAAAGGAAAGTCTTTTACACTGTTGAGAATACGATTAGTACTGCCCTTATAGAAAACAGTATGGACGTTTCTCAAAAAACTAAAAACAAAACTACTATGTGATCCAGCAATCCCACTACTGGGCATTTATTCAAAGGAAAGTAAATCAGTAATCAAAGAGATACCTGCACCTCCATGTTTATTGCAGCACTATTCACAATAGCCAAGATATGGATCAACCTAAGTGTCCCTCAATAGTGCATGGATAAAGAAAATGTGTTATATATACACAATGGAATACTATTCAGCCATAAAAAAGAATGAAATCCTGTCATTTGCAGCAACGTGGATGGACCTGAAGGTCATTGTGTTAAGTGAAATAAGCCAGACACAGAAAGACAAATATCACATGTTCTCACTCATATGGGAGAGCTGAAAAAGTTGATCTCATGGAGGTAGAGCAATAGTTATCAGAACCTGGGAAAGGTGGGCTGGGGGACGAAGGGAGGTTAGCTAATGGATACAAAAATACAGTTAGAAGGAGTAAAATCTAGTGTTTGATAGCAAAGTAAGGTGAGTATAATTAACAGTTTATTGTGTATTTCTTTTTTCTTGAGACATGGTCTCAATCTGTCACCCAGGCTGGAGTGCAGTGGTGCAATCACGGCTCACTGCAGCCTCGACCTCCTGGGCTCCAGCAATTCTCCTACCTCAGCCTCCTGAGTAGCTAGGACTATAGGCGTGCACCACCATGCCCAGCTAATTTGTGTATTTTTTATAGAGACAAGGTCTCGCTATGTTGCCCAGGCTAGCCCACTCCTAGGGCTCAAGTGATCCACCTGCCTCAGCGTCCTAAAGTGCTAGGATTACAGGCATGAGCCACCATGCCCAGCCTATTGTACATTTCAAAATACCTAGAAGATTTGAAATGTTCCGAGCACAAAGAAATAATAAATGTTTGAGATTATGGATATGCCAGTTATTCTGGTTTGATCATTACACATTGTATACATGTACCAAAATATCACATATACCCCGTAAATATGTACAATTATTATGTATCAATAAAAAAATTAATACATTTTATAATTTGCTTTAATAAAGGGATATATAAAACTTACACCCCAAATAGTTTTATTTTTATTAAAAACAGAGACAAAAAACATCTCAAGAAATACCACTGACGATAACAAATATACTTTGGTATTATGGTCAACTAAAGGACCAAGGTCAGGAAGAGAGGAGAAGGGGAAAAAATCATGAAATTGTAAATACAAAAAGAAGGAAAGGAAAGGGGGAGAGAGTGAAGAGAGATACATAAGAAGAAGAAAAATAAAAAATGATGTCAACCTCAGTGATAACCAGAGTAATATTTTCCTTTTGGAATCTGGAAAAATGGAACAGAGAAGAGGATCTTCTCCAGAAGGAAGAAGTTCTCACCTCTTCACTAAGCTTTCTTTACACCACGTCTTGCATCCAACCTGCCAGGAGGGAACTAAAACAACAGAAAGCTTCGGAATGGAACAAGAGTGCAGAAAGGATATGTAAATTAGGAGCAATAAAGACTAACTTCACTTGGGAATTTCCATTTCAAAATCTCACCACCTGGCCAGGCGTGGTAGCTCATGCATGCAATCCTATCACTTTGGGAGGCTGAGGCAGGAGGATCACTTGAGCCCAGGAGTTCCGGACCAGCCTGAGCAACATAATGAGACCCTGCTTCTATTTAAAATTTAAAAAGAAAAAAAGAATTTAAAAAAGGAAAGAAGGCCACGCATGGTGGCTCATGCCTGTAATCCCAGAACTTTGGGAGGCCAAGATGGGAAGATCACTTGAGGCCAAGAGTTTAAGACCAGCCTGGCCAACATGGCAAAACCCTGTCTCTACTAAAAATACAAAAATTAGCTGGGCGTGATGGCTCATACCTGTAATCCCAGCTACTCGGGAGGCTGAGGCACAAGAATCTCTTGGACCTGGGAGGCGGAAGTTGCAGTGAGCTGAGTTCGTGCCACTGCACTCCCGCCTGGATAACAGAGCGAAACTGTCTTAAAAAAAAAGAAGAAGAAGAAGAAAAGAAAAGAAATTTCACCACCTTTGTAGTTTCCATAGCTGTGATACCTTCTCAGGAAAACTGGAAGCCAGATGTTTATTCTCTTCCTACCTTTCTGGTTGTACTCAGGTTTCCCTGAGAATGGCCAACCATTCTAATAAAGGCTAGAAAGGGACACACTCTGTGTGATAAACACCAAACCCTACTTTACCCTGTGACTACTGTCAAAGGAAATGTGAGCTATAATAATCCCTAATCTTCATGCAGTAGAGGAAAAAAGCTGCAAAGCTTTTCAAAGCACTTTTGTAACTATTATCTCATTTAAGCCTCATAGTAACTCTCTGAGGTAGATTGGGAAGACATTTTTAATCTCCATTTTGCAGATGAGAAAATGGATGCAGAGACAGTGTGATTTGTCCCACTGAATACCAGATTCAGAACTGATCTTTATGACTCAACTAAGTATAATAAATTTGACAGATATTTATTAAGCACCAGATATGACGGAGACAGGTAGAAAGTCTCACATCTGTGCCTATCAATCTATCAGTGAGACAATTGACATTTATTGATAGAAAAGAGAGTATTTACTGTATCCCTACCAGAGTACTAAGAGGAATTTTTCTTTAATAGAAGATGTGTTGCTTTCAAGGAGTTTGAAGCCTCACTGGAAGAGACAAAACTAACACAACAAATAAAAATAAATGAAAGAAAATATACAATTAAGTGCTAAACTGTATACTCTGGGTTAACTGCCATGGGAGTTGAAACAAGAGAGAAAATTCATGAGCCAGAGCTCAGCCAGGAAGGCTTGATCAGTGGGGCTGAGATGGCTGTTGACTGAGAGTGGGTGGAACTGGGGAGGTAAAAGGACACGACAGAAAGAGAGGAGCCCCAGAGACTTGGCAACCTGGAAATAATGAGTGAGGGACAGCAGGCTGGGTCAGAAGAAAGGGAAGCTCTGAAGGTCTCCAGGATGTAAGAAAGAAGCTGCTCAACAAAAGATGTGGGGCACAGCCAAAGGGGACCCAACAGCAGTAATACCCAGGGCACAGGAGGAAAAAAAAATGGCACTTGTAAAAATATGTTAATATCTAAGGAATGCCAAGTACTGTTCTTTATTTCTAAAAGTTTTTTCAATAGAAGAAATAGTTATCAAACTTCAAAATAAACACAGATAAGAATTTAGAAACTAGAAGCACTCATATCCCTTAAGGCTGACAGTAAACAAGAACTTTTTTGTGGTTCAAAGCTTACACACTTGTTTTGGCTCCATGATGGCCAGAAAAGCCAGAAGGATCATATTTTCAGAAATAGCCAAGAGACATCAAGAGATATTCTTTTTTATTGTTTCTCATGGAATCCAATTATTCCCATTGCAGAGATATTCTTTACATTATGTTTTTTTTGTTTGGTTTTTTTTTTTTTTTCCAGAAAATTGGTACTTAGGAGTGGAGCATTGCTATAAAGATACCTGAAAATGTGAAAGTGACCTTGGAACTGGGTAACGTGCAGAGATTGGAAAAGTGTGGAGGGCTCAGAAGAAGACAGGAAGATGTGGGAAAGTTTGGAACTTCCTAGAGACTGACTGAATGGTTATGACTAAAATGCTAATAGTGATATGGACAATGAAGGCCAGGCTGATGAGGTCTCAGATGGAAATAAGGAACTTACTGGGAACTGGAGCAAAGGCTACTCTTGTTACATTTTGGCAAAGAGCTTTGTTGTATTGTGCCCCTGCCCTAGGGATCTGTGGAACTTTGAACTTGAGAGAGATGATTTAGGGTATCTGGCAGAAGACATTTCTAAGGTTCAAGATATGGCCTGGCTGCTTCTAACAGCCTATGTTCATATATGTGAGCAAAGAAATGACCTGAAACTGGAACTTACATTTAAAAGGGAAGCGGAGTGTAAAAGTTTGAAAAATTTGCAGCCTGGCCATGTGGTAGAAAAGAAAAGCCCATTTTCAGGGGAGGAATTAAAGCAGGCTGCAGAAATTTGCATACGTAAAAAGGAGCCAAGTGCTAACACCTAAGACAATGGGGAGAAGGCCTCAAAGGAATTTCAGAGACCCTCATTGCAGCCTCTCCCATCACAGACCCAGAGGCCTAGGAAGGAAGAAAGGTTTCCTGAGCCAGGCCTAGGGCCCTGCCACCCTGTGCACCCTTGGGCCATTGCTTCCTGCATCCAAGCTGCTCTTGCTCCAGCCCTGGCTCAAAGGGGCCCAGGTACAGCTCAGACCACTGCTTCAGAGGGTAGAAGCCACAAGCCTTGGCTGCTTCCACCTCGTGTTAAGCCTACAGGTGTGCAGAGTGCAAGGGTTGAGGCTTGGGAGCCTCCACCTAGATTTCAGAGGATGTATGGAAAAGCCTGGATTCCAGGCAGAAGACTGCTGCAGAGGCAGAGCCCTCATGGAGAACCTCTACTAGGGCAGTGCAGAGTGGGAAATGTGGGGTTGAAGCCCCCACACAGAATCCCCACTGGGGCACTGCTTAGTGGAGCTGTAAGAAGAGGGTCACCATCCTCCAGACCCCAGAATGGTAGATCCACCAACAGCTTGCACCCTGCACCTGGAAGAGGCACAAGCACTCAATGCCAGCCCATGAGAGCTGTCATGGGGGCTGAACCCTGCAAAGCCACAGGGGTGGAGCTACCCAAAGCCTTAGGAGCCCACCTCTTGCACCAGTGTGTCCTGGATACAAGACGTGGTGTCAAAGGAGATTAGTTTGGAGCTTTAAGATTTAATGACTGCCCTGCTGGGTTTCAAACTTGCATGAGGCCTGTAGCCCCTTTCTTTTGTCCAATTTCTTTTTTTTTGAATGGGTATATTTTCCCAATACCTATCTCTCCATTGTGTCTCAGAAGTAACTAACTTGTTTTTTATTTTACAGGCTCATAGGTAGAAGGGACTAGCCTTGCCTCAAATGAGACTTTGAACATTGGACTTTTGAGTTAATGCTGGAATGAATTAAGATTTTCAGGGACTATTCAGAAGGCATGATGGGATTTTGCAAGGTGAGAAGGACATCAGATTTAGGATGTGCTAGGGGCAAAATGATATGGTTTGGCTCTGTGTCCCCATCCAAATCTCATGCTCAATTATAATCCTCAGTGTTGGAAGTGGGGCCTGGTGGGAGATGATTGGATCATGGGGGTGGATCCTTCATGAATGGTTTAGCCCCTTCCACTCGTTGCTGTTCTCACGATGGTGAGTGAGTTCTCATGAGATCTGGTGGTTTAAAAGTGTGTGGCACCTCCCCACAACCCCTCTCAGTCCTGCTTCTGCCATGTAAGATGCCTGCTCCCACTTTGTCTTCCACAATGAGTAAAAGCTCCATGAGGCCTTCCCAGAAGAGATGCTGCCCGTACAGCCTGCAAAACCATGAGCCTATTAAACCTCTTTTCTTTATAAATTACCCAGTCTCAGGCATTTCTTTACAGCAGTGTGAGAATTGACTAATACAATCATGCTGTGCTTGCAGGTTTGTAGTCTAGGATCAATAGGCTGTACCATATAGCTGTCAACTTAAATGTCAGAGAGAGGCTCTCTAAAAGAAAATGATGTTTATGGCCAGGCACGGTGGCTCATGCCTGCAATGCTAGTGCTTTGGGAGGCCAACGTGGGTGGATCATTTGAGCCCAGGAGTTGACGACCAGCCTGGGCAGCATGGCAAAGCCCTGTCTCTACAAAAAAATACAAAAATTAGCTGGGTGTGGGGCATTGTGTCGTGCACCTGTAGTCCTAGCTACTTGGGAACCTGAGGTGGGAGGATCACTTGAGCCCAGGATGCTGAGGCTGCAGTAAGTCGTGATTGTACCACTGCACTCAGCCTGAGCAACAGAGGGAGACTCTGTCTAAAGAAAAAAAAAAAAGAAGAAGAAAAAAGAAAAGAAAATGTTGTTCATGTGGGAATAGGGCATTGCAATGGGAATATGTATGCCACAGTAAACTTGTGCATATTCGTGGAGGTAAAGGAAGACAAAAATTTTTCAAGGAAAAATGAAGGTTACATAGTTGTTTTGAAATGGTTATTTTTGGTGACAAGGATCAATAACAAGGATGGCACCAGTTCAAGTTTAGACAGGCAGTTGCTGGTCAGATGTCTTTACAGAAGGTTGTGATGACATTTGTGTAAGTTTGCAGTTTTTGCAGTCTTTTGTTGCAATTTTGTTATCAGGCATACAAGTGTGAGAACCCTCTCTTCGTAGCCTTCCTCAGCTCTATTTGTCAGGTTTTTGTGTGTTTTTTTTTAACACAAGCGACTCCATTTTGATTCTGACAATTTTCACATAGCCTAGGTGTGTAGTAGGCTGTACCATCTAGATTTGTGTAAGTACACCCTGTGATGTTCACACAACAACGAAGACACCCAACAACGTGTTTCTCAGAACATACCCGTCATTGGGTAACGCATGACTGTACTATTGAGTGTATCTCAAAGATTGGTGAATTTTGAAAGGTATTTATTAAGGGATGGACCAATATAAACACTAAATAATCACCTGTTTGAATGATTTTAATATTTTTTTCTGCTATTAGTGAAAAAAGGCAGATCTTTAACAGTGTGAGAGAGAATCCTATTCCCCTGGCCTCATTATTTTCATGAGAAAGCTTCCTCTCTACTCCTCAGGAAGGAATATTGATGAAGTAACATTGGCACTTCTCCTAGTCCCCCTCACTCTTCTCTAAGGAAAGAGAAGTGATGAAAGGGAGAAGAAATTGATCATTCTTGGTTCATTCTCTCTCTCTCTGTCTCTCTCCCCCTCTCTTTTCCTCCATGATATGGTTTGTCTGTGTCCCCACCCAAATCTCATCTTGAATTCTAGCTCCCATAATTCCCACGTGTCATGGGAGGGACCTGGTGGGGGGTAATTGAATTATGGGGGTGAGTCTTTCCCATGCTCTTCTCATGATAGTGATTAAGTCTCATGAGATCTGATGGTTTTATAAAGAGCAGTTCCCCTACACAAGCTCTCTTGCCTGCTGCCACGTAAGACGTGCCTATGCTCCTCCTTCAACTTCTGCCATGATTGTGAGGCCTCCCCAGCCATGTGAAACTGTGAGTCAATTAAACCTCTTTCCTTTATGAATTATCCAGTCTCAGGTATGTCTTTATTAGCAGTGTGAGAACAGGCTAATATTCTTTCTCTCTCTCTCTCTGTCTCTTTCTTTCTCTCTCTCCTACCTCCCTCTCCTACTACCACCTCTGAATTCTGTTGCCCTCAGAGGGGACTCCACTCTACCCCCACTCTAACCCCGATTCCATCTAGAAAGCACACGTAATTTGGGTCCTCTCTGTTACCACCTGCAGGACTTGATGATTAGAAGACAGCAATTTCCTAGCAGCTTCCCAGGTATAGGTCTGTTTTATAGACTCTGAGGTGGGGGAAGTAAGGGGATAGAATATGTAAGAAGTAGCCTGAGTGTGGCTGCAATCCTAATCATCATCTCCAACCCAAGTCTAGCAACAACAAGGTTGATGTGCACATGGACCTTACCCAGGTAGTTCTAAACTCATCAAGAAAGACAGGGGTTAAAGTTCTTGAACCCTTATGTGCCCCACAAACCACTAATGACAATTAAATCTTTTTTTGTTTGTTTTTTGAGACAGAGTCTCACTCTGTCACCCAGGCTGGAGTGCCGTGGCATGATCTCGGCTCACTGCAACCTCTGCCACCCAGGTTCAAGCAATTCTCCTGCCTCAGCCTCCCGAGTAGCTGAGATTACAGGCACCCGCCACAGCGCCCAGCTAATTTTTGTATTTTTGATAGAGACAGAGTTTCACCATGTTGGTCAGACTGGTCTTGAACTCCTGACCTCATGATCCACCTGCCTCAGCCTCCCAAAGTGCTGGGATTACATGGGTGAGCCACTGCACCCGACCAACAATTAAATCTTACAAGTTACTGTCTCAGCCTGGCATGGTGACCTGTAATCCCAGCACTTTGGGAGGCCAAGGCCGATGGATTGCTTGAGCCCAGGAGTTCGAGACCAGCCTGGGCAACATAGCGAGTTCTCATCTTTATAAAAACTACAAAAATTAGCGAGGCATGGTGGTGTGCTCCTGTAGTCCCAACTACTTGGGAGGCTGAGGTGGGAAGATCACTTGAGCCTGGGAGGTCAAGGCTACAGTGAGCTGAGATGGCACCACTGCACTCCAGCCTGGGTGACAGAGCAAGACCCTGTCTAAAAAAAACAAACAAACAAATGACTGTCTACCATAAAACCAGCTTGGAATTTTGGTGAAGTTATATCTTACACCCACCCTTGTGTGTATGTGTGTGTGTGCATGTGTGTGTGTACGTGTACCCATGCAGATGTGTGATCATGTGCCCTCTTTCTTCCTATACCAACTGTGTCCTCTGAAGCCCAACAAACTGAGAAGGTGGCTGCTCTCAAGTAACAAAGAATTGTTCCCAGCAGCCCTGCTGCCCTCTTATGTAAAGTATCAGACAGTTCACCCCTCTCCGTGGAATTAAGCCTTTGGTATCCCTGGGAATGGCTGAGCAGAAATGTTAAAAGCTTTCCGTGCACTGGTAAAGCCCAATGGTTAAGTCAGACAAACTGGAGCCAAGAGTTCTCACTACTTGTTAACCTTGGGAAAGCAGCTTCCTGCTTTGTTTCCCAGAACAGGGTTTTGGATAATTATTATCGCGACCACATCTTTTCATTGTGCTTTTAAAAATTGCCCATAATACTCAAATTTATCATTAGAGCTTTATTTTTAGAGCTTTTTTTATTTTTTAAAAGACTAAGAAAGAATTTTTCAGTTATTCAGCATTTTAGTCGTCATAGAGTTGAGAGCAAGGATTATAATTGATGAAATTGACAGAATTCTGAAAATCAAATTTTCCAAAGCTGGTTATGTTTCTGAAAAATGGAATGTTCAAATGAGTCAGGGTAGGCTAACTGCTGTAACAATCCCCAAATGTCAGTGGGTTAACATAATGCCGGTTTATTTCCTGCTCATGTCACCCCTGTAGAAAGGGTGGTTTTAGTCATATTCATCCAGGGACACCATCTACTGGCTCCTCCAGCCCCTAGGTCCTCAAAGTCCTCCACTAGATCTTCTGCATCTAGTGGTTAGAAAAAGAAAGCAAGTGGGAACTCAGAAGAGCTGGAAAGATGGGGGTTTATGTGGGGGTCAGGCTCAGAGGTGGCACAAATCACCTCTCTGCTTTCCATTGGTTGGAAATCAGTCATATGGCAAATAAGGCTAGGAAATATCATCAAACTGTGTACCCAAGAAGTGAGGAGTTTGGGGAATATCTGGCCAGACTCTGCCATAATGACTGTGAGAAAATTTCAGACCTAGGGTAGGCCTGTTGGTTTACTGCCAAGATTCCCTTCACCAGATGATGGACATACCAGTGAGTGCTGTCTGCTAATGGTTCACAGCTGCTCCCTTCTTTGGACACTACCCTCAGCCAAACTAGTCACTTCAGGGAGGTTACACCTCCATCACCTCCCATGAAACAGCCCACAGGCAAGGACTGGCTGACTCCCTTAAAAGGCCAGCTCCTTGACTCAAAGTGGGACCGACTCTGGTTCTGATCATGCTCCGGAGTGGCCCGTGGGCTCAGGCTAAGGGAAGTCTCCAGCAGAGACCACTTCCTTGCCTAGCTCCCTCTCCAGCCCCATCCTGCTTCCCTCACACCCCTTCTTCTGAGAGTGCCTCCCCATCAAGGCACCAACACAAAAAACCCCCATCTCAGTTTCTGCTCCCAAATAATCCAACCTGAGCCAGGATTTTATATCAGAGAGTAATACGATCCATATCTCACAAAAAAACATGTGCAGCACAAGCCAACCTGTAAATATTTAAGTGCTTTCAGTACAGTCTATATAGCATTATGCTTAATAAACAAAGACTGCTATCCCAGCACTGCGAACAGGATCCTTTTACTGTAAATATAGATGGTGGTCTCATTCTTCATTTTTGTTTCCTACCCTCTTCTACTTTGACCAAGTTGATGTGGCTACTGAGTCAGCTGGGATTCAATTCTCTGCCTTGTAAGGCCACAGATGCATTTATCACTTTCTTGGGGGTGTCACAACTCACAGGAGAGTGCAGGTACATAAATCACAATTTCAGTTAACTGATTTACATCAACAGTGATTCCTGCTCTGTGAACTATAACTCTAGTACACATAGCTTTCCTCTTGTTGCTACACAAGTTCTCTCTGGAGATAAATTTTAAATAAGAAAACTGCTTTGGCAAGTGACATTGGTGTAAAGAAAAAAGAAAAAGAAAACTGCTTCTTAATACAGAACCATAGAAACAAACAAAGGAACTAAATGAGGACGAGGACGATGAGGCCAGTACACCCTTTTTCACAGTTAAGGGTATTTCCAAGTAGCGTTTTGAAGACAAAGAGCATATCTTACTCATCTGATACTTGATAAATAATTGTTGATTTACGTTCTTCCAAAACGACATATGCACTCACATGTTCATCGCAGCACTACTCACAATAGCAAAGACATGGAATCAACCTCAGTGCCCATCAATGGTGGATTGGGTAAAGAAAAAGTGGTACATATATACCATGAAATACTATGCAGCCATTATAAAGAATGAAATCATGTCCCCTGCAGCAACATGGATGAAGCTGGAGGCCATCATCCTGAGTGAATTAACACAGAAACAGAAAACCAAATATCACATGTTCTCACTTATAAGTGGGAGCTAAATCTTGGTACACATGAACATAAAGATGGGAACAACAGACACTAGGAACTCCAAAAGGAGGGGGAATCAAGGGTTGAAAAACTATCTATTGGGTACTATGTTCACTATCTGGGCGATGGGATCAACAGAAGCCCAAACCTCAGCTTCATGCAACATACCCTTGCAACAAACCTGCACGTGTACCCCCTGAAATTAAAATAGAAACTTAAATTTTTTTAATGATGTCAATTTAAATCAAGGGAGGAATCAGAATTACCTGGAAAGTACTAGAAACACAGTGGTAAACTACCCTTCCGAGATTTCCTTTCTTAAGAGGTTTATGTTTTCCTTTGCAACTAAATTCCCTCCTAGTTTAAACCTACTTTCATGACATGATTTCATTCCCAACTTCATGTCTTATTTCACATTTTTACTCTCATTTATTTAATTATCTTCTCTAGGAGTTCCAGACAGTCACTGAAAACTTAAATTTTAGTTTAGCTGCTTCCTGATGACTTCTGAACAAGTACTATAATCTCATGAATAACAGTTTCCAAAGTGACAATGTAGATTTGGTTGTGTCTTGGAAATGTCCCCCTCTTCATCTACTCTAATTTACATATTATAGCAGAATCTGGTGGAAAAGATTAATTTCATATTCAGGCAGCTGTCCAAGCAGTATGAGTTCAAGGTGCCTAAGATATGGAATTGTATTAGTCATTTCTTGCTGCATAACAGCAGCTTGAACGACAAACATTTATTATCTGTTTCTGAGGTTCAGGAATTCAGGAGTGACTTAGCTGGGTGGCTCTGTTACTGGAAAGGGGTCCCTACCAGACCCCAAGCAAGGGTTCTTGGATCTTGTGCAAAAAAGCATTTGGGGCAAATCTGTAAAGTGAAAGCAAGTTTATTAGAGAAGTAAAGAGACAAAAGAATGACTACTTCATAGGCAGAGCAGTGGCATGCGCTGCTTGACTGAGTATACTTATGGTTATTTCTTGATATATGCTAAACAAGGGGTAGATTATTCATAAGTTTTCCAAGAAAGGAGTGGGGAGTTCCCACTCCTGCTGTCCTCCCCCACCACTGCAACTAAGGGTTCCTCCCCCTTTTAGACCGTATAGGGTAGTTTCCAGATGTTGCCATGGCATTTATAAACTGTTATGGCACTGGTGGGAGTGTCTTTTAGCATGTTAATGTATTATAATTAACATATAAGCAGTGAGGATGACCAGAGGTCACTTTCATCACCATCTTAGTTTTGGCAGGTTTTGGCCGGCTTCTTTACTGCATCCTGTTTTATCAGCAGGGTCTTTGTGACCTGTATCTTGTGCCTACCTCCTGTCTCATCCTGTGACTTAGAATGCCTAACCTCCTGTGAATGCAGCCCAACAGGTCTCAGCCTTATTTTACCCAGCCCCTATTCAAGATGGAGTCGATCTGGCTCAAATGCCTCTGACAGCTTGGGCTCAGGGTCTCTCAGGAGTCTGCAATCAAGCTGTTGACCAGGGATGTAGTTATCTAAAGTCCTGATTGAGGCTGAAGGAGCTATTTTCAAGACAGTTAACTCACACGGATATTGGCAGGAGGCCTCAGTTCCTTCTTATGTGGGCCTCTCCACAGGGTGCCTGAGTGGCCTCATGACATGACAGCTGGCTTCCAAACCCAGAGCTAGTGATCTAAGAGAAAATGCTTCTGCAACCATATTGCCTTTACGACCTAGTCTCAGAGGTGACACATGAAGAAATTTTATGGGTACATTTTAAACCATAACACTGGTTCCTAACTTCTCTCTTGTTCCTCAGAGTCTCTCTCAAATTTGCAAAGTGCTTTTTAATATTATTTTGGGGTCAAATTAATGTCAATTTATTCATAAACTTAGAACACACAGGATTTTAAAAAATTCATGAGCATTATTTTATTTTATTAACTTTTTGCAGTAATTTGAGATTCACAGAAATTTGCAAAAATAATCCAAAGAACTCCTGTATACGTTTAACCCAGAATTTCCAAATGTTACCACATTTGCTTTATCAACAAACATTTATTATTTTTTTTTCTCTCTCTCTCTCACTCTCTCTCTACAGTTGAAGTGAGTGACTGAGGCATAAGTCTTAATTATCTAAGTTTATTAAGCCACTTTAGAGTGCTTCTGGGAAAAACACAAGCCACAGACACATCGGCTGCTGTTTTTCTGCAGTTTTCAGGTTTTGTGTTTTTACATTTCCTTAAAGGGAGGACAGGTGTGTAGGAACGGGGCAGGTAGGCAGTTAGGCAAATACTATATTTCATATAAAATGAAGTGAATGTCTGAAAAGAGAAAGGGAGTAAAGGAAGAGTCAATTATGCAGACATCTCTGGGTAGGAGGAGGAATGAGCCTTGTCTTTGTTCTGCACCTGGGAAGATAAGCTTGTGATGACATTATCAGTGCAGAATGGAACAGACTAGTTTTATGAGGTAGACCTAAAGTTACCATTGGCATGTCCTTGTTTCTGGAAGGTCAGCAAAGAATTTACTCATGAATAATCTGTGGAGGCCGTCCTTCACAGATACGTGAGGCCTTTTACCTCTCCACGGGGATCTGACTGCTGCGTTAATGTTAGTAACAGCTATTCATTTGGAAGAGAGTGTTGCAATGACCTTTCCTGTTGCACAAGAAATCTAGAGGATCCTGAGATTTTTTAAATTCGCCTTTCCACGTTCCATCTATTTTCTTTTCCTGAGTCATTTGAGAATAAGTTGCAGACATAATACCCTTTCTACCCCTGAGTACTTCAGTGTACATTTCCTAAACACAAGAATATTCTCTTGTATAACGACAATACGATTATCAAAATAAAAGAAGTCACTATCATCTAATCCACAAATTTTATTCAATTTTTACCAATTGTCCCACTAATGTACTTTCAAGTAAAAGGGAAAAAAAAAAACCAAACCTTTTTTTTCCCTCAATCAGGATCCACTCCAGGATACATTGCACTTAATGGTCATGCTTCCTTTAATCTGAAGCAGTTCATCAGTCTTTCTTTGTCTTTCATGACCTTGACATTCTTGATGTCTACAAGCCATTTATTATGTAACGTTTATCACAGTTTGGGAGCAGATGGTATTCAATTTGCTTATAATCTGCATCTTCATTCCTCTGTAAGCTTTGTAAATCTTCCTGAGACACACATAAAAATAAGCAGTCCTAAATGTTTTTAAAGAATTTTTTTTGGCTGGGCGCAGTGGCTCACGCCTGTAATCCTAGCACTTGGGGAGGCCAAGGTGAGCGGATCACGAGGTCAGGAGATCGACACCATCCTGGCTAACATAGTGAAACCCCGTCCCCACTAAAAAAAATTTAAAAATACAAAAAATTAGCTGGGCGTGGGGGCAGACGCCTGTAGTCCCAGCTACTTGGGAGGCTGAGACAGGAGAATGTCAGGAACCCGGGAGGTGGAGCTTGCAGAGAGCAGAGATGGCGCCACTGCACTCCAGCCTGTGCCACAGAGTGAGACTCCATCTCAAAAAAAAAAAAAAAAAAAAAGAATTATTTTTTGAGACAGGGTCTCACGGTATCACCCAGGCTGGGGTGCAGTAGCATGATGTTGGCTCACTGCAACCTCCACCTCCCGGGTTCAGGTGATCCTCCCACCTCAGCCTCCCTAGTAGCTGGGACTACAGGCATGTGCCACCACACTTGGCTAATTTTTTTATTTTTGGTAGAGACGGGGTTTTGCCATGTTGTCCAGGCTGCTGAGCTCAAGCGATCCTCCCACCTCAGCCCCCCAAAGTCCTGGGATTACAGGCATGAGCCACTGTGCCCAGCCTAAATATTTTTAGTCTGTCAATGGCTTGTGAGCTGATAATTTTAAGAATTGGTAAATAAAGGGAAATAATCACACACTGACCTTGGCTTCCATATCAATCTTTACCACTGGGGAACCAAATATAGATGAGGTAGGTGAGGGGGGTTTCTTTTTTTAAAATTTTTTTTTTTAGTGACAGGGTTTTGCTCTGTTGCCCAGGCTGGAGTGCAGTGTCATGATCATAGCTCCCTGTAACCAAACTCCTGGACTCAAGCAATCCTCCAGCCTCAGCCCATGTAGCTGGGACTCCAGGTGGATGCCACCTGGCCCCTACATTTAATTTTAAATTTAAATTTAATTTTAATATTTTTATAGATACAGAAGCTCCATAGTTACCCAGGCTGGTCTCAAATTCCTGGCCTCAAGCAATTCTTCCACATTGGTCTCCCAAAGCACTGCGATTACAGGCGGGTTTGTTTTTATATGTTTCAGCAACTAAGTACCAAAGGAGTGACAGAATTAAAATATCACTATTTTGCAATTCCTAATGAATAAATAGATCCAAACATTGATCATCAATGGCTGCTAACATCACAAAAGGAGTCAGACATTATGTGCTTCTGGCCAGACACACCCAAAACTACTTACGAAGTACAACTGCCAAAAAAGCAAACCTGAATTTTAACAAGTCTCTCTAAATCAGCACTGTCCAACAGAAATATGATGCAAGCCACATATGTAATTTTAAATCTTCTAGTGGCAACATTCAAGGCAACTAAAAAGAAATATTTGAAATTAACTTTAATAATTATCTAACTCAAAATATCATCATATCAACATGAAATCAACATGAATTAATTAGTAATTAGATAGTTTAGATTCCGTTGAAACCTGATGTGTATTTTACACTTACAGCCATCTCAATTTGGACTGGTCACATTTCAAGTGTTCAATAAACACATGGGGCCAGTGGCCACCGCATAGGACAGTGCAGCTCTAGACAAAACCATCAAAGTGCAGGAAATACAGAAGGCAGAGAAACATGTTAGACACTGCCACAGAGAAGCAAACAGTCAAAGCAAACTGTGGGATTCTCTACAAGACAATTTTATTTCTTTAACAAATAAATTACAAGTGGGGAAAAGGAAATGGCTGGGGAAATTCTCCATGAGAGGAGGTTTAAGATGCATATAATCCAATCACGATCTGAGGATCTTGTTTGGACCCAGATTCAAACAAACTAACTAAAACAAATATATGGCATTTATGACACAAATGGAAATTTGAACACTGACTGGATATTTTGTGGTAGTAAGTAATTATTATTTAATTATTCAGGTGTGATCATAGTCTCGTGGTTATGTTTTTTAAAAATGAGTTCTTTTAAAGATATGTACTGAAGTATTACGGATGAAATTATACAGTGTTTCAGATTCATTTCAAAATTATTAGGGGCTTTCCATTTCTATTAAATATCCAGAAGAGGCATATCCATAGGGAAAGAAAGCAGATTGGTTTTTCGTGTTTGTTTGTTTGAAGACAGGATCTCGCGCTAATGCCTGGGCTGGAGTGCACTGGTAAGATCATGGCTCACTGCAGCCTCAAACTCCCGGGTTCAAGTGATGCTCCCACCTCAGCTTTCCAAGTAGCTGGGACTATAAGCATGCACCAGCATGCCTGGCTAATTTTTGTAAAAAAAAAATTTTTTTTTGTAGAGGCAGGGTCTTCCTATATTGCCCAGGCTGGTCTCAAACTCCTGGACTGAAGTGCTCCTCCTGCCTTGGCCCCCCAAAGTACTGGGATTACAGATGCGAGCCAGCATGCTGGGCCTGAAAGCAGATTGTTACCAGGGCTGGGAGGAGTGGGTAATGGGGAGTGACTACTCAGTAGGTATGCAGTTTCCTTTCAGAGTAATGAAAATGTTCTAGAATTAGATAGTGATGATGGTTGCACAAGATTGTGAATTACTAAATGTCACTTAATTGTACACGGGTGAAATGTTGAAAATGGTTAATTTTACATTAGGTGAATGCCACCACAGTAGAAAATTGTTTAAATGTTATGATTGAAAGATAAAAACTATAAGGGGCAGTGGAGAAGAACATGTGGGTTATGGACGAAACATTGAGTTTGAACTGATAATTGTTGAAGGTGGGTAATAGGTACATGGGGGTTCATTCTACTATTCTCTTCATTTCTGTATATATCTAAAATTTCCAATAGTAAAAAAGTTAAAAATAAAATCTGTTAACCATGAGGGAAACTTGAATATGGACTGAGTATTCAATTGTGTTAAAGAACACTGTTTATTTTTAAAGTGTAATAATGTCATACAATGTCATAGTGTTTATGAAAAAGAAACCCTTGGCCGGGCCTGGTGGCTCACGCCTGTAATCCCAGCACTGTGGGAAGCTGAGGCGGGCTGATCATGAGGTCAGGAGATCAAGACCATCCTGGCCAACATGGTGACACCCCGTCTCTACTAAAAATGTATTTTTGTAAAAAAATTAGCCGGGCATGGTGGTGGCGCGCCTGTAGTCCCAGCTACTGGGGAAGCTGAGGCAGGAGAATTGCTTGAACCTGGGAGACAGAGGCTGCAGTGAGCCGAGATCGCGCCACTGCACTCCAGCCTAGGTGACAGAGCGAGGCTCTGTCTCAAAAAAAGAAAAAGAAACCCTTACCATTTACCAATGCATTCTGTATTATTTATGGGTGAAATGACATGATATCTTGAATTTGCATTAAAATACTCAAGCACAAAACAAAAAAGCAGAAAGGGGATAGTTTGAAAGACGATTTTGAAAGTGCTGACCACTGTTTTAGCTGAGTGGTAGGTACAAGGAGGAGTATTATATCAATCTCTCAATTTTTTTATGTTTGAAATTTTTTGTAACAAAATATTTTAAAAATATATCAACCACTTCTTCACAATAGCAAAGACGTGGAACCAACCCAAATGCCCATCAATGA
Source organism: Homo sapiens (assembly GCF_000001405.40). Classification (NCBI taxonomy): domain Eukaryota; kingdom Metazoa; phylum Chordata; class Mammalia; order Primates; family Hominidae; genus Homo; species Homo sapiens. The sequence continues at coordinate 16,926,342 of NC_000023.11, read as the reverse complement.
TAGACTGGATAAAGAAAATGTGGCACATATACACCATGGAATACTATGCAGCCATAAAAAAAGGATGAGTTCATGTCCTTTGCAGGGACATGGATGACGCTGGAAACCATCATTCTCAGCAAACTAACACAAGGACAGAAGACCAAACACTGCATGTTCTCACTCATAAGTGGGAGTTGAACAATGAGAACACATGGACACAGGGAGGGGAATATCACACACCAGGGCCTGTCAGGGGGTGGGGGGCTAGGGGAGGGATAGCATTAGCAGAAATACCTAATGTAGATGATGGGTTGTTGGGTGCAGCAAACCACCATGGCACATGTATAACTATGTAACAAACCTGCACGTTCTGCACATGTATCCCAGAACTTAAATCCATTTGCAGCCCCATTTGTTCATTCCTATGTGTAAGCCCTCAGTGCAACTCTGGTATCTAAGTGCTTTTGAATGTTAACATTAAACAGAAATTTGAAACAAAATAACAATATTAAGGCATGCCTTTCTCTTTAAAAATAGTGAAATACCTGGCAACTAGTCCAATTTTTTGCTGTTTTAGAATGAGACTTCATGAGAAAGTTCAGCACATCTGGATGACAATGACTGCTTTCCTTTCACACAGGAAGAAATAGAAGTGTATGTTCATTTTGAAGAGAATGTTTATTTCACATGTGATGTATTATCTTTGTGAGACTCCACCCTTTAACTAAAATGGGAGTTAAGAACAGGAGCACTGCAAATAAACTGGATTTTTTTTAAGCTTCAGAACCTCTTGGAAGAATATGTGTTTGTAAACAGTTTCCGTATTATTATACATGTCAATCAGGTAACTATGAAAATAATAACACTGGATTAAAACACTAAAAAGTTGATCACCTCTGTAATTATTTCCATTTTAGAACTAGAGTACTGTACTTGCATTGACAGAAAAGGGCTTTAATGCACAATGAGGCTTTAATCCAAGGCCTGTGCAACAGAAAACTTGGAAACATTTTGTAGTTCATAAAACTCATCCTCAATTTTGACTGAAACCAGCTGTTTCATTTAAGCCAACAGAGATTAAAAAAAAAAAAAACTATGGTTTCTGGAGCCAGATCCCACATAGCAATGCCTCAACAGACTTCTGATCCTTTAGAAAATCACTATTAGAAACTTTTTACAAGCATGTTATGTCTCCAGGGATTGTTTTAAAGAATTGGCTTAAACTGCATATTTAGCCAAGTATATGAGAGTTCATCAAATATATAACATGATTCACTGGGACAGTTATAATCAAAAAGAGGGACAATAACAAGTGTTGGTGATGATGCAGGGAAACTGGAGCTCTCATACACTCCTGGTGGGAATATAAAATGGTGAAACCACTTTGAAAAACAGTCTGGCAGTTCCTCAAAAATTTAAACATAGAGTTACTGTATCACCCAGCAGTTCCACTCCTAGGTATATACCCAAGAGAAATGAAAACATGCATCCGCATAAAACTTGTCCACAGATGTTCATAGCAGCATGACTCATAATAACCATAAAGTAGAAAAACCCAAATGTTCAACAACTGATGAATGGATAAACAAAATGTGATATAGGCACATAATGGAATGTTATTCAGTGAAGTTCTGACACATGCTACAACACAGATAAATGTTGAAAACATACCAAGCAAAAGAAGCCAGACACAAAGGACACATATTGCATGAATCTATATTAATATAAATAGACTTGTTTATGAAATGTCCAGAACTGGCCAATCTGGAGAGACAGAGTGATTGCCTGGGGCTGGGTGGGGGTAGGTTGAGGAAAAATGGGGGCTTCTTTTTGAGGTGATGAAAGTGTTCTAGAATTATTAGTGATGGCTGCACAATTTTGTAAATATACTAAAAACTACTGAATTTTACACTTTACAATGGTGAATTTTATGGGATGTGAATTACGTCTCAATAAAAAAAAGTGTTTTTAAATACGTAGCATGCCACTACCACATCCCTATTTATTTCCTTGTAGAAGCAAATGAAGAGCACTGTGTAGCGGGTAAGAGAACAATCTAGTTCCTCTCTTTTGCCTAAGTCATGCTTGGAATTTAACTCTCCAGACATCAGTCTACACTGATCCAAAGAGGTAACACTTCACACGAGGTGTTGCCATCCTTTCACCACTTCATTGCATTGTGAAAATGCCGTGATCATATTGGACTACGTCAATTAAAAGCAAACATAAAGACTCTGCAGTGAGAGCAGTAGGAGTAAACCTTTTCAAATGGTGCCCTTTCTAAATCTTGTCTTTCCCTGCCTCTCTCTTAGCCTGGATCAGGGCCCCCAAAAGAATTCCTTGTCTCCAGAGAGTAGAACCACATGAGGCATCTTCATCTGAATATCCAGTTGGGGAGGGCAGTTCTCCAACCTTTTCCCAGGCTTCCTGACAGCCATTTCTCTTTCCCACCCTGTGTTGGGGGTTGTGTTTCACTTGATAACCCCTATGATGGGATATGTTTCAGATACATCTATGAAACTTTCTGTATAAACCTGATTTTTATAAAAATAAGTGAAATTTAAACAAATTCAGGACAAGATTTAAAATAAATCTTATTATGAATCATTTTAGTAAATGACTAATCACCTCTATTTCTTTGTTGGGTCATTTATCTGGTTTACTTAAAGAACAGGAGACATATAAACATTCTATATTACAGATACATAAATGAGTGTGTGTCCATATATAAATAGATATTATATAGTTATATATAACTATATAATATATATTAAATAATATGTATAATATATTTATATATTATATATATGTGTGTATATATGTATAATTATATATATATAATTCATTGGAGAAAAGCTTCCTGAGCCCAGAAAATAGTTAGGTTTAGATCTTAAATAGTGAAGTTAATGTAAAGCTTTCTTTTTAACAAGTTTCGAAGCCACACATCCGAAACTTAGTACGGCTAACTCTAGGTAGGTAGGTTTTATTTATTTATTTATTTATTTATTTATTTATTTATTTATTTATTTATATTTTTTAACTGAATGAAACTTGTGTCTTGTATCAGCTTATGTAAGAATTAAGTAGGGTATATATACATGTAAATAATAACTAAATTTAAAAAAATAATAAATGTGTTGCACAAATACCATCAACAGAGGTGGATAAACAAATGTGATATACACATACAGTGGAAGAATATTCAGCCTAGAAAAAAAAGAAAATTCCAACACATGCTGCAACATGGATGAGCCTTGAGAACATTCTGCTAAGTGAAAGAAGCCCATCACAAAAAGACAAATACTGTATGATTCCACTTATGAAGTACCTAGAGTAGTCAAATTCATAGACACAGAGAGTAGAATGATGGTTGCCAGGGGCTGGGAGGAAATGGGGAGTTACTGTTTAATGGGTACAGCTTTAATTTTGCAAAATGAAAAAGTTCTGGAGATTGGTTGCACAACAATGTGAATATACTTAACACTACTGAACTACACTTAAAAATAGTTAAGATAGTAAATTTTATGTTACGTATATTTTACCACAATTTAAAAATGTTTAATTAAAAAATAAATGTCTCGAAACATACCAATTCTTACTTAATAAAATCTTTTCAAAAACATACTTCCCACCCAACTTGTGGGCTGCTGATATTCTGGCAAATCATAATGTTGATGCCAATGGTTCTTCCTCCTATTGTCAAGGCTTTCCTGTCCCCAATCACTTTTTAAAATTGATACATAATAGTTGTACACATTTATGGGATACATAATATTTTGACACCTGTATACAATGTGTAATGATCAAATCAGAGTATTTAGGATATCCATCACCTCAAACAGTTATCATTTCTTTGTTAGGAATATTGCAATTCTTCTCTTCTGGCTATTTTGAAATATACAACATATTATTGTTAACTATAGTCACCCTACTGTGCCATCAAACACTAGAACTTATTCCTTCTATGTAACTGTATGTTTTGTACCCATTAACCGACGTCTCTTCATCCCCCACTCCCCTCTTCCCTTCCCAGCCTCTGGTAACCACCATTCTACTCTCTACCTCCATGCAACCATCTTTTTTTTAGCTCCCACATATGAATGAGAACATGCGATGTTTATCTTTCTGTGCCTGGATTATTTCACTTAACATAATGACCTCCAGGCTCATCCATGTTGCTGCAATGACAGGATTTCATTCTTTTGTAAGGCTGAATAGCATTGTAGTATATGTACCATATTTTGTTTATCCATCTATCCATTGATGGACACTAACGTTGATTTTGTATCTTGGCTATTGTGAATACTGCTGCAATAAATATGGGAGTGCAGATATCTCTGTGACATACTGATCTCCTTTCTTTTAAATATATACCTGGCAGTGGGATTGCTGGATTGTAGGATATTTCTATTTTTAGTTTTTTGAGGAACCACCACACTGTTTTCCATAATGGGTATACTAATTTACATTCCCACCAACAGTATGAGTGTTTTCTTTTTTCCACATTCTTGCCAGCATTTGTTATTTTTTGTCTTTTTGATAATAGCCATTTTAACTTGGGTAAGACAATATCTCTTTGTGGTTTTGATTTGCATTTTCCTGATGATTAATCCATTTTGAGTTGATTTTTGTATATGGTGAGAGAGGGGGGTCTAGTTTTTTTCTTCTGCATATGGATATTCAATTTTCCCAGCACCATTTATTGAAGAGACTGTCCTTTCCCCACTGTATGTTCTTGATGGCTTGTCAAGAATCAGTTGGCTGTAAATGTGTGGATTTATTTCTGGACTTTTTTATTTGGTTCCTTTGGTCTATGTGTCTGTTTTTATGCCCCTACCATGCTATTTTGATTACTATAACTTTGTAGAATACTTTGAAGTCAGGTAGTGTGATGACTCCAATTTTGTTCCTTTTGCTCAGAATTGCTTTGGCTATTTGGGGTCTTTTGTGGTTCTATACAAATTTTAGAATTTTTGTTTCTATTTCTGTAAAGAATGTCATTGGTATTTTGATAGAGATTACATTGAATCTATAGATTGCTTAAAGTAGTATGGGCATTTTAACAATATTAATTCTTCCAATCCATGAGCATGGGATGCCTTACTGTGTTTTTTTGTTTGTTTGTTGTTTTATTTTTTGTTTTTTTTTTTTTGTCTTTTTGAGACAGAGTCTTGCTCTGTCGTCCAGGCTGGAGTGCAGTTGCATGATCTCAGTTCACTGCAACCTCCGCCTCCTGGGTTCAAATGACTCTCCTGCCTCCGCCTCCTGAATAGCTGGGTCCACGGGCACATGCCACCATGCCTGACTAGTTTTTGTATTTTTACTAGAGACAGGGTTTCACTATGTTGGCCAGGCTGGTCTTGAACTCCTGATGTCAAGTGATCCGCCTACCATAGCCTCTTAGAGTGCTGGGATTACAGGCATAAGGCACCACATCTGGCCTAAATTATGATTTTCACAGAAACTTCATTATGTTTTCAATTATCATCACAATCCTAAAGTTTATGCATTCACTATAAAGACTCTATTAGTCAGTTCCTTTTGCTAATATTCAGTTTCTAGAGTACGTTTGATGTCAGCTAATATATTTTTGTCATTTACATATTATTACTTACATTTGTCCAATTTGAATTTTTTGTTGTAACCATAGTGCCCCATTATATTCCCAGTTTTTAAAAATGGATCAACAGTTCATTATAGTATAAAAGGGGTTAAGAAAAAGTTATCTAAATACTGCAGTGCAGGATAATTCATAAATATAAATAATACATAAGAAGTCAGTGTGAATATAGAGTATGACTCTGTATTAGTGGGGCAAAAGAATATGTAATAGTGGTGGCAGAAAAAAACGAATAAGAATGAGAAATACAATAATTATATGAGAATTAGATGCTATCTATAGATGCCTGTGCTTCACCTATTATGAAACTGTCAAATAGTGGCAGGAAGCCACCACAGCCTTTTTATGCTTTTCAAAAACAATGCACAATGACCTCTCTGGTGAACCCACTGAGATTTTCCAGAATAAGCTAAAAATTGTGCTTTCCAGGATGCTAAAGGTTCAAGTTGTACTGCTGCCAAGAACTTTGTAAAACCACTCACAAAGTTAATAAAAATGTTGTGCAAGAAGGAAAATTGAATGGTCTGTTGGCAAAATTCTCTTATCAAATGATGGTGTTGTACATCATCTAATATCAATGGCATTCTGCAAAAACAAGTACTTATTATGGTGCTTATGTGAGCAGATATTTTACATTACAGCTAAAATATGTTTGCTTTTGGCATATGTAATGAGCATACGTGAGTAAGATGTGCTCAGTGTTTTCTTCTGTTGATCTCTGAATACCCAGGTTACAAAAGTGATTTTTTATTTAGGTAAAAATTATTATGGGCGCCAGTACTGAGGTAGCACCCGCTATGCAAGCAGCAATGCCAAGCTTTGCTAGGTGAGTCAGATTGATGGCAAGTGATAGAAAAATAATTGCAACTGCCTTAAGCCATCGAGTGTTTATTCGCTCACACAATTGAATTCAGATACTCAAGCAATATCATCACACTGGTTTTGTCTCCATCTTTCCTCTCTGCCTTCTGCCATGTTAGCTTCAATTTCAGGCTCTGCAGAGTGTCTTACCGCTATTCCAGTCACATATGCTCTCATGTTGAAGTCCAACATGCCACTCTTCCAATAGCCCCAACTAAAATTTATGAGAATTTATTGGCTAAGTCCAACTGGGTCACATGCCCATCCATGAACCAGTTTCTATGGCCAAGGGAAGGCAATGCTTTGACTGGTCACACCTAAGTCACCATCCACCCCAGGAGAAGGGGATTAATTCAACTCTCCCCAAAGCACAGAGTCTGACATGCAAGGAGGGCTGGTATCCCAAAGAAAAATCAAATAATTATACCAAGAAAAGTTTGAATGGATGATGGAGATGGGCCAATAATAGATGTCAACTCTAGTGTCTTAGTAAAATGACAATTTTTTTCACACTCCTTTATTCACTTAGGACAGCTGGATGTTACCAATATGCTTCTTGAATCAGTATGGAAGTAATCTGACTAAATTGCCACTACTCAGAGCATGTTTCTTCAACATACTGTGAAAAGTCATAGGAGCATGCATAAGATGGCTTTTCCACACCAGAGTGCATTAACTATCAAGCAAAAGATGCTGACACTGCATACAAGTGTGACAGTGATAATGCCAGCAAGGACCATTTCTGCATGTCCCAGTGCTTGCTACTTTCCAAAGTGCAATTCAGTGGTGCATTTATTTATGTATTTGATACACTATATATGCACATATTTCTGAGGCACATGTGATATTTTGTTACATCCATAGAATGTATAATGATCAAGTCAGGACATTTAGGGTATCCATCACCTGAGTATTTATTATTTCTGTGTGTTGGGTACATTTCAAGTCTTCTCTTCAGGTTATCTTGAACTATCCAATACATTGTTGTTAACCACAGTCACCCTACTCTGTTATCCAGCATTAGAAATTATTCCTTCTATCTAACTGTATGGTTGTACCTATTAACTAATCTTTCTTCATCACCTCCTGCCCCATACACCCTTCCTACCCTCTGGTTTCTATCATTCCACTCTCTATCTCCATGAGATCAACTTTTTCAGCTCCCACATGAGTGACAACCTGCGGTATTTGTCTTTCTATGCCTATTTCACTCAACATAAGGACCTCCAGTTCCATGCATGTTGCTGCAAATGACAGGATTTCATTCTTTTTCATAACTGAATAGTATCCCATTTTTCTATATATCACATTTTTTTCATCCATATGTCTGTTGATGGACAGTTAGGTTGATTTCATATCTTGGCTATTGTGAATAGTGCATCAATAAACATGGGGGTGCAGCTATCCCTTTAATATATTGATTTCTTATTTTATTTATTTTCTTATTTATTTATTTTTTAGAGAAAGGGTTTCACTCTGTTGCCCAGGCTGGAGTGCAGAGGCAAGATCATAGCAGTTGCAGTCTCCAACTCCTGGCCTCAAGCAATCTTCCCATATCAGCCTCCTGAATAGCTGGGACTACAGGCACGTGCCACCACACTCGGCCAATTTTTAAATATTTTTGTAGAGACAGGGCTTCACTATGTTGCCCAGGTTGGTCTTGAAATTCTGGCCTCAAGCGATCCTCCTGCCTCGGCCTCCTAAAATGCTGGGATTACAGGTGTGAGTTACTGCACCCAGCCTGATTTCTTTTCCTTTGGAAAAATACCCAATAGTGGTATTGTGTTTAATACATTGAATAGTCTGAATTTATCACTTGAGATCCAAAATACTGTGATTTATAATGTTCAGCATAAAATATTGGGCATAAATATTTTTAAAAATATTTTTAAGGAAATCACACCAAGGTCCAAACAGCTCAATCACAAGGAATTTGGCTCTCTGTCAACCTTTTATGAATTTCTTCATTTGTGGAGAAAGAAACCACTGCTGTATTTTGGGGCTACATTTTGAAATCACATTCGGTTCTAGTTAAGCAAGGCAGATTGATCTCATATATGTATACATCTTAGGCCCCTCTTCAAACCCCACTAGAAAGACTGAAAGGAAATTTTTTAAGGCATAAGCTCACAAGGAATCAAAACACCCATCAAAATGACAGCAGATGAGATATGACAACAAAATTTTGAAAGCTGAAAAGTAGATGGCCAAGTGGCAAATAACACAATAAAGCAGAAAAAGCTAAGTGCCTACAAGGTGGGAAGCCAAGAAGAAGCAAGGTGATTCGTGTCACAGAACCCCAGAAAAGCTTAGGAATTAGAAGGAGAGAGCCTGCTGAAGGTGGGTTGCAAGGTAGAGCCAAAAACAGAACTGGTGAACATTCTTTAAAGGAACAGCTAGACCTCAGATCTTCGTCCCACCCCCACATAGTCCTAAATATAGATGAATGTGTGTAAAAAATTTACTTGACTTATTCATGAAGAAACCTGCAGCATAGGAAAGCTGTTTCAAAGATCATTTGAGAAACAGAAATTTATATATTCAAACAAGAAAAAGTGCTGATATAAGCACGTTAGCATCAAAACCCTTAATACCCTACAGGGCAATAAAGCCATAACTTTGGGGTTATCCTTTCTACTACTCTTGGTCAAAAATCTACACGTTTACTTGTAAGTTTACAGAGTATGAACCCTAATTAAAAGTGTCAAACAGGCCCAGGCGCGGTGGCTCACGCCTGTAATCCTAGCACTTTGGGAGGCCGAGGCGGGCGGATCACGAGGTCGGGAGATCGAGACCATCCTGGCTAACACGGTGAAATCCCGTCTCTACTAAAAAAATACAAAAAATTAGCCAGGCGTGGTGGTGGGCTCCTGTAGTCGCAGCTACTCGGGAGGCTGAGGCAGGAGAATGGCGTGAACCCAGGAGGCAGAGCTTGCAGTGAGCCCAGATCGCACCACTGGACTCCAGCCTGGGCCAGAGAGCGAGACTCTGTCTCAAAAAAAAAAAAACAAAAAAAAAAGGGTCAAACAAAGATACATTCTCCTAAAGAATGAAATAAACCTTGGGCAGGCCTGTTGGATAGTGCTGTCATATGACATTTGGAAGACTTTCAGTCACCCTCTTGCCTTGTTATATGTTTCACATTATTTTTTCTTGATAAGAGAAATAAACATCTCTTTGAAAAGCCGTTCTTACATGGACACAGGAAGGGGAACATCACACTCTGGGGACTGCTGTTGGGGGGGGAGGGGGAGGGATAGCATTGGGAGATATACCTAATGCTAGATGACGAGTTAGTGGGTGCAGCGCACCAGCATGGCACATGTATACATATGTAACTAACCTGCACATTGTGCACATGTACCCTAAAACTTAAAGTATAATAATAATAATAATAATAAAAAGAAAAGCCGTTCTTACTTAGCTTTTTTTTTTTTTTTTTAGCTTGCAGCTGAACACAATCACAACTAATAAGCCCTCTTTGTCGCAGGGAACTTGGCTACTGAGAGACAGAGCTCCTGAATTTCAAATCGTACAATTCCCACCACAATAAGGGATTGATTTAGGCTCTTTCTAATCACGAATTAGGATAGCAAAGGCATGTTGATACAAGTAGTAAGCTGTGTGGAAATTGTTTTCACTGTCAACCACAGCCCCTGAAATGGGTTCCAGAGCCTATTTTGGTGATTAAAAGTTATTTACTTAGTTTTTGCATTCCTGCTGTAATAGTCTTTAAAAAAATCTTCAAGACAATGAATGCCTCTGGCTTAATGTGGCAAAGTTCACTTTTAGAAAGTACCAACATGAACTCACATTAACAATCCTCTAGATTTTATCTTCCTACCTAAATATGGTCAAATCTTTTCAACTTTTAAAAACAAATCTCTCCAGGTAACCTGGGGGCTTGTCTTAGTCCATTCCAGTGACTATTATAAAATAGTGTAGACTGGGTGGCTTACATACAACTTTTATTTCTTACAGTTCTGGAGGCTGGAAGTCTGAGATCAAGACACAGGCAGATTTTGTGTCTGGTGAGGGCCTCCTTCCTGATTCATAGATGATGCCTTCTCGCTGTGTCCTCACATAATGGGAGGGGCAAGTGAGCTCTCTGGGGTCCCTTTTATAAAGACACTAATCCTGTTCATGAGGGCTCCACCGTCATGATCTCATCACCTCCCAAAGGCCCCACCGCCTAATACCATCACCTTGAGAGTTAGGATTTCAAGATAGGAATTTGGGAGGGATACATATATTCAGTATATAGCAGGGCTCATAGGGCATTCATCATCTTCAGTGATGCCCATTGTGCTTGGCTTCTCTTTTTCTTTATCCTCAGATATCTGTTTCTGGAGGACAGGGAGGGGCCTTGCCATCTCTGCATCCCAGTAGCTCCAGGAACAGCTCCTATGCATGGCAGATGCACACTAACTGCTTGAAAACTGGCACTAATAAAGCAGACAGGGAAGAGCAAAAATCAAAGAAAGAAAAACCCAAAGTAAACAAAAGCAACAACAATCTCCAAATTTTAGAAACAGAGGCTCACAGGCGCTGTTGCTACCCTTCCTTCTATCCCTTACAATCTGTCTACTGTCTGCTCTGCTCCATGACTTTTGCTAACAGCATGGATGGCATCATAACCACTAACTCAATCGTCATTTCTTATTTTTTATCCTGCTTGATCTCTCTCTGCCCATTTAGAATTGAGAAGGAATTATCAGAGAGGATGAAAGATAATCTGGAAAGCACAGTGTCATGAAAGTCTACAGAAGAATTTTGAGAAAGAAGTGATCAACATCATCAAATATTGTAGAGAGGTAAGGACCAAAAATCATCCCATAGGTTTTGGCAGGTAGGGGGTCATTTGTTTGAAAAGAGATTGTAGCCACTTGGTATTCAACACTTCCCTAATGTTCTTCTACAGTAGTTTTTCACCATTCAATCATGGTTTGTCACTGTCTGCAAATGCAGAGGCCTGCTCTCCTCAAATCAAGGACAATGGCTAATTTTATTGGTTGATTGCTAATTCCAAGAAGTTTATACCTAATGAAACCTTGCTTCAAGTTGTATTTATGGTTGTTCCTGTTTTGTCTTTTTTGCCCACTCTTCACTTTTCTTTCTTTCTTTCTTTCTTAGACAGGACCTTGCTCTGTTGCCCAGGCTGGGGTGCAATGATGCAATCTCAGCTCACTGCGGCCTCTGTCTCCTGGGCTCAAGCAATCCTTCCACCTCAGCCTCCCAAGTAGCTAGGACTACAGGTACACACCACCATGCTCAGCTAATTTTTTAACTTTTTGTAGCGACGATGTCTCACTATATTGCCTAGGCTGGTCTCCAACTCCTCAACTCCAGCAGTCCTCCTGCCTTGTCCGCCCAAAGTATTGGGATTACAGGCATAAGCCACCAATGCCCGACCTCACTCTTCATTTTCTATACAGCAATGCACCCATTGACTTTTGCAAAGCACCTCACAAAGACCACCAGAGCCACCCTTTGATGACACAAAGCTAAATTTATTAAACTTGCTGAGTAAGGGAGAGCCCTGAGTTTACAACATCTCAGTAGTGACTCAAAAGAAGGAAGTTAGATGGCTGGGCTCAGACGGTTCTAAGGCTGGGCTGGGTAGAGAAGGAACATATGTCAGATTTTGTAAACCACACAAGTTGCTGAATCTTGGAACACATGGCTTGGATGGGTTGGTACTAAAACAATTTGGGCTGAAGCAGTTTTTGTTGTAAGTTTACGGCCTGCCTTTCTAGAACAGATCATTATGTTATCCACTATAGAAAAGTATGCTATAAACGGTGCTCTAATATGACATTGAAAGGACAAGTGGCCGGCATTTTGTCTATTTCTAAGTTTTGCATATATTTTTCTTAACAAAAGTAAGAGATCTGTGAGCAACATGAAATAGCACAGGGATGACAAATAGATTTCACCAATAGATCCAACTTTGCACCATAGATGGCACAGTGTTAAGTTGAGAAGGATTGTTGAAGACCTTTTTGGGGTCTTAAAGAAAGAATCCCATGGCCGGGTGTGGTGGCTCACACCTGTAACCTCAGCAGTTTGGGAGGCCAAAGCAGGCAAATCATCTGAGGTCAGGAGTTCGAGACCAGCCTGGCCAACTTGGTGAAACCCTGTCTTTACTAAAAATACAAAAAATTAGCAGGGCATGGTGGTGCGTGCCTGTAATCCCAGCTCCTTGAGAGGCTGAAGCAGGAGAATCGCTTGAACCCAGGAGGCAGAAGTTGCAGTGAGCCAAGATCGTGCCATTTCATTCCAGCCTGGGCAACAAGAGCGAAACTCCATCAAAAAGGAAAGAAAGAAAGAGGGAGGGAGGGAGGGAGGGAGGGAGGGAGGGAGGGAGGAAGGAAGGAAGGAAGGAAAGAAGGAAGGAAGGAGAGAGAAAGAGAGAAAGAAAGAATCCCATGATCTATTACAACATTATTTTAGGGTGTTTCCTGTCCTGCAGAAATTGGAAAGCTAAAAACTACATTTTCTAGGTTCTCTTGAAACTTGGGTTTCAGATGTGCTTTGGGTTCTGCCAACCAAATGTCCCCAAACCAGCAGGGCATGAGGCACCCCCAGATTTTATTTTGTTTTGTTTTTGTCTTTGACTTTGTTTTTTGTTTTTTGGTTTTTGTTTTTAGTCCAAGTTCTGGGCTTAACCCCGAGATTTTGGCCTAGGCATGGCTGTGCCTGTCTTCCTTGAACTACATGAGCCAAACCAAGACCCTGCCATGAAACCCCTTTGTTACATACGTGAATCCTAGCTGAGCTTCTGCCACTTGCAACCAAGGATCCTGAGTGACATATCTATTTGCACATAAAATCTTGCATGCAATTTCAGGCCCTCACAAAACCCATCCACAAACTTCAGATTAAACAGCCCTACTCTAAAGACTTAATTATTAAACAGCCCTACTCTAAGGACTTAATTATTTTACTCTGGACGTGTCTCCACAATACTGAAATCTAGTAGAAAGTTTAGAAAATCCCTATTCATACACGTTTAGTCAAATGGTTATAAATACTGTCACTTCTGGGAAAAAATGATTATAAATAATACCTTTGGAAGGTCCAGGAAAAAAATTAGTCTTTTTTCCTCCATTTGCTCACCATAGTACCTAAAATCCAGTCGGAAGTATATATTTCTCAGTGTTAAACAATGACACCTTATTTATACTTTTTTTTTTTTTTTTTTTGAGACATGGTCTCACTCTGTTGCTTAGGCGGAGGGCAGTGGCACAATCACGGCTCACTGTAGCCTCGACCTCCCAGGCTTAAGCAAGCCCCCCACCTCAGCTTCCCTAGTAGCTTACAGTGCTTACAGAGACTATAAGCACACACCACCACATCTTGCTTATTTTAAAATATTTTTGTAGAGACAAGATCTCACTTGCTGCCCAGGCTGGTCTCAAACTCCGAGGCTCAAGCGATCCTCCCACCTTGGCCTCCCAAAGTGCTGGGATTATAGTCATGAGCCACCATACCCGGCCTATACTCTTTTTTTTTTTTTCAACAAATAGGCACCACATACACTGCACTACATGAAGAAGATAGGCTGGTCCGAGTGCAGTGGTGTTTACAACGACGTGATCACAATCAGTTATGGATGTCTTTGTTCTTTCTCCACTCCCACTGCTTCATTTTGACTAGCTGAAAAAAAATTAAAAATAAATAAAAATAAAAACTTCTTAAAAGATGATAGATACGATTCATGCCACCATGGAGCTTTAAGTCAAGTGGGTGAGAAAGACAAGTAAGCAGGGGGGCTCTTACTTAAATGCCCCTGAGTTGTCATTATCATTTATTAAACTAAATAGAAATCTGTTTACAAAATACTCAATCAGTTTAGCATTATCTACTGAAGCTAAACATGTGCCATCCCACGACCCAAAAATCCAACTGCTAGATATAGACCCGAGGAAAATGGTGCACATGTCTGTCCAGAGACTTATATAAGAATGTTTAAAGCAGCTGTATTTATAAGAGCCAAAACCCAGAAACATCTACAACAGGGCAATAGGTAAACGCAGTATGGCATATTCATACAAATAGAAAACTATACAGCAATAAAAAAGAACAAATTTGGCCGGGCGCGGTGGCTCACACCTGTAATCCCAGCACTTTTGGAGGCAGAGGCGGGCAGATCACGAGGTCAAGAGATCGAGACCATCCTGACCAACATAGTGAAATTCCGTCTCTACTAAAAATACAAAAATTAGCTGGGCATGGTGGCGCACGCCTGTAGCCCCAGCTACTCAGGAGGCTGCAGCAGGAAAATCACTTGAACCCAAGAGGCAGAGGTTGCAGTGAGCCGAGATTTCACCACTGCACTCTAGCCCGGTGACAGAGTGAGACTCTGTCTCAAAAAAAAAAAAAAGGAACAAATTCCTGTTGCACCCAACCATGTGGATGAGTCATGGACACAACAATAAGTGAAAGAAGACAGACACTAAAAAGTATGTACTGTATCATTCCATTTAAGTGAAGGTCAAGAATGTGTAAAACTAATATATGGCAATAGAACTCAGGAGAGTGACTACCTCTATGTCGGGGAGTGGCATTGACTGGGGAGGGAGCCATAAGGGAACATTCTAGGTTGTTGTAAATGTTCTATATGTTGATCAGATTGATTTTTTTTTTTTTTTGAGATGAGTCTCACTCTGTCCCCCCGACTGGAGTGCAGTGGCACGATCTCGGCTCACTGCAACCTCCATCTCCCGGATTCAAGCGATTCTCCTGCCTCAGCCTCCTGAGTAGCTGGGACTACAGGCATGCACCATCCACCTGGCTAATTTTTGTATTTTTAATAGCGACGGGGTTTCACTACGTTGGCCAGGCTGGTCTCGAACACCTGACCTCAGGTGATCCACCTGCCTTGGCCTCCCAAAGTGCTGGGATTACAGGTGTGAGCCACCACCCTTGGCCCCGAGTGATCTTTATATATGGATTTGTATATGTAAACATTCATTGAGCTGTATGTATTAGGTTGATGCAAAAGTAATTGTGGCTCTTGCCGTTGAAAGTAATGGCAAAAACTTCAATTAATTTTGCACATAAGATTGGTGCATTTGGCCGGGGGCCCTTTATCCTTCAGTAGCATTTCCCCTAATAAATCTCCTGCACATATAATTCAGTCTTGGTGTTTGCTTCTTGGATGATCCAAACTGACAGGGCTCCCAAAAACAAGTGTTCCAAGAGAAAGGAACCAGAACCTACCAATGCTTCTAAAAGCCTGGCCCAGAACTGGCCCACGGTCACTTCTGCCACATTCTCTTGTTTAACTCAAGTCATGGGCCAGCCTGACTCAATGTGGGAGGGGATTGCCACAGCATGAAGATTGGAGCCATCTTTGCTGACTAGCTGTCACAACTGTATGTATGTTATATCTCTATTTTTAAAGTTTTTTAAAAAAATATCCTGTCTTCTGGATAGACCTTGGATTCTGAAGCTGCAGGTGAAGAGTGTGCTGTGGAGGTCAAACAGCATAGAGGGAGACCTCTTGAGGACACCACCTGTGTTCTTGCCATGCGGCAGCATTGAAAGCGAGACATTTGCAAGTGCTGCTGATCACATATGGCTTCTGTGAACTATCTGTACTCCATTAACAGGGGTCATTCATCTGTCAGCTCAGCCTTGTATGCCCTCTGAGGATAAGGCAGCATACACAGCCAAGGATAGGTTAAGACAAGCACTAGCTGATTTCGGCTGATTTCATTTGTGAGCTCTTTTCACGAAATTTTTCAATTTAATCATTATTTGAGTTTAATATAAACAGTAATCTAATCTAATTAAGTAACTGCACTGGATCAAATTTGGCAGTTGGAAAAGTAAAACACGGCCAAGCACAATGGCTCATGCCTGTAATCCCAGCACTTTGAGAGGCCAAGGAGGGAGGATCGCTTGAGCCTAGCAGTTTGAGACCAGGCAGGGCAACACAGGGAGACCTCGTCTTTACTAAAACAAACAAACAAAAAAAGTTAGCTGGGCTTGGTGGCGCATACCTGTGGTCCCAGCTACTCAGGAGGCTGAGGTGGGAGGATCACTTGAGCTCTGGGAGGTCGAGGCTGCAGTGAGCTATGATGGCACCAATGCACTCCAGCCAGGGCAAAGAGTGAGGCACGGTCTCTAAAAAAAAAAAGGAAAGAAAAGGGCTGGGCGCGGTGGCTCACGCCTGTAATCCCAGCACTTTGGGAGGCCAAGGCGGGTGGATCACCTGAGGTCGGGAGTTCAAGACCAGCCTGACCAACGTGGAGAAACTCTGTCTCTACTAAAAATACAAAATTAGCTGGGTGTGGTGGCGCATGCCCGTAATCACAGCTACTCGGGAGGCTGAGGCAGAAGAATCGCTTGAACCCGGGAGGCGGAGGTTGCGGTGAGCCAAGATCGCGCCATTGCACTCCAGCCTGAGCAACAAGAGTGAAACTCCATCTCAAAAAAAAAAAAAAGAAAGAAAGAAAGAAAGAAAAGAAAAGTCAAACACACCATTGTGCTTTCTTTTTAAAAAAGAGATGGAATAAGTCTCAAAAAAGACAACACATTTTTTTCATATATATCATGCCTTGTCAACAAATGTTTGTAATCAAAAGACCAGAAAAGCTAAGACAGAAAAGGAAAATAAAAATTGAGGTAGGAAAGGCAGCTTTTACTAAAACACCAGAGTAAGTTAGTTAAACCACAGGATCCTCAGGTTCAGATAGGATAGAGCCATAGTGCATGTTGGTTAATTCCTACCTGGAGTTCAAGTCCAACAGAACTTATGTCTTACCTAGAGGGACTTGGCTGAAACAGAATTTTTTGCACTAGTTAGGTTGTCTGGGCAGACATCCTCTTTGGCAGCATGGGGACGAAAGGGGGGTCTTACTTTTTAAATTGAAGTATAATTGATATAAAACATATAGTTTTTGTTTTGTTTTGTTTTGTTTGTTTGTTTGTTTGTTTGTTTGGAAACAGGGTTTCGCTCTGTCACCCAGGCTTGAGTGCAGTGGTATGAACACGGCTCATGCAGCCTTGACCTCCCAGACTCAATTGATCCTCCCACCTCAGCCTCCCGAGTAGCTGGGACCACAGGTGCATGCCACCATGCCCAGATAATTTTTGTATTTTTTGTAGAGACGGGGTTTCCCCATGTTGCCCAGGCTGGTCTCAAACTCTTGACCTCAAGTGATCTGCCCACCTCGGCCTCCTAAAGTGCGAGCATTACAGGCGTGAGCCACCGCACCTGGCCTACATAGATCTTAAGTATACAGTTCTATGGGTCTTGACAATTATGTACTTGTGTAACCAATACCAAAATCAAGACATAGAATATTTCATTTTTTGTTTTCTGAGACAGGGTCTTGCTCTGTCACCCAAGCTGGAGTGCAGCAGCACCATCATAGCTCACTGCAACCTCTGCCTCCTGGGCTCAAGTGATCCTCCCACCTCAGCCTCCAGAGTAGCTGGGACTACGTGCATACCACCATGCCTGGCTAATTTTTTGTATTTTTTGTAGAGACGAGTTTCACCATGTTGCTCAGACTGGTCTCAAACTCCTGGGCTCAAGCGTTCCACCTGCCTTGGCCTCCCAAAGTGCTGAGATTATAGGCTTGAACCACTGGGCCAGGCTGACATAGACTATTTCTTCCATCTTAGAGGTCCCTTTTACCTCTTTCCGTTCAATCCCCATGTACCTACCCTCCCCACCCCTGCAAGTCCCTCCAATTACTTTCTGGATTTTATCACTATAGGTTAGTTTTGCTTGTTCTAGAATTTCACTTACATGGACTCTGACAGAATGGCTTTTTTCATTCAACATGATGTTTCTGAGACTCATTCATGTTGTTGCATGTGTCCTATTTATTTCCTTTTTATTACTCAGTAGTATTCCATTGTATCAATATACTGCTCTTTGATTATTAATTCTCCCGCTGATGGATATTTGAGTTGTTTTCAGTTTGGGGCTCTTAGGAAGAAAGTTGCTAATGAACATTTTTGTGCGGGGTTTTTTGTTTGTTTGTTTTGTTTGTTTGTTTGTTTTTGACAAATGGTTTCATGACTCATGAGAAAATACCTAGGCAAGGAATTCATGGGTCCTAGGGTAGATGTATGTATAACTTTATAAGAAACTGACAAAAATTGTTGTACTTTTTTTTTTTTGCGACAGAGTCTTGCTCTGTCGCCCAGGCTGGAGTGCAGTGGCACTATAGAACTCAGCTCACTGCAACCTCCATCTCCTGGGTTCAAGTGATTCTCCTGCCTCAGCCTCCCAAGTAGCTGGGATTACAGGTGCCCACCACCACGCCTGGCTAATTTTTGTATTTTTAGTAGAGACAGGGTTTTGCCATGTTGGCCAGGCTGGTCTCAAACTCCTGACCTCAGGTGATCCATGTTGTACCATTTTAAGTTCCTACCAGCAGTTCAAGAAAATTCCAGTTGCTCCACATTGTTGCCATTACTTGGCATTGTCAGCTTTTCAAAATTTTAGCCACATAGTGGTATCTCAACTGGGTTTTAATTCCATTTCCGCGTTAACTAACGATGATGAGCACTGTTACGTGTACTTCTTGGACATTCCTATGTCTTCTTTCATGAAGTGTCTGTTTTTAATGCCTTCTATCTGCCTTTTTTTTTTTACAGTCTGCATTAATTTCCCTTAAAGAAGCAGTTCTCCAAGTCTGCTGCCTGGAAGAGTTCTGTGATGAAACAGATCAATTCAAGCAATACATTTAGCTAAAATAGTTTTCTATGCTGGTCCAGTTTCACCATTAAAAAGCAAATATGCTTGCTCACATAAATTGGTATAACCTTCCCAAAGTAAAATGCTGACTCTAGCGTTTTACTTCCAACTTTGGGGTATGTATGTACTATAAGCACTTTCACCACAAGCATGACCACTATAGACTATGGTCTATTATAAATAATGTTTCAAAAAAACCAATGTATTTGCTTTTAAATGAACTCTAGCCTGGGGCAACATTGAAAATCATTAGTATTTCCATTCTCAAAAAATGAGGCTGAGGCAACAAGCATAATCAATAATTAATAATCAGTGAGTCTTAAAATACTTTAGAATGATTGGCATAAAATATACTGTAAGAGCTCATTAAAAGATAATGAGAAAACTTCATTTTCACCCACTACAAAGTGTTTCAATAAAGAATTAAAATCCTACAGAGAGGAAGTCGTGGTCTTATGAGGTAGGTTTACAGCAGTTCATCTAACTTTCATGTTGGCTATCACTGGTGACACCAGCTTCATCTTTGTACTTAAGGATTAATCAGTTTGAATGCTTGATTATTCCATCTTTGCTGGTGAAGACTTATTAAATGGCACTTTTATATGCTGTAAGGAACTTAATATTACTGAATGTAATCATAAATATGACATTAGGGTGTGATACAATGGCCATCAGGTAAGTCTCATTCCACTTGACCGAAAAAATAATCTCTTTTCTTCTCCTGTATCTATCGTATTATGCTCACATTACAACATTTCAAAGTTTTCTGATTTTTGCTCACTGTTCTTATATTTGGACTTTTATTTTCTGTGCTTTTGAGTACTGATGCCAATTTGTCCCTATTTCACAATAGCAAATTGCTTGATCTAGAGTATTTTAGGCATATTGTACTGAGTCACCTCGGCTAGAGCATCTCAAATCTTAGTGTGCATAGGAATCACGTGCAGTTCTTGTTAAACTGCAAATTCTAATTCAGTAGGTCGAGGGTGGACCCTGATTCTGCATTTCTAACACTTTCAGGGTACACCCATTCTGCTCACCAGGGATCCCACTTTAGTAGTAAGGGACTATAGAATAATTGCTGTCACCATTTTGACTGATATTCAATGTAATTTACCATTAAAACTTTTTTCAGACAGGGTCTTGCTCTGTCACCCAGGCTGGAGTGCGGTGGTGAGATTTTTGCTCACTGCAATCTCCACCTCCTGGGCTCAAGTGATCCTCCCACCTCAGCCTCCTGAGTAGCTGGGTGCATGCTATCACAGCTAATTTTTGTAATTTTTGTAGGGACTGTTACACCATGTTACTCAAGCTGGTCCTAAATTCCTGTGCTCAAGTGAATCACCAGCCTCGGCCTCCCAAAGTGCTGAAATTACAGGCGTGAGCCACCACACCCAACCAAAACATTTTTATTGATACACAATAATTGCACTTATTTATGGGATGGGTCCATGTGATATTCTGATACATGCATACAATGTGTAATGATCATATCAGGGTATTTAGGTATTTGATACATGCATACAACATGTAATGATCAAATCAGGGTATTTAGGTATTTGATACATACATACAACGTGTAATGATCAAATCAGGGTATCTATCACCTCAAATATTTGTCATTTCTTTGTATTGGGAACACTTCAAATCTCTTCTAGCTATTTTGAAGTATAAAATAAATTACTGTTAACTGTATTAGGCTGTCCTTGCATTGCTATAAAGAAATACCTGAGACTAGGAAAAGAGGTTTAATTGGCTCATGGTTCTGCAGGAAGCATGGTGCTGACATCTGCTTGGCTTCCAGTGAAACCTCAGGGAGCTTTCAATCATGGCAGACGGTGAAGGGGGAACAAGCATGTCACATGGCAAAAGCAGGAGCAAGCAAGAGAGAGTTGGGAGAGAGTTGCCACATGCTTTTTTCTTTCTTTGGAAAAGGAGTCTCCCCCTGTCACCGAGGCTGGAGTGCAGTGGTGCGATTTGGGCTCACTGCAACCTCCGTCTCCCGGGTTCAAACAATTCTCCTGCCTCAGCCTCCCAAGCGGCTGAGACTACAGGCACATGCCACTATACCCGGCTAATTTTTTGTATTTTAGTAGAGATGGGGTTTCACCATGTTACCCAGGCTAGTCTCGAACTCCTGAGCTCAGGCAATCCACCCACCTCAGCCTCCCAAAGTGCTGGGATTACAGGCGTGAGCCACCACACCCGGCCAGCCACATGCTTTTAAACAAAGCATCTCATGTGAACTCAGAGCAAGAGCTCACGTATCATGAAGGGGATGGCCTAAGCCATTCATGAGGGATCTGCCCCCATGATCCAATCACCTCCCACTGGCCCCACTTCCAGCATTGGGGATTACAATTCCACATGAGATTTGTGTGGGAACAAGTATCCACACTATATCATTAACTACAGTCACCCTGCTGTGCTATGGAACACTAGAACATATTCATTCTATCTAACCGCATTACAAGTTTTTAGCTACACAAATATTGCATCATGGCAGGTGATGTACTTTGCCTGCCTAACTGCCATCTCATCCCCACCTCCTCCACAAACCTTCTGTTTATTGATACAACTCCCATTTTATTTAGGGAACAATCTGACATTAGCTATTATGCTCCTCTTATCCACTTTCCCAGACCCCCTGCATCTAATAATGGCCACATTACCCAACACTGGCCAACAAAATGAAGGGAAGAATTCTCCTAGGATGCTTCTGGGAAAGCTTTTATTTTCTTGCTGAAAGAGACTGTAATAAAAAAAAAACCGCCCTCCCCCTACTTTTTTTTTCTTGGAGACAGTATCTTGCTCCGTCACTCAGGCTGGAGTGCAGTAGCATGATCATAGCTCAGTGCAGCCTCAAACTCCCAGGCTCAAGTGATCCTCCTGCCTCAGCCTCCCAAGTAGCTGGGACCACAGGCATGTGCCACCATGTTGGGCTAATTTTTTATTTTTTGTAGAGACAGGGTCCCACTATGCTGCCCAGAATGGTCTCAAATTCCTGGGCTCAAGTGATCCTCCCACCTCAGCCTGATTACAGGCATGGGCCACCACACTCGGCCGGGTTTATATATATTTTTAAAAGAAAAGACCACCCATATGTTCTGAGGATCCTGGAAAACATTGGGATAGGTCCAGAAGTTAAAAGCAAACAAAACAAAAATAAGCACCTATCAAAATATCACACTACTTTATCTTCTTAGTGCAATTTAAATACCATTTTTTTTAAGTTCTCAGATGTTCTATGGAATGGGGAAGCTCCTGACCAAAGTCTTCTGGCTTACGTTTTAAAAACTGTCACCAAAGAAAATGTTAGCTTTGCAAAGCCAACCACAAGCTGAAATGCAAGAAGAAATGAGAACTAAGAAATTTAGGGTGTTAAAAATAGAAATTATAACTAGCAATAGTATCACCCTGCTTCCTGGGCTTTTCGTTTTCATTTCTTTCACAAACATAATTATGAAAAATATTTGAGCTGTTAAAATTTTTTGAGATGATTGATTTTCTGAATTTAAATGTTGTTATAACTCTTAATGGGTGTCCATTCTAAAGAAACTTGACAAAGTTTAAAATTTTCTACCTAGGTAATGATTTCTACATTTAATATGTCAAGCTGAGTTTTGTTTCTGTTAGGGCTGCAAAATTTTTTTTTTTTTTTTTCTGAGACAGAGTCTCACTCTGTTGCCCAGGCTAGAGTGCAGTGGTGCGATCTCGGCTCACTGCAACCTCCGCCTCCCAGGCTCAAGCGATTCTCCTGACTCAGCCTCCCGAGTAGCTGGGATTACAGGCACTTACCACTACGGCCCAGCTAATTGTTGTATTTTTAGTAGAGACAGGGTTTCACCATATTGGCCAAGGCTGGTTTTGAACTCCTGACCTCAGGTGATCCATCCACCTCAGCCTCCCAAACTGCTAGGATTACAGGCGTGAGCCACTGTGCCTGGCCCAAAGCTATATATTTCTGTTTTCAGTGTTAAGTAGTAGTAGGTTTCTTTCTCACAAAGTTTGCTATGAAGTTTTCAGTATTTCCAGCTTGTTGTTTCACAAAGCAAATAAAATGGGGGAAGTCGGAGCAGGATGGTGGAATAGGACTCTCCAATGACTGCCCCACCACCACCTCTGCCAAAGCATCAATTTGAACAACTATCCATGCATGAAAATACTGGCCGGGCGTAGTGGCTCACGCCTGTAATCCCAGCACTTTGGGAGGTCGAGGTGGGCGGATCACCTGAGGTCCGGAGTTCGAGACCAGCCTGACCAACATGGTGAAACCCCGTCTCTACAAAAATTAACCAGGAATGGTGGTGGGCGCCTATAATCCCAGCTACTCAGGAGGCCGAGGCAGGAGAATTGCTTGAACCCGGGAGGCGGAGGTTGCAGTGACCCGAGATCACGCTACTGCACTCTAGCCTGGATGACAGAGCAAGATTCCATCTACGAAAGAAGGAAGGAAGGAAGGAAAATATGAATATAAGAAAGATATAGTCCCTACCTTTGAGGATCTTAGAGTCTACCAAAAGGGAGACGGGCACATTAACAAATGAGCACTAAAGTTATTTAGGTGTAAAATTAAAAATCTGGGCCAGCACCGTGGCTCACACCTGTAATCCTAGAACCTTGGGAGGTCGAGGCGGGAGGATTGCTTGAGCCCAGGAGTTCGAGACCAGCCTGGGCAACATAGAAAGATGTTAAAAATAAAAATTTAGCCAGGCATGGTGGTGCGTGCCTGTGGTCCCAGCTACTCGGGAGGCTGTGGAGGGAGGATCCCTTGAGCCTAGGAGGTCGAGACTGCAGTGAGCTGTGATCACGCCACTGCACTCCAGCCTGGGTGACAGAGCAAGACCCTGTCTCAAAAAACAAAAACAAAAAAACTGCATGTGGCTCTATGACTTCCAAAGAAATGAATGTTCAATTCTATCCAAAGCAGAGGGTAGGCTTCTTTGAGGAGGTAAATCCTGTTGTGTCTCTAAAGATGTTCAAAGATCAATGGTGGGTTAGTCTGTGGGACTCAGGGTGGGGGATTATATGCCAGTTGAACCAGCAGGAGCAATGATACAGGGTGTGGAGCAATGATACAGGGTGTGAAATAGCAAGGTGCATTCCCCATTAAAAAAGCTCTGTGTGCCCATTCTCTATAGTTTTGAGGTGGGGAGAAGGCATTATAGTGAGATAACATATAGCAGGTAGTCATGTATCACAGCTAAGGACTTTGAACTTTATCTTAGAGGGACGCAGAAGCCATGGGCTGGCCATTTTTATTTATTTCCTAGCCTAAATCATCCTGATTCTGAGCAATTACTATGGTCTATGATTACTGCAATAGATTGTTTTCAAAATGGGTACCATCATTCCCCTCCCTATATCCCTGCCTTGGGTAGATCTCTTCAAAATGGGTACCATCATCCCCCTCCCTATATCCCTGCGTTGGGTAGTTCTCTCCACTCTGACTCTTGAGCTTGGCCACGTGACTTGCTTTGGACAGTGGGTAAATAACAAACATGACACTTGGAAAGTGCTTGCACTGCAGTAATAAAGACACTATACACTATGATCCAGCAATAGGACTCCTTTGTATTTGATGAGTTGAAAGCAGGTCCACAGCAAACCTGCACAGAAATAATAAGAGTACATAAGGAAATTGAGAGAAACTAACAAACAAATGAACTAAATGTAAGACATTGACTGGAAACTGTTTCACAGAAGTTCAAAGACTATACATGAAAATTTATTAACTTCATAGTTAATTAGTAAAAACCAATATAAAAACACAAGACGATCCCATTTCACATACACTAGATAGACAAAAATAATTCATTAAAACATTAGATAGTTCCAATGTTGCCAATTATATGGAATAAATAGACACATGTGCAAGAATGGTGGAAGGGTCAACTCATACACTGTATTAGAAATTACTGGTAATCTTGAAGTTTCCCAGAACCTACAGCCCAGCAAATTTTCTCTAATGTGGAAAATTTGTTATGTATAGGCACTTGCAAACTTAAGTATGGTTCGAGCAACATTTTTCATAAGAGAAGAACATAAAATCAAAGAAAGCCAAATACTATAATAAATGGAATGGATGAGCAAATTGGGTTGTCCAAGACTCAGACACCAGCAGGTGTGAAATATCCTAGGGGGAAAAAAACAAAGGGATGCCAATCCATTTACTTCCTTTCATGGAAAGTGCAAATGAGGCAACATTAAATAAAACACTGCTTGGTGATAAATAGTGGATAGTAAGGCCATAAAAAATATCCACAGAATGATAGATAGTGGTCACCTCTGATGACAGAAGGCAAATGAAGTCAGGGTAGAGCACCACAGGGAGACTATGAAATGCACAATGTCTGTTCATTACTGTGAGCCTCCAGTCTAAAGAACTTTATATGATGTTTATCTAAATGTAAAACAGAACATTTTATGCATTTTTCTGAATAAGATATAATTTATTATACATATAGGCCGGGCACAGTGGCTCATGCCTTTAATCCCAACACTTTGGGAGGCCGAGGCAGGCGGATCACCTGAGGTCGGGAGTTTGAGACCAGCCTGACCAACATAGAGAAACCCTGTCTCTACTAAAAATACAAAATTAGCCAGGCATGGTGGCGCATACCTGTAATCCCAGCTACTCGGGAGGCTTGAGGCAGGAGAATTGCTTGAACCTGGAAGGCGGAGGTTGCAGTGAGACGAGATCGCACCATTGCACTCCAGCCTGGGCAACAACAGCAAAACTCTGTCTCAAAAAAAAATATATTACACATATATAAAGAAAGACTTAAGCACTAAAACTATAATTTATTTATTTATTATTTATTTATTTGAGACAAAGTCTCACTGTCGCCCACACTGGAGTGCAGTGGTGCAATCCTAGTTTACTGCAACCTCTGCCTCCCGGGTTCTAGCGATTCCCCTGCTTCAGCCTCCCCAGTAGCTGAGATTACAGGCGTGTGCCACCACGCCTGGCTAATTTTTGTATTTTTAGTAGAGACAGGGTTTTGCCGTGTTGTCCAGGCTGGTCTCAAACTCCTGACCTCAAGTGATCCAGCCGCCTCAGCCTCCCAAAGTGCTGGGATTACAAGAGTGAGCCACTGCACCCGGCTAAAAACTATAATTTAAAAAAAAGAAAGTCCTTGCACTTTGGGGTTTTTCCTGGGACCCATGCAGTCATCACCTTGTGGACAAGGCCAGGATGCCCTTCCAGAGACATGTAATCCAGTCACCTTCATCACTCTAGCCAACAGCCAGCACCCACTCCAGATATGTGAGTAATGCATACTACATCAATCATTTGTATTAATGCATAATCATTAGGGAAACTCAGAATGCTAGAGAGAAGGAGGCATGTCACTCATAATTATACTACCTAAATATAACTACTATAAGCTTTTTTAGTATTTTTATTTCCAATTTATTTTTTTAAGTTTTTTGAGACGGAGTTTCACTCTTGTTGCTCAGGTTGGAGTGCAATGGTGCAATCTCAGCTCACTGCAACCTCTGCCTCCTGGGTTCAAGCCATTCTCCTACCTCAGCCTCCCAAGTAGCCAGGATTACAAGCGCCCGCCACCACACCCGGCTAATTTTTTGTATTTTTAGTAGAGACAGGGTTTCACCATGTTGGCCAGGCTGGTCTCGAACTCCTGACCTCAAGTGATCTGCCTTCCTCAGCCTCCCAAAGTGCTGGGATTACAAGTGTGAGCCACCGCGCCTGGCCTATTTCCAATCTTATCTGCCCAGATTTCTCTATATGTTTATAATCAATATATATGGACAGTTTTGCAGCCCGCTTTTTAATTTGTATTAAACAAGTATATCTTCGGCCAGGCACAGTGGCTCACACCTATAATCCCAGCCTTTTGAGAGGTTGAGGCAGGCAGATCACTTGAGGTCAGGAGTTCAAGACCAGCCTGTCTAACATTGCGAAACGCCGTCTGTACTAAAAATACAAAAACTAGCCAGGTGTTGTGGCAGGTGGCTGTAATCTCAGCTACTCGGGAGGCTGAGGCAGGAGAATCACTTGAATCCAGGAGAAGGAAGTTGCAGTGAGCCAAGATCGTGCCACTGTACTCTAGCCTAGACGACAGATCAAGACTCTGTCTCTACAAAAAAAAAAAAAAAAGTATATTTTCGTATATGTTACACTTTAAATATACCATGTTTAATGGCTGGGTAATAGTCCATCTGATCTGGCAAATGAACTATAATTCCTTCGCTGTTGTTGAAAAATTAGGTATATGATGTAATAAACCTTTAAAAGCTTTAAGAGTAGGCACCCTAGTCAGAGCAGACCTGGGGACCTGTGAGCCCTGCACCCAGTTAACTGCTGAAGGGGTTGGCTCAGGCTACCGGCCCCTTTGGTGAGAACTCTGCCTGGGGCTCCGCTGATGGTTCTGAATCATGAAGGTGAAGAGGACTTCTCTAGCCAGGTGACGTTCTTGTTGAAAGCCATAGTCTACCTCAATCAGCTCTTCCTGCA
This sequence comes from Homo sapiens, assembly GCF_000001405.40. Classification (NCBI taxonomy): domain Eukaryota; kingdom Metazoa; phylum Chordata; class Mammalia; order Primates; family Hominidae; genus Homo; species Homo sapiens. The sequence continues at coordinate 16,898,673 of NC_000023.11, read as the reverse complement.
AACTGTCTTTAAGAGAGGTGCCTGCCCCCGCTGATCCAGGATCCAGGGCGTAGCAGCTTCCATGGATAGGGAGGTGGGCCCTCTTGTGACCTTTGGGTGGAAGGCAATGTTGACTATGCTTCTGCACTGGCAGGCATCGCCTTCCACAATGAAGGGCGCTGGTTGAATGATCCAGCCACAAGACCCTCGAGGTGCTGAGCTGGACCTACTACCTCAGAAGAGTGGCTCCCACAGCACTGGCAACAGCACTTGACATAGGGTTGTCCAACTGGAGCTTCACAATAACCAAATCTTTAGCTGTCCTCTTCATCATCAATCTTCTCTCTGATCTCCAAGCTGGAGGAGCTGCAATGACACTGGTCCTTGTGATCCTCCTCATCGCCGGGGGTCTCTTCATGTTCACCTTCAAGTCCACACAGCCCAATGTGGAGGGCTTTGCCTTGGTGCTGGGGACCTTGCTCATTGGTGGCATTCGCTGAACCCTCACCCGGACATTCCTGCAGAAGGCTGATCTTGGCTTCCAGGATTCCATCGACAGCATGTTCCACCTGCAGCCACTCACGTTTCTGGGGCTTTTCCCTCTCTTTGCTGTATGTGAAAGTCGCCATTTGTCCATGTGTGGGGAAATATTTCATTTCCAGGATACAGGGCTGCTCCTGGGGTACTTGGGAGCCTCTTCCTTGGTGGGCATCTCACCTTTGGTTTGGACTTCTCTGAGTTCATCCTGGTCTCCAGACCCTCCAGCCTCACTCTCTCCATTGCTGGCGTTTGGAAGGAAGTCTGCACTTTGCTGTTGGCAGCTCATCTGCTGGGTGATCAGATCAGCCACCTGAACTGGCTGGGCTTCCTTCTCTGCCTCTCAGGAATATCCTCAAAGCCCTGCACTCCAGAGGTGATGACAGCTCTGAACCCTTGAAAGGGCTGGGCTCCAGTTCCCACCTGGAGCCACTGCCCTGAAGCGGCCAGCAGGAGGAAGATGACAATGGGGAGGAGGAGTACTTTATGGCCCAGAGGCAGCAGTGACCAGCCAAGGGGAGCAGCTTGAAAGCAGGCCACTCCCCACTAACACTTGGCAGTAGCTCAGGGGACCTGGGTGGCTGGCTCTTCATGGCAGCTGGGAGCAGTGGGCCAGGAGTCACCCGGGCATGACCATGTGGTGTGGCCAGGTCAGGGACTTGTGGCTCCTGCCCCTCCCTTTGGAGCATGGTCAAACAGAGAGGGTGAGCACCTGGCCAGAGCTGGGCCCAAGCTGTGCTAGAATCACAGCAGGAGATGGGAGTGGGCTGGTTCTCCTCAACTATTTCTCCGACTCTGACAGCCAAGTCTCATTTCTGAGGCTTAGCAGCTTTCTAAGGGGACTGGGTTTGGACTGCAGAGCAACTGGGAAGGGGATCTGGAGAGGCTGGGGCCCTCATCACCTGGGCAGCATCTTTTCTCAGACAGCAAATTTATTTATACTTTGGAAATACATGGTTCACGGTCCAGAGAAATGGAACAAAAAATCCCTCGTAAGCACAAAGGTTTCTTCAACTTTAGGATTATTCCATATAACATTCTCATGAAGCAGAGCAATTGGATCAAAAGGTGTGAATATCATTGAGGACCAATACACATCACCAACTCACATGAAGGATTTCATACCAGTTTACACACCCATCAACATTGTCTGAGTGGTCATTTCACCAAAGCCTCAAAGGCCCCATGGGTTTCTGTAGTTGTTCATTTTGTTTTGTTTTCTATCTTTTTTAATTTGGGTGAGAAATTAATTCTGGTTTTCATTTTAATTATTTCTTCAATAATTAATAAGGTGTAAGTGTTAGAAAGTCACATTTTCCAGTGCCTATCAGAGCACTAGGCTAGTTGATTTAAGTTGTGTTAAAATAACTTTCTTCATATCCACACAATAGCTGCTTCCAAATTTCCATATAGTGCCTAGAAATAGCTATCTGTTTGAATCTGTATTTGCACAGCAATTTCAAAATATTGAGAAGATGTCAGTTGTCTATAACTAAGAATAAGCCTACCCAGTGAAGATTATTCGGGGGAGACCTAAACTCCCAAGCTACCCATTGGTATTGCCAGGAAATCCACACCACAATATTGCTGCAATTTATACATGAGTACCCTAAGCCTTGGAGGTTTTAAGAAACTTGCCTGGCTGGGCGTGGTGGCTCACGATTGTAATCCCAGCACTTTGGGAGGCAGAGGCGGGAGGATCACTTGAGTCCAAGGGTTCAAGACCAACCTGGGCAACATGATGAAACTCCGTCTCTACAAAAAATACATAAATGAGCCAGATGTGGCGCATGCACCTGTAGTCCCAGCTACTAACTAGGGAGGCTGAGGCAGGACCGTCCCCTGAGCCTAGGAGGTCAAGGCTGCAGTGAGCCATGATCACACCAGTGCACTCCAGCCTGGGCAACAGAATGAGGAAGAAGAAAAAAAGAAAAAAGAAACTTTCTCAAGAGTCCTGTAGATATATAAACCTCAGAGAATGTAAATAGACGATCAGGGCAGAGTGGATGGGGGTCCTCAGTTCATAGAACAAAAATCAAATTAAGTAGCAAGAATGACATAACATCGTTACAAGATCTTTCTGGTACATCTCAAATACAATCACTTCTTATATCTCTACTGCTACTACCCCATCCAAAGCACATCCTCTCTGTCTCTGCTGGATTACCACAGTAGTCTGCAAACTAGTTTCCAAGCCCATCCATAATCCTCTACAGCTTACCTTCTACATGTCTCCTAAAGATGTTAGCAATCTTCTTTTTTTTTTTTTTTTCTGTTTTTGAGACGGAGTCTCTCTCTGGCCTAGGCTGGAGTGCGGTGGTGCAATCTCGGCTCACTGCAACCTCTGCCTCCTGGGCCCAAGCGATTCTTCCGCCTCAGCCTTCTGAGTAGCTAGGAGTACAGGCTCATGCCACCACGCCTGGCTCATTTTTTTTTTTTTTTTTTTGTATTTTTGGTAGAGACGGGGTTTCACCATGTTGGCCAGCCAGGCTGGTCTCGAATTCCTGACTTCAGGTGATCCACCCACCTTGGCCTCCCAAAGTGCTGAGATTACAGGCATAAACCACCGTGCCTGGCTGCAATCTTCTTTTTCCTTTTATTCATTTGGCAGTGAAGGGAACTTGCATAGGTGACTCTGGTCACTCTGGTGACTCTGGTCAACTTCCTCTGACATCTTGTAGGTCCTCCCCACCCCCAGTGGAAAAAAAGAACCATAAGTACATGAGCCCAAGCTGACGCATTCCCCACCTGTAGGACTTGGGCTTTGCCCATGCCAGGGTAGAAAGAGCAGCCAGACCATCATCTCGGCCACCCGAAACAGTCTCCTGCATTCTCCCTGCTCAATTTCCAGCCTGCCAGATGGAGGGGTGTCTTGAGTACCTGCTATGGGACAGACACCATGTCAGATAATAGGTACAAGACAGTGAACAAGACACAAATGATTCTAGAATTTTGGCACTTACTTTCTAGCAAGGAATACTGACAAAAGTAAATAAACAAAGAAAATTCACGCAGTGTGATAAGCACTAGGAAGAAAGTGCAGTATGAAACTAGCCTAGAAAGTAATAGGGAGGGCAGTCAACTGACTTATATCAGGTGGTTGACAAAGGTCTCCCTGGGAAAATGACATTTAAGCTGAGACTCAAAGGAAGAGAAGGAGGAGTGGGGTTGGGGTTGTGGAGAGGCTGAAAGAGAACAGTAAGTTCAAAGACCCTAAGGTGGAATAAAAATGGGCAAGCTCAGTGATCTGAAAGATCAGAATGTTCTTGGTGCACAGTGAGCAAAGGGAAGTTTGATATGAAACGTCCCTGAGATGTAAGCAGGAGTCCAATCACGTAAGGCCTTAGAGACTATGATAAGGAGTTTGGACTTCATTCAAGGTACAATGGAAAGGCATAAGAAGAGTTAATGAAGGGAAGAAAATTAATCAACTATCCCTTGATGTTTTATGAGAAATGGATTGGAATGTTCATGAGTGGTGTTGGGAAGACCAGGTGGGAGCCTGTGGCTCTGATCAGGTGAAAGTTAATGGTGGCTGGGACTGGGCTGGTGGCCATGAAGATGGAAAGAATTGGAGGGCTCTCAAGATACATTTTAGAGGTAGAATCAAAAGAAATTGCTGAAAAGGAAAACCCACATTCACCAAATACTAATAGATTCTTTTGTGTCTTTAGCAATTAAAAAATCACTAAATACCCCTAGATCAAAATGGCAAAAAAAAAAAAAAAAAAAAAAAAAGAAAGAAATGTAAAGACTATTCTAGAAAGAAATGTTGGCTGGGCGCAGTGGCTCATGCCTGTAATCCCAGCACTTTGGGAAGCTGAGGCGGGCAGATCACAAGGTCAGGAGTTCGAGACCAGTGTGGCCAGCATAGTGAAACCCAGTCTCTACTAAAAATACAAAAAAATTAGCGGGCATGGTGGCGGGCGCCTGTAATCCCAGCTACTTGGCAGGCTGAAGCAAGGAGAATCGCTTGAACCTGGGAGGTGGAGGTTGCAGGGAGCTGAGATCACGTCACTGCACTCCAGCCCGGGCGACAGTGCAAGATTCTGTCTCAAAAAAAAAAAAAAAAAAAAGAAGAAAAAGAAAGAAAAGTTATACTGCCATTTGTGATTTAAATTTTAAGAAATCATTCTGAAGGACTTCGATGAAACAGGCACTTATAATTGGATGGCTGATGACTCACAACATGCATAATCATTAAAAAATAAACTTTTTGGCTGGGCGTGGTGGCTCACGCCTGTAATCCCAGCACTTGGGAGGCTGAGCCGGGTGGATGGCCTGAGGTCAGGAGTTCGAGACCAGCCTGGCCAACATGGAGAAACCCCGTCTCTACTAAAAAACTACAAAAATTAGCCGGGTGTGGTGGCGGGCGCCTGTAATCCCAGCTACTCGGGAGGCTGAGGCGGGAGAATCGCTTGAACTCGGGAGATGGAGGTTGCCATGAGTGGAGATCCCACCATTGCACTCCTGCTTGGGTGACAAGAGTGAGACTTCGTCTCAAAAAAATAATAAAATAAATATAAATATAAATAAATAAATAAACTTTTTTTAAAATTGAGGATGACTCCAAGGTTTCTGGTTGAATAATGAGTTGGTTGGCATTGCCCTTTACTGAGATAAGGACAACTGGGCAGGGAAATAAGGTAAAGGTTGTGCACAGGGATTAAGAGTTCAACTCTAGACATGTTAAGTTTGAGGTGGGCTTAGTCTTCTTGACTCTGGATAAGGTAAACACACGATGGTTCTTTATAAAAATAAATGTGACAACAACAAATTAAGCACTAATAACAGTGGAGAACAATCTGTAAAAGACCTTCCAAGAGTAAAAGCACCCAAAACTGCTGTGTTTCTCAGAGAATGTATTTGAAACTTGCAAATAATAACACTATGAGATAGGTACAGGATTATTGCTCTCTTATTGTAGATGAGTAAACAGAGTGGAAAATTTAAAAACTCATCCAAAAAATACACATCTAATAAGGGGATAAATTGGGATTATATAAATTGTAACAATCTATGGTACATGTAGGAAAAGATTATTTTTCGAAGACCTTGGGCCCGATAGTACGTTATTGTCTCCCAGTTCCAAACTGGTCCTTGCCAGGGCTGGGACTCTGCAAACATTTCCGCTTTGTCAGCTGCTCTCTGCTAGGCTCTGCCAGTAGGGGGAGCTAGATAGAGACTGTAAATCGGGAAAAGGGAAAATAGTCTTGCTCCTCCCCATCTGCTTTCTACATCTTGACTGCAGCAGTTCCTTGCAGCAGGGGATGGCGCCCTCTCCCCTGAGGTCTGGGTCCCAGTTCCTTCCTCGACGTTTCTAAGTTTTAGTAATTCCAACCTCTTCCTTTGTTCACTCAGCCTTCCTTTGCTCACCTTAGAGTTCTCTTTTGAGTCTTTCCTAGGTCAAGATCCTTTACATTAATTTCTGCTTAAGTGACTGATGTGGTTTCTGTCTCCTGACTGACCCATGGCAGATACAGGCCTAAAAACTGAAAATTCCCAGCCAGTGTCACTTATGAATATAGACGCTAAATCCTAAATGTAATTTTAGTAAACTCAGCAGCAAAACAGTTAAGGCTCATGACATGGATCATCCTGGTGAAGCAGGTGTAATTTAATATGTTAAATTAATGAAATTTAACATATTATTATGCAAGACACAATCAGGAACAGGGGAGACAATTATGACCAAAATCAAAGTCCTGTCCTTCACGGAGCTTCAGTGAAGCCAGATATTTCTTGAATAGTCACACAAACACATGCTCTGTGAGAGCTTTTTATTTATTTATTTATTTATTTATTTATTTAATATATATACATATATTTTTTTTTTGAGGTAGAGTCTCCCTTTGTCACCCAGGCTCGAGTGCAGTGGCACAATCTCGGCTCACTGCAACCTCTGCCTCCCGGTTCAAGTGATTCTCCTGCCTCAGCCTCCCGAGGAGCTGGGATTACAGACACCAGCCACCACGCCTGGCTAATTTTTGTATTTTTAGTAGAGACGGGGTTTCGCCATGTTAGCCAGGCTGGTCTTGAACTCCTGACCTCAGGTGATCCGCCCGCCTTGGCCTCCCAAGTGCTGGGATTACAGGCATGAGCCACCAGGCCCAGCAATTTTATATATATATTTTTTTAGACAGCGTCTTGCTCTATCACCCAGGCTAGAGTGCAGTAATGTGATCATGGCTCTACTGCAGCCTCCAACTCCCGGGCTCAAGTGATCCTCCCACCTCGGCCTCCCAAGCAGCTAGGACTACAGGCACATGCCACCACACCCAGCTAATCCATGAGAGCTTTTAATAGGGTATGTGACATGGTCAGGAAGGTCAAAGGTCAGAGAAGGCTTCCCTGAAGAAGTGACACTTGGACAGATATTTGAAGGACACATAAATAGCTATTCAGGCAAAGAGACAAGGAAAGAGCATGTGCAAAAGTCATGTACTACGCTGGGCACAGTGGCTCACGCCTGTAATCCCAGCACTTTGGGAGCCCGAGGTGGGCAGATCGCTTGAAGTCAGGAGTTTCAGACCAGCCTGGCCAACAGAGTGAAACCTCATATCTACTAAAGATACAAAAATTAGCTGGGTGTGGTGACATGCACCTGTAGTCCCAGCTACTCAGGAGGCTGAGGCAGGAAGATCACTTGAGTCTGGGAGGCAGAGGTTGCAGTGAGCCGAGATCTCACCACTGCACTCCAGCCTGGGTGACAGATCGAGACTCTGTCTCAAAAAAAAAAAAAAAAAAAAAGAAAGAAATCTCCACTGCAGTGTGCTCATCCGGGGTGCTTTTAAATATCTCACACTGCACAGCAGACTAATTATGTCAAAATTTGGGGGGAAAACCCAAGCATCAGCATTTTTTAAAATTCCTCAGGTGATTCCAATGTGTAGCCAAGGTTGACAATTGACAGACTATCATTGTATTCCAAGTCCTATTCTAAATTCTAGTGGTGTTAAAATAAATAAATAAATAAATAAATAAATAAAGCATGCAATGTGTGCCTCAGCTGGGCATGGTGGCTCACCACTGTAATCCCAGCACTTTTGGAGGCCAAGGCACGAAGATCACTTGAGCCCAGGAGTTCGAGACCAACCTGGACAACATAGTGAGACTGCCATCTCTAGTTTTAAAAGTAAATATTCCTTTTGGTAGTAGATAGCTCAAATAAATAAATAAATACATAACATATTTTTAAAAAGAAAAAACTGTATGCCTGTATACGGAGTTACTTCACTTATTAATAACATGCTATTTTTACATAAAGCAATTTTTCCTTGAGCATTCTGGTCTTCTCAAACAATTAAAGATAAGCAGGTTGGTCAGACATTTAAACTTATAACTGTTTGAACCTTATTAATTGCCCACTTCAACAGAGCTAGTGGACCTAAGATGCAAATGAAAACTGCAAGGTTCAAAGCTATCAAAAAATTAATGATTGAACCGCTCTGTTGTTGCAGAGAGATGATTATTTGATAACACTCATGGTTATTTCAGAACCAAAGGAGATGCCTGTTATAAAGAAAGATTCTAATCTCCAGTCCCTTCATCTAGAATTTTAAAATTGTAGTCACTTTTTGGAAAAAGTTTTTATTGTGAAATAATTTCAAACTTGCAGAAAAGTTGCAAGAATAGTGCAAAGAATTTCCATATACCCCCTTCACCCAAACTTATCAATTGTTAACATTTTACCATCTCTAGATAGATAGATAGACAGATGATAGATGAATGTAGATAGCTATAAATAGTTTTGATTTATAAGAGAGTAAGTTTATCATGTCCCTTTACCCCCTAAATACTTCAGAGTGTACGTCCCAAAAAACAAGAACATTCTCTTACATAATCACAGTTCAATCACAAGAATTTGGAAATTTAAAGGTGCTATAACACTATTATCCAATCTACAGCTCATATTCAAAATTTTTAATTGTATCAATAATGTCCTTTCCAGCACTTTCTCCCAGTCCAGGATCTAATCCACAAGTACACATGGCATATATCATGTCATGGCTCTTCAATCTCCTTTCATCTGAAATGGTTCTGTTAATATGTTGCAGAAAATCCTTCAGTCTGGGTTTGTGTGATGTTTTCTCAAGAGTAGATTGAGCTACACTTTTTTTTTTTTTGAGACAGAGTCTCGCTCTATCACTTAGTCTGGAGTGCAGTGGCACGATCTCAGCTCACTGCAACCTCCACCTCCCAGGTTCAAGCGATTCTCCTGCCTCAGCCTCCTGAGTAACTGGGATTACAGGCACCCGCCACCATGCCCGGCTAATGTTTGTATTTTTAGTAGAGACGGGGTTTCGCCATGTTGGCCAGGCTGGCACATTTTTTTTTTTAGGCAGAGTCTTGCCTCCCTCTATCGCCCAGGCTGGAGTGCAGTGGCACAATAACGGCTGAGTACAACCTCTGCCTCCTGGGCTCAAGTGATTCCCATGCCTCAGCCTCTCCAGTAGCTGGGATTACAGGCACCCACACCCACGCCTGGCTAATTTTTTGTATTTTTAGAAGAGACACGGTTTCATCATGTTGGTCAGTCTGGTCTGGAACTCCTGACCTCAAGTGATCTGCCCGCCTCGGCCTCCCAAAGTGCTGGGATTACAGGCGTGAGCCACCGCGCCCAACCGAGTTATACATTTTTGGATGGGGATACCACATAAGAGATGATGTGTTCTTCTCGGGGAACCACATCAGAAGGTTCATGACGTCAACTTGCCCGATTGCTGGTGATGTTTGCTTTGATCACTTGGGTAAGATGCTGTCTAGTGTCTGTCAGGTTATCATGATAATGTTACTAATTTCCCTTTGTGATGTCATCTGTGGGGATCTACCTGCAGGGTCCAGACTAGGCTGAGGTGAGTGAGGCTTAGGGATGTAAGCGGTACTCCAGGCCCTGTTGGGGAGATCCTAGTCTCCCTTTTTAAAGACACCTTGTCACGTAATCAGTTCACCTACTGTCTCTTATCAGGTTCAGGAGGAAGTCTTGCAAAAATAAAATTATGCTATCAAAATTTTAACAGGAAATTTAAATCAAATCAAGACATCAAATTTGGCATAATTGAGAAGAAAAGAGAAAGCAGGAAGATTAATCTAGGCAGGTGGGGATCAAATAACAAAAGCAAAGCAACAGGACAGAGCAGGGTCTGCTGGGCAAACTCGGAGCAGAGCGTAGTGGTTGGGATGACTGTGAAGGCCTCCTAACTGGGGCCCCTAAGTCCATCCTTGTCCCCCTACAGTCTGTCTCAGCATAGAAAGCCAAGTGATCCTTTAAAACTGAAAGTTGCACTTGGAAGGAAAGGCTAATGGCTCACAGGGCCCTGCCTGAGCCACCCACACCCACCTTGCTGACCTCTTCGCCCACTGATTGCCATAGCTCAGTGACCTTGCAGTGCAGAGCTGCTCTGCTCCAGTCCTTCAAAAACAGAACAAGCCCATCCACCTCGCCTTGCCTCCCCTGCCTCGGGGACTTTGCGCTATATCCCTGGGCCTGGGACATTGTGTCCCCAGATAGCCATGTGGCTCCCTCCCTCTCCTCCTTCAGATTTCTGCTCAACCTTCTCAGCAAGACCTTCTCTGACCAACCCCCGCAAAATCCTCCCTGCTACCTCCCTACCTCCCTTCTTTGCTTTACTTTTCTCCAGGGCACTTATAAGCAGCCAACAGACAAATGGGGTTCTTTGCTTCGTCTTCGACATCCCATTAGAATGTAAACTCCATGAGGCGAGGAAGTTTTGTGTCTTGTTCACTTCTGGATTCCCAGAGCCTAGAACATGCCTGGTGCATAAGAGCTCAGTAAATGTGTGTGTGTGTGTGTGCGTGTGTGTGTGTGTGTGTGTGTGTGTGTCAGAGAGAGAGAGAGAGAGAGACTGAGACAGAGAGAGATAGAGAGAGAAAACGAAGGGAAGGGAGATCAGATAAGGTTGAGAGGTAGGTTGGAACCAGATTTTATTGGTTGTCTGACACGATGGATTTACCATGAAGATAATGAAGCTTAAGGAAAGGTCCTAGCAATGTGCACATGGCCATGTGTTTAAATTTGCAAAAGTAGGCTAGGTTCGGTAGCTCATGCCTGTAATCCCAGCACTATGGGAAGCCAAGGCTGGAGGCTCACTTGAGCCTAGGTGTTCGAAACCAGCCTGAGCAACATAGTGAAACTCCATCACTATAAAAAATACAAAAATTAGCTGGGCATGGTGACATGCACCTGTAGTCCCACCTGCTTGGGAGGCTGAAGTGGGAGCATCGCTTGAGCTCAGGAGATTGAGGCTGCAGTGAGGCGAGATTGCATCACTGCATTCCAGCCTGGGCGACAGAGTGAGACCCTGTCTCAAAAATAAAATAAAATAAAATAAATTTGCAAAAGTAAAATGCTTAAGCTGCAATCAGTTAGAAACACTGTCTCCATTCCAACTTCCCCTCCATCTCAATATATGCACAGAGCATAGTGCTAAGCTGGAGCTTTTTCCCAGAGTTCTCAGCTCTATGTGGTTCCAGGTTAGCACTGGCCACTAGAGACATTCTGCAGGCGATGTGGAGGGTAGATGTACACCAGCGGGCATATTTTTGAAGCTCTGAAGGTTAGTCTGGGGGTGTGGGGGTAGGCACTGTGGCAGCTTGCAGGCAGTGTCACTGATCTGATCCCTCACTTAGGCGACACTGGACAGCTCCTTCAGTGACTCCAAAGCCTGGGTCAAATGCATGTGTAGTTCCGTGGCAAAGAGTACCAGCTTCTCGTGCAGGCCACACACGACACCATGACAAGAGGTGGTGAGAGGTTGGACACGTGTTCCAGTTTGTCCGTAAGCATTCCAATTGTTATCCACATGCAGTTCTCCTTCCAAATGCTGGTCTGGCTGACCTATAGCAACTTCAGGCTCAACAATAAACATGGAGGTGACAGCTTACACATACTCTTCCCCCAGTCGCATAGGATCGAATCCCTATAATAAATCCCTTATTCTAGATCTCTCATGGCAGTTCTGCTTATCAGATCGACCCCTGACTGATACACTTCCCGCTATACTCAGTGACATTAGAGTGGCTACAGGCATTTTGGGGATCTAGCTAGGGGAAGTTGAGTTGGAGATATATTTGGCTAGGGTTTAGAGAAACATACATGTTTGACGGTCATTTCCATGAATGATTAAGTCATTGATTAGCCATCCAAATAAGGAATAGCTCTCAGGAATACTCCTACACCCCACTGCCAGAGGACATATCACAATATGATCATGTCTGAGGGCACCTGGCACCAGATGTGGGTAGTGGACAAAAAACGAGGCTTATGGTCAGGTGCAGTGGCTCATGCCTGTAATCCCAGCACTTTGGGAGGCCAAGGTGGGCAGATCACCTGAGGTCAGGAGTTTGAAACCAGCCTGGCCAACATGGTGAAACCCCGTCTCTACTAAAACTACAAAACTTAGCCAGGCTTGGTGGTGTGTGCCTGTAATCCCAGCTATTCAAGAGGCTGAGGCAGGAGAATTGTTTGAACCTGGGAGGCGGAGGTTGCAGTGAGCTGAGATCACGCCACTGCACTCCAGTCTGAGCGACAGAGTGAGACTCTGTCTCAAAAAAAAAAAAAAAGGCTTAAAATGCACAAAGCCAGAAGCAAGCCTGGGGAAAGTTCTTCCAAGCATATTATGTGATTTTTCCAGATTTTGTGATGTTTCTGGTATTTGTCAGCTTTTTAACATTTGTAATGTGTCGTGATTTCTCATTCCAAATACTTATTCACTTTTGTATCTAATGTTGTACTATGAAGTTCGTATTATTGTTCTTAAAGAGGGCCCCCAAACTGCATAAGCTTCAGCACCCATGAGATCATATTCTGCTCTTAAATATCAAGCTGGAGAAACTGGAATCCACTCTGGAGCCAATCAGAAATCATCACAGGATTCTGGCAGAAGAATGGAATAATCAGGTCTGTACCAAGCAGTGATGTGTTGGAGAAGGGTCATACTGGTTCATGAGAGCTCATTGTGAAGTTTTCAGGAATTTTATGAGGTGACTGACGTCAGATCGGTAGCTTGAAATCAGCCACTGCAGGAGTATTTATACCACAGAAATTGGCAAGTGCTGCAAATCAGGCCTTCCCCCACCACCAGAGAGCCGGTTATTAAACATATACCAACACATCACTGGTATAATACCAGGTGATTCCCTTGGTCATAAATCTTCATGAGAAAATATCCCTGGAATGAATTGACTCTCAAGTGTAGCTGATAGAGATGGGGGTTAGGGAGGGAAGAAAGGGTAGAAGGCATCACAGAGGAGAAGTTGCTTAAAAGCTTTAAGTACCTGAAGGAGAGAAATAAAGAAAAAGGATGTGAAACTCAAGAGAAACAAAATTGTACCCATCCCCCAACTTTGTCTAAGATGAATCTTGCTGATCTTCCATTCTACATGGGAGCACACTGCAGTGAAGTTTTGTTTGTTTGTTTTGTTTTGTTTTTTTGAGACAGAGTCTTGCTCTGTCACCCAGGCTGGAGAGCAGTGGCGCAATCTTGGCTCACTACAACCTCTGCTTCCCAGGTTCAGGCGATTCTCCTGTCTCAGCCTCCCGAAAAGCTGGGATCACAGGTGCATGCCACCACACCCGGCAAATCTCTGTATTTTTAGTAGAGATGGGGTTTCTCCATGTTGGCACACCTGGTCTGGAACTCCTGGCCTCAAATGATCTGCCCACCTTGGCCTCCCAAAGTGCTGGGATTACAGGTGTGAGCCACCACACCCAGCCTGCAGTGGAGATTTTTGAGTTTGTGTGTTGCATGGTTACTTGGGCAAGCTCTGATTATAACATATGTAATTTAATATTCTAAATTGGATTTAGAATCACAATAAAAGGTCATTGTCTTTGTTTCTGTTTTAATATATTCAGATATATTAAAATAAATATGAAGATACATATTTTCAATGACGTTATTAAATTACACAGATCATATTTCGTCTAGCTCAAGGTGCCATGATTATAAGATACACCATTATTTTATATATAAAACTAAGAAAAAATATGTTGCCAACTATACTATGACGTATTTCAGATGAACGTTAATTCAGAGATGTTAAAATGTGGGGGAAAAAGAGAATGAGTCTCATAATCAGTGAAATACGAAATAACCTTTGGATCTCTCCTGGGCTAAAAACATTGTTTGAGGAATGAGGAAATTATAGATCCGGAAGAGCAAACCATCTACTTAAGGGGATAGGCCTAGTTAGTGACAGAGTTGGAAATGAAATGCAATTATCTCCCTGCCTTGATCAGAGCTCACAGTGATTAGAGAATTTCATACATCAGAGAGCAATAAGGGGCTAATGTGGAAGTACCTTTTACCTCTGAGAATACAATGTGCTAAAATGTACGGATTGTCCTCTGATAAATCAGAAAATGCTATATAGGACAAAATGACAGCATCTGCTAAAAAGGTCCCCATATCTAGCATTGGTTTCTTTTTTTTTTTTGAGATGGAGTCTCACTCTGCCTTCCAGGCTGGAGTGCAGTGGCGTGATCTCAGCTCACTGCAACCTCCGCCTCCCGGGTTCAAGTGATTCTCCTGCCTCAGCCTCCCCAGAAGCTGGGATTACAGGCACCCGCCACCATGCCCGGCTGATTTCTGGGTTGGTTTTTTTTTTTTTTTTTTTTTTTAGTAGACACAGGGTTTCACCTTGTTGGCCAGGCTGGTCTTGAACTCCTGACCTCAGGTGATCCGCCCACCTCGGCCTCCCAGAGTGCTGGGATTACAGGCATGAGCCACCTTACCCAGCCTAGCATTGGTTTCTATTATAGATTTCCAGTGTCTGTAATAGTGCCTTGCTGAAATATTTATTGGCATATTGTAGGTTCTCAATGAATGTTAGATGCATTTATCTAGCTCAGTGACTTTCTTGATGACTTTGAACCAGTTACTTCATCTCTCTGGGTCTGCTGCATCTTCATGAAATGAGCATACTAATATCCTTCACTGAGGGGCATAGCAAAGGTTAAATGAGATGGGAATGTAAGTCTGCCTGGCACAGAAGCTGGCCAATGGTGGGAACATCAATGTTAGTTTTCTTTACCCTTAAGGTATTGTTGTTAGATTCAAAGTCGTTTAAATGCCAACTTTGTAAAGCCATTCAGAAAAATCAATATTCCTATACAGTCTAATGCTCTTCTCCAATATAGTAACCAGTAGCCATGTGTGGCTATTTAAATTTTTAATTAGCCAGGTGCGGTGGCTCACGCTTGTAATCCCAGTGCTTTGGGAGGCCGAGATGGTTGTGCGAGATCAGCCTGAGAAACATACAGAGACCCTGTCTCTATAAAAAAAATTTAAAATTAGCCATGCACGGCAGCTCAGGCCTGTAGTCCCAGCTACTTGGGAGGCTGAGGTGGGATAATTACTTGAGCCCAGGAGGTTGAGGTTGTAGTGAGCCGTGCTTTCGCCACTGCACTCCAGCCTGGGTGACAGAGCAAGACCCTGTCTCAAAAAATAAAATAAAGTAAAAATAAAAATAAATGTATAGTTAAATGAACTAAAATTAAAATTTAATTTCTTCAGTCATTTTAGCCACATATCCACTTGTGGCTAGTGGCTGACGTGCTGGACAACACAGATATTGGAAATTTCCATCATTGCAGAAAGTTCCATTGGATAGTGCTGCTCTACATTCATGAGAGGACCACAATGCCCCTGTTTTTTTCCTCAACCCAAGCCAGGAGGTCCTAAAACATGTTATACCAAACGTCACTTGATTTGTGCGCCCTCCCGTGGCTAGAGGTGGAAACTGGTCTGCGTTTAGCTGACGAAGCAGCACATTTATAAAAGGGATAGCTTAGTAATCTTCAGTAATCTGACTACTAGAAAGAAAAGAGACATAAAATAGAATATGCATTTTGAATGCTCTAGAGACTACTAAGGAAAATCTGTTTGAGAAGGTTTGATTCCGTAATCCTATTGTTCCTATATCTCGGTATTTCCTGGACTACCTACCCTTGTGGGATAAAGACGTTCTCTGTTTAAACAAAGGATGGTACTATATGGCTGTTTAAAAGTGCGGAGAGACGGGCAGGATTATTCGATGAATGATCCCAGGCGCTCTCTCAGTGGCACCTGGCAACAAACAAGCTGGAACCTGTGGCTCCCCCTGTGGGGACTGGGAGGACTAGACTGAGACTCCACTTCCCACTGGATGAAGGGGACTCCTGTTTCTGGGTGCCGGGCACCTGGCCCTTCCGGGCACTCCCCCACACAGCTGGCACCAGAGCTTAGCCTGCCTGGAGCCTGAGCCCAAGAGTTTATGCCCGACCTACCACCCATGCAAGGCTGTTCTCACGCTTGCGCATTAGAAATGAAGAACCGTGGAGGCGGGGTGGGGCTTCCCGCGAAGCAGTCCCCGCCTGAGTTCTGCGGGTCCCCAAGCACCCTCGCCACAGGATGCACAAAACGTGAGGGACCTGGGCGGCCGCTGACTCTTCTGCCTGGGATTTCAGCCTCACCAGTAACACCCCTGGTGCTGGGGAGGGGCGGGGCGGGGGGACAGCTAAACCTCTTTGTACAGATTTTTTTCTGAAGACATTAATATATTAATATTTCCACACACACACAAAATCAGTAAACACAGAGAAATACAAAGAAAATAAAGATCACTCAAAATCCTGTCACCCAGATAAAATCACTAATACAGCTAAATATACGGTTGTACTACACATAATGGCATTTCCCCCTACACTGGTTTACTTAACTTTAAGAGATATTCAGTGAGCAATGCACGTGGCCAAACAGCAGCTGCCTCCTGAGGTCTGGCACAGCTTCCGGGTCCCTCCCCCACGCAGGACATGCACAGTACAAGAATTGGGTTGAACCTGGTGCAGTTCTTCAACTCAGAACAGCTACCCCTTCAAATGGGCACCTACGTGTGTACACTGTGTTCGGTGCATTGTCCCTGTCTGGGAGCAAGTGCCAAGTCACATCCCTTCTCCTGCAGCTGCAACTCGTCAATCAAGAGTTTCACAAAGAATGTTTTTGGAAACCAGGTACACGCTGACCCGCTAACGTTCCACATTTATCTGAGCCCACTACATTCTGGGGCACAGAGACACATCGTGTTGGCTCTTCTTTTTTAAAAAATTAGCTTTATTGAGATGTAATCACATACTATACAATTCACCCAATTAAAGCATACAAGTGACTAGCTTTTAGTACATTCACAGTCTAATTATAGAACATTTTCATACCTCCTAAAAGAAAGTGGACAAATTAGCAATCACTCCTCATTTTCCCCTAAACCTTCCAACGTTAGGTAATCACTAATCTATTTTGTGTACTTATGGGTTTGTCTATTCTGGCCATTTCATATAAATGGAACCATACGGCCGGGCGAGGTGGCTCACGCCTGTAATCCCAGTACTTTGGGAGGCCAAGGTGGGCGGATCACCTGAGGTCAGGAGTTCAAGACCATCCTGACCAACATGGTGAAACTCTACTAAAAATACAAAAAAAAAAAAAAAATTAGCTGGGCATGGTGGCACACGTCTGTAAAACCAGCTACATGGGAGGCTGAGGCAGGAGTATTGCTTAAACCTGGGAGGCGGAGGTTGCAGTGAGCCGAGATCGCGCCACTGCACTCCAGCCTGGGTGACAGAGCGAGACTCCATCTCATAAATAAATAAATAAATAAATAAAGGAACCATACAATATGTTTTTTTTGTGTGTCTGGCTTCTTTCATTTAGTATGATGTTTTCAAGGTTTATCCATGTTGTAGCATGTATCAGGACTTCATTTCTTTTTATTGCCAAGCAATATTTCATTGTATAGACACAATGCATTTTATTTACCCATTTGTCAGTTGGTGGAATCCCATTAATATATATGTGTATCCTTACACCAGTACCACACTGTCTTGATCACTGTAGCATGTAGTAAGTCTTGATCTAGGGAAGTGTGAGTCCTCCAGCTTTGTTCAAGATTGTTTTGGCTTTTCCAGATGCCTTGACTTTTCATATGAATTTGAGGATCAGCTTATCAATTTCTGCAAAGAATTTAACTGAGTTAGGGATTGCGTTAAATCTGTAGATCACTTATACTGTTTTATAACCTGCTTGTTTTTCAGTCAAATATATTGTGGACATCTTTCCATTTCAGTATTTACAGATTTCATCTTCTTTCTTATGTAATAATTTAACAAATATTTATTAAACAATTACAAGACACAAGGTAGTCTGGTTTCCTAGGTAGAAAGCTTCTTTTTTTCTGGGTGTACATGTACCAAAAAGATTACTTACAGCTTTGCAAAATGAGTTAAATATAGATATAGCCTTTTAGCTAGACTAGGGTTTCTTGGTCTCAGCATTATTGATATTTGGGGATTATTCTTTGTTGTGGGGGGCTGTCTTCTACATTGGAAGATGTTTAGCAGCATTCCTGGCCTCTACCCACTAGATGCCAGAAGCATCCCCCTCTCCCAGTTATGACAACCAAAAATGTGTCCAGACATTGGCAAATGTCCCCTGGGAGGCAAAATTACCCCTGGTTGAGAACCACTGAGCTAGACCTTACATAATCATTTATGATGATTCCATAGTACATCCCATGAATAATCTACAATTTATGCAACTAATACCCTATAATTCCATGTTCCTGTTACGCCCAATTTTTTACTATTTTTTATAAAACATTACTTTTAGAAAGTACAACATCAGCTCGTTGGGGTAAATAACTATATCATGTTAGATTTTTTTTTTTTACTATAAAAGTTCTATGTGAAAATTATTTTTCAAACAATCTTGAAGCTAAAATTAAAAGGATTTATCTCTCAATCCTACTCCCCAGAAATAGTGTATGGTATGTTAGTTTTAAATTTTTACATTTATTCAGAAGTGAAGTGGTAAAAACCTTCTTTTAGTGCATTTTTATCATTACATGTGATAATTTTGTCTATTCACTGCACATTTTATCTGGAGCTCTCCAAGCCACATTTTTCGAGCTGCTGGTCTTGGCCCATTCGTGGAATCAAATTAGAGGGTCATGAGCAGCACTTTTTAAAATGAAATAGAACAAAACAGATCATATCAGAGTATATTATACATAACAAAAATAAGTACTATTTTTTGAAAAAAATGTTTCAGTATCAGATAGATAGATGAGATAGACATATAGATGAAAAATGTATGCGTAACTATAGGTTGCAGCCAAGAAAAATGTAAAAGCCACTGCTGTAAGCAATCTAAATATACATATTTAACATTCCTTTCTATAATGGTAGTAAAGTGGTGGATGGGGCAAGTCTCTTCTTTCTTGACTAGAAAAGAATAATTAATATAACATAAGCAAAAATACTTAGTGTTAACAGTTACCCCCAGAAAAACAACACCTATTTAATGTAAATTTAAGTTACCCCCAGAAAAACAAAATACTATTTAATGTAAATTTAAGGTACATCAACTCAAATTACCCTGACTCCTTAGGAATTAAATGATAACATATGGGCTGGTGCAATGGCTCACGCCTGTAATCCCAGCACTTTGGGAAGCTGAGGCGGGCGGATCATGAGGTCAGGAGATCGAGACCATCCTGGCTAACACAGTGAAACTCTGTCTCTACTAACAATACAAAAAAATTAGCAGGGTGTGGTGGTACGCACCTGTAGTCTCAGCTACTCGGGAGGCTGAGGCAGGAGAATCGCCTGAACCCGGGAGGCGGAGGTTGCAGTGAGCTGAGAGCGTGCCACTGCACTCCAGCCTGGGCTACAGAGTGAGACTCAGTCTCAAAAAAAAAAAACCAGGTGTGGTGGCAGGCGCCTATAGTTCCAGCTACTTGGGAGGCTGAGGCAGGAGAATCACTTGAACCTGGGAAGCCTGGGCAACAGAATGAGACTCCGTCTCACAAAAAAAAAAACGATTCAATAGGAATCATCCACAGCACATTTATACATTTACAACTTAAATAACATTATGATATACATTATGATGGTTGCTGATTTTTTTAAATCTAGTTCTCTAATACCTCATTCTTCACTCAGTTTGACTCATTAAACATGACCAAACACTTATGACTGCCAGTAGGGAGAATGGGACATGGTGGCTTATATAAATGTTGTACCTCCCTTCAGCAAGGAGAAGTTAGAATGGCAGAGTTCATATGGCCATGATGCTCTTGAATGTCTTTTAATTTAATGCCAGGATGAAACAATAAAGTCCATGTGACCAATTTACACTACTATATAAATCTTTATGTTCATTTAAGACTAAATTACTGTGATATTTGGCTACATGGCATGGTTAACAAAGGATTTCACTAAAATCATAGGATAATTAAGATTTCCTGGCCGGGTGCAGTGGCTCACTCCTGTGATCCCCACATGGGAGGATCCCAGGTGGGAGGATGGCTTAAACCCAGGAGTTTGAGACCAGCCTGGAATATAGAGAGACCATGTCTTTACAGAACATGCAAAAATTAGCCAGACATGGTGGCATTTACCTATAGTCCAGAGAGAATTGCTTGTGTCCCAGAGGTCAAGTCTACAATGAGCTGTGGTCACATCATTGCATTCCAGCGTGGGTGACAGAGCGAGACTTTATATCAAAAAAAAAAAGAAAGAAAAGAAAAAAAAATAAAGGATTTCCCCAAAAAATTTGAATATTTACTCTAACTTGAAATGATCATATTTTCAAGGTCGCTGAAGCTAAATTATAGATGAATACACAAAATGACCTTCAAACTAAGGAACAGAAAACATTTGCTAGACCTGAGAAACACGTTTTCCCCCAAAGTTTTATTTAAAAGATCACCAAAAAGACTTGATAAAGAAAACTTTTGAATCCTCTGTGTGAGCCTATTCTTTGCCGGAACACCCACAGCCAAGTGATGCCAGCTTGGCTGATCTATCAATGCAATCATTGAAAGCCACATGGCAGAGAAAGGGAAAAATAATAAAGTGAACCCTTTTGGAAATGTAAGGGGATAAAAAAACAATTTATCTCTACTTATAAATACAGGATTTCATTCTGAGATCTAGTCCAACTCCTCACTTCAGAGATGAGGAAAATGAGTCTTAGAGAAGATAAGGCTTTTTAAATTAATAGGCTATTTTTGTGAGCAGTTTTAGGTTTATAGAATAATTGAGCTGAAAGTACAGTTCCCATTAATACAGTTTCCCATGTTAATTCACCCATGTTAATCTCTATTACTTTAATTTCACACGTTAATCTTGCATTAATATGGCACATTTGTTATAACTGATCTGCCAATATAGATGCATTATTATTAACCAAAGTCCATAGTTTACATTAGGGTTCAGTCTTTGTGTTGTACATTATATGGCTTTTGACAAAGATATAATGACATGTATCCACCATTACAGTACCATACAGAATAGTTCTACTGTCCTAAAAATCCCATCTATTCATCCCTCCCTCCCCGCTCCTGAATCTCTGGCAAGCACCGATCTTTTTACTGTTCCATAGATTTTAGCCATTTTAATATATGTGTAATGGTATCTTCTTGTTTTAATTTGCAATTCTGTAATGGCATATGATGTGGAGCATCTTTTCATATGCTTATTTGCCATCTGTAGATCTTCTTTGGTGAGGTGTCTGTTCAGATTGTCTGTTCAGGTGTCTGTTTTTAAATTGAGCTGTTTGTTTTCTTAAGGTTGTGTTTAAGAATTGCTTATATGTTTTGGATACCAATCGTTATCAGATAAATGTTTTGCAAATATTTTCTCTATGGCTTATCTTTTTGTACTCTTAAGAATGTCTTTTGCAGAGCAGTTTTAAGTTTTCATAGAGTTTAATTTATCAACTTTTCTTTTTGGTAGATCATACTTTGGGTGTTGTGTCTAAGCAGTGATCACCAATCCCAAAGTCATCTAGATTTTCTCTTATACTATCTTTTAGGAGTTTTGTAGTTTTGCATTTTACATTTAGGTCTCTGATCCATTTTGAGTTAATTTTTGTGAGAAGTGTAAGGCCTATATCTGGCTTCGATTTTTTTTTTCTTGTGGAAGTCCAGTTATTCCAGCACCATTTGTTAAAAGGATTATCCTTTGTCCATTAATTGCCTTTGCTCCTTTGTCAAAGAGAGGTAAGACTTTTTAGCAACACCTTGAGGTGTTATTTTCTTATCAGTTCTTTTTGCTGATAAACTGACTACAGCTCAGTGTTTAAGGGAATTGTCTCTGGAGTCAGACGATCTGTTTTTTTATCTAAACATTTTCAGCTGCAATCTGTGAGATCATGGGCAAGTTACTTAACCTCTCTCAGCCTCAGTATACTCAACTGTACAATGGGTTTGATGATAATAACATGATTAATAATAATTGTAAGGTTATCAGGAGACAGATTAGATAATATAGGTAAAATATCTGGCACATAGTATACCCCCAAAAAATGTTGAGTAAGGGCTGCTACTATTGGAGTATTCCAAATTTAACTTGCTTTCTGCCTTGGGGCTCACTATTGAAATATACCAGACAAAAATATATGCACATCTTTCTTCATTCTCTAAACACCCTTCTAATTTTTATAAAATTATGTACCATTTAAGTAGGTTTTTTTCCAAAATCACGTTCTCTGCAAACTCATCTGTGGTGGCAGCAGCCAGATCCGTAGTTGCTCAGTAGTCATTGATGGAGGAAGGGGCACAAGGAAACTTCTGGGTGTGATTGAAATGTTCTGTTTTTTTGTTTTTTTTTTAATTGTAGTTGTGGTTTCATGGGTGTTTACATCTGTCAAAATCCATTGAATTGTATACTTTATATGGGTGCAGTGTATTGTACATACATTATACCTCCATAAAGCTAAGACACACACAAGCAGGAAATGTAAATACTATCTGGATATTGACATCAAGGAATTACTGTTAGTTTTTTACATATGAGAATGTATTGTAGTTATTTTGAATTTTTTGAAAAGTCCTTATCTTTTAGAGATGCATAGAGAAATACTTGCAGATGAAATAGTGTGATGTGTAATATTTGCATCAAAATAATAAGAGATCGGAAGGGTGGATTGGGGAGAGAGATGAAACACATTTGACTATGAGCTGATAACTATTGCAGCTGGATGGTATGTACATAGATAGTTCATTCCACTATTCTGTTTTGTTTTGTGTGTTTAAAATTGTCTATAATTTTAAAGCTTTTTAAAGAACCACTCCACACATACAGGAACTGTTGCTTTTATTTCAGTTGATAAATGGAACAGTACTGAAAGCATCATTAAGGTTTTTTTATTTTTTTCTACACACCATTTATTTTTTATCTATTTTTTTTATTATACTTTAAGTTCTAGGGTATATGTGCACAACATGCAGGTTTGTTACGTATGTATACATGTGCCATGTTGGTTTGCTGCACCCATCAACTCGTCATTTACATTAGGTATTTCTCCTAACACTATCCCTCCCCCAGCCCACCACCCCCCAACAGGCCCTGGTGTATGATGTTCCCCTCCCTGAGTCCATGTGTTCTCATTGTTCGATTCCCACCTATGAGTGAGAACATGTGGTCTGCACGCCATTTATACTTTTTAATTACAATTTTTGAGATAATTGTAGATTCACACACAGTTGTAAGAAATAGTATAGAGAGATCCCCTGTACACTTTGCCCAGTTTCCCACAAAGGTAACATCTTGCAAAAGAATAGTATAAGATCTCAACCAGGATAGTCAATCCACTCATCTGATTTAGATTCCCCAAGTTTTACTTCTCCTTGTGTGTGTGTGTGTGTGTGTGTGTGTGTCCTCTCCAGCTACAAATGTCATGTTCCTTATTCAGGATAATCTGTGGTTAAATTCAGGACTTAGAGAGAGAAGGAGGTAGGTTTATGCAAATATCAGATTTCTTTGATGGTAGGCAACAAATGGACACAGGCTAACTTAAGGAAAAAGGAAATCTATAAAAGCTACGTAGGAGCTTTGCACAGTGGCAGTATCGTAGCCAATGAGGTTTATCCGAGGCGTGATTATTGCTAATTGAAAAGCTAAGTAAGAGCTCACAGAATCAAAGGAGCCAACTTGGAAAGGGTAGGAACCAGAGCCATTCCAGAGATCCAGGAAGCAGGAATCAACGGACTTGCACCTCCAGGTGTTTCACCAGCATGAATCTATAGAACTCATATTCCAAGAAGGGTGTTGCCCACTGGGGTCAGGCGCCCTACCTTTTAGCTGGTAGAGAGTGGGACATCCTGATGCACAGTCCTCCCAAACTGTAACTGATTAAGGAAGAGTAGTTCACTCAAAAGAAATCTAGCATGCTGTTTCCTGGAGAAGGAAAAATGGATGGTGGCCAGAAATTACAACAAACGTACACTTTAATAAATTTCAGAAGAGGTCTTCAGTGGTAAATAAGAATGCATTGTATATGAAAACTTTGAATAAAAGAACATTGTGCTTGGAGTGAAACACTCAGGGCTATGTGTCTACAAGAAGATTCTACATTTAGGAGAAATAAGCTTTAGTGATCTATTCTACAGAATGGTGACTATAATAAATAGTAATGTGTTATACATTTCAAAATTGCTGAGTGTATATTTTAAGAGTTTTCACTACAAAAAATGTTAAGTACGAGAGGTGACGAATTTGTTAATCAGCTTGATTTAATCATCTCACAATGTAAATATAAATCAAAACATCACATTGTACCCCATAAATTTATACGATTGTGATGTCCATTAAAAATAAAATTAAAAAAAGAAGGTTTACATGCAAAGCTTTCTCATTGCTGCTTATGGATTGGGACAAGCCTAAGAAGAGTTTCTTGTTCATTATTTTTCGTTTGACAAATATTTATTTACCACGCCCCAGTGATTCTAAGTCTAAGCCTCAGTGATTCTGGTCTAGGTCATTTCCTTTATTCACTGTCCCCAATGCAGAGCTCAAGTGGCTTAGCCTCAATAGCTAGCAACAGGGTAGGTTGGTCTTTTAGAAATCCAGAGGGACACCCCACAAAGGTTACATATTAACACATTTGTAAGTATAAAACAGTTACTTCACTTTTCCTAATAAAATATCAGAATAGTCAATGCAAACAAAGTACGAGTTCAAAGAACAGTGTATTTTCTATTAAAAGAATTTTCCTTCAACTCCCTCTCACACAATTGCATTAAACAATATTTTAAAAGAAATTTCTTAGAATTTTATCACATTAAGACAACTCTTCATTTGTATTACTCCTCTGACATTTTTTTTTCTAAAATGCATGCGTTTTTTCTATTTATATGAGCACTATGCATCCAATGGAAAAAATTTTAAAATAGGGCAATATATGAAGAATAAAACAACAATATACTAGTATCAAGAGACAACAGCTATTAATATGTTAGCGTATTTTCTTCTGCTCCTAATAATGACTGGATGAAAACAATTTGGCCAGAAACAAAATTGGTATTCCTTATGCTCCTCTTTTGCTTGTATAATTTTCAGATCTTTCTGTAACAAGCTTTGTTTTTGTAATAAGAAAAACAAACAATAAAGGAGAGTATAAAAGAGCAGGGTCTCTGTATGCCTTGTTCATCCAGCTAGCTGCAGTTTCCAGAACACTGCTTGGCTCACAGTAGGTACTTCAAAAATTTTTTTGAATGGCTAAAACTTTTTTGCCCCCAACCTAGTGAACCACAGCTGCTAATGAACATGGAATCACTCTGCAGGTATGTCTGGGTACTATGTCTCTGATTCCTTTTAGTAAATAGTTTGTTCTATCCATAGGATCACTTTCGCTGTCTTAATATAAGACTGATTAAATTCAAATTCCAACTCCAACACTCACTAGCTATGTCACCTTGGCAAGAAACCTCACCACTTTGGCTCAGCTTCCTCATGTGGTGAGCACCGGTCCAGGTGCTGAGGGCACAACAAAACAAGAATCCTACCCTCTAATTTACATTCTAGTGTGCAAGAAAAAGCCTGTGGACAAACATCTGTCAGATGGCGATAAGCGATAAGCGCTGTGAAAAAACAGAAAATAGAGTAAAGGGGATAGGAGGTGATTACCTGTGGGGGTGGATGAGGGCGTGTTGCTATTTTATAAAGGGTAGTCGGCAACAGCTAAAGGTTTAAAAACTAGGCCCAGCACGGTGGCTCATGCCTGTAATCCCAGCACTTTGAGAGGCCAAGGTGGGCAGATCCTTGAACTCAAGAGTTCGAGACCAGCCTCGGCAACACGGTGTCTCTACTAAAAACAAAACAAAACAAAATCTGGGAATGGTGGCCTGTGTCTGTGGTCCCAGCTACTTGGGAGGCTGAGGTGTGAGGTTTGCCCGAGCCCAGGAGGTTGAGGCTGCAGTGAGCTGTGATCGTGCCACTGCACTCCAGCCTGGGTGACAGAATGAGAGCCTCTCTCAAAAAAAAAAAAAAAGAAAAGAAAAGAAAAAAAGAAAGAAATAGAAATTTAAAAATCATAGTGTAGTGTTTTTCAAACTTCAAGTTGTGACTAAGCGCAATCATGAAGTCCATTTAGAATTTGCATTTTCGAAAAAATGAAATAAAATTCATCCCTTCCTTGTGTGTGTGCACCTGTTTGTGCCTTACTCTATTAGCTGAGCACAGGAGAGACAAAAAGAACAACCCCAGAAAAGTGCCAGAAAAGATTAGGACCAGAGCTAAGAGGCTGGGGAGAAAGGCAAAACAAACCCAACAGTTAAGCAATCCAAGAGAGAAAACATATCACTTTTTTTAATGCAAAAAAAGTAGTATGGAAAAAAGGCCAAAAAATTAAATAGAATTGACAGATTCAATTTAACAACAACAAAAATGCAAAACTAATGAAATATGCTGTACATGACACTTTCGGATTAAATGCATGATAGTGTGTGAATATTCTCAGAAATTCCCAAAATATTTGTTCCATATTTCCTTCTCTGACCCTCACTGAGGTAAACAGTATCAAGATTTTAAAGCCAAGTCGTCTGGGAAGATTTCTTTTCTTTCAGTCCTTTAAACATTTCTTTTAATAGGTTTTGGAAATCATGTCTACTTGTCAGAAATGAGTACACTGTATTAAAGGGATACAAATCATCTCCCAAGCCGCCTCTTGCTTTGCACACGAGGTTCTCTTTGAAGCAGAGCCATAAGGTACAATTATTCTAGAACAAGGTGGGCAAACTACAGTCCTCCGACTAAATCTAACCCACCACATGTTTTTGTATGACCCTCGAGCTGAGAATGGTTTTTCCGTTTTCAAGTGATAGAAAAAAAAAATCAAAAGATTTTGTGACCCGTGAAAACGATTTTAGTGTCTGTAGTTTTATCGGAACGCAGCCAAATGCATCCATATTTTCCATGGCTGCTTTGCGCTGCAAAGCGACAGAGTCGAGCAGTTGCCCCCAAAGCCTAAAATATTTACTATCTCGGTCCTTTTAGAAAAAGTCTTGCCAACTAATGTCCTAGAATATGAGGGCTGTATTGCTTAAACACCCTTCCAACTCTCTTCCCTCTCTAGCCACCCCCTCAGCCTTAGGCACTAACAAGATTCCTTGACCCAGAATGGGGGGAGGGCGTTATAATAATGAACGGTATTGTATCGGAAACAACACAGTAAATATCTACAGAAGGGAATGTGACTGGTTCTGCCACTGACTAACGTCTGGGTTTGCGTCCCGGTCAGAAAAGTGGGCATGACAGCGGCATCTGCAAGATAGCATCTGAGCATGAAGGCACTTGGAAAGGTATCAAGGCAGCAAATGTTCCGGGGGTGCTTTTGCAAGAGGAGCCTCTCCCGGAGCTGGACGTACACTTCGGTTCCCTTTGCACGCAGGCACCTTGGTCGCCTCCCCCAACTCCGTCCCCTCTGCTCCTGGCCCTCATTTTCTTCTATTTCCCTTTTGGCCTTGCAGCCAGCTTTCTCCTCCCCCGACACACTCCTCAGGGGCTATGAAGTTCCTGAGCAGAGCAGGGCTCAGGTAAGCAGGCCCAGGGTAGTTCAGCCCTGCTCTCTCCAGCTCCGCCAGCTTGGGGTGGGGTCGCGCTGGGACCCCTGCAGGTGACAAAAATGACTCAGCAGGGGCCGGGGCTGGGATGAGAAAGGAACGCCAGTGCAGGGACAAAATCCCCTGAAGCGCGAAGAGGCCGCAAACCATCATCTTAAGGACCCAAACATCGAACAAATTAAAATGTAACAGTGTAAATCGGCTTCGGCCCGCCGGCGGCCTGTGCCGCCACAGGCTGCACATTTAGCCTAACAGGGCGGCCCGGCGGCTTTTGCAGGCAGAAAACGCCCGCGGCCTCTCCAAAAGCTCTCCTCCGTCTGAGACCAGCCCCACCTCGGCCCGACCGGGCCCCAGGAAAGGCCAGTCGGCTGGAGGAGAACATTTCAGGGGTGCAGAGAATTGCATGTCCGTGATTATCAGGGAGACTTTGAAGGCACAGTAATCTCTCGAGAACAGGAACCATTTTCCCCTCTTGCTCTGAGATTTTGCTTGGCTAAGCGGCGGCAGCCTCCCTGCCCCCCTCTCACCCCCACCACCGCTGCCGCTACAAGCAACCACGCCCCGCGGGCCCCAAGGCTCGCCGCCCCGGGGCTCGCGGCCCCCACTCAGCCGGCCAGCCGCGCCTCCATCAGCCCCGCCCTCGCGCGCCCCCATCCGCCCCGCCCCCTCGGGCCCTCATCCGCCCCGCCCCCGCGCGCCCCATCCGCCTCCGCGGCCGGCCCTGGGAGCGCCGGGCGAGCCCTCGCGCCTGCGCATCGCCAACTTCCTGCCGCGGCACGCTCCGCCCACCCCCAGAAGCCCGCCTCCGAACGCCGCGTGAAACCCGCCCGCCGCGCGTCATTGGTCTCGGCGCCGGAGCCGTTGGCTCCCAGACCCGCCTCTCCGCCTCCTCTCACTTTTCCCAGGGCGGATGCGCCTGCGCTCAGCTGCCTGGGCGGGCTGGGAGGCGCGGGTTGAAAAGTCTCGTTCCAAGTTTGGAGAGAGAGAGAAGAGCGCCTCAGACCTCGGTACCCGCGAGCGGGGAGGAGGCAGGAAAGAAGGACGCGGCGTCTGGGGAGCACCCAGGCAGCAAGACGGGGCCCGGGCTTTCGACAGTGGGGAGTGTGACGCGCTTGGGAAAGGCAGGAGCGCCAGCGGTCGGGCTGCTCTTGGCTAACGAGAGGAGTCCGAGGCGGCGGCGAGGGGCGAACGACCCGACGCAAGATGGCGAGTAAAGAGAGTAAGAGGCCCTGCGGGGCGGCGCGCGCCGGGGCCGCGGGGGGCGGCGGGCGCGCGAGGCCGCGGCACGCGCCGGCGAAAGGCGCGAATTGGCGTGCGGAGCAGGGGGCGGGGCCGGGCGCGAGACTGGGCGCGCGCCTCGAGGGGCCTGCGCGGGACGGGACCGCCGCGCCGAGGGCTCCGAGCACTTCCGGAGCCGGGCGCGGGGCCGAGGGCTGGGCCCCCCTCTTCCCTTCCCTCCTCCAGCGGCTGCGCTCCCTCCGGCGCCCTCGGCCCCGGGGCGGAGGCGGCCCCCGCCGCTGGGAAGCGAGCGCCGCGGCTCTTTCTACGCGCGCGCGCGCGTTGACCGCCTCGGGGTCGCGGCCCTTGTCCGGGGGTTGCTGGGGTCCTCAGGCCTATGGCTGCCGAGGCGGGCGTCGTGGGAGCTGGGGCCTCCCCTGATGGGGATTGGAGAGACCAGGCCTGTGGGCTTCTGCTACACGTGCATTTGTCTTCCCGACTGGGTCGCGCAGCCCCTGTACGTACAGGTCGTCATCTTAGAACAGGTGCGAACAGCTGTAACAGGGTAAACAATTTCCATGTCCGTGTAATTGACTACCCAACATGGTGTACGCAGGGGGTATTGATCTCAATGGAAAAAATAGGCTTCCTGATTGTTAGTATTTTCTCCACCTTCTGGAAGAGCAGTTAGTTGTCCGTGTCCAAATTAGAGGTAAAAGGAAAGAGTACATGAGGTGTGGCCATCTTGAGGTGACCTCCAATTTCTGACTTTGATCTATCTCAGCCACTTAATCGTGTGGGCTTTCTCCAAATTTCAGTGTTTGAAGATACTGTGGAGGAGCGTGTCATCAATGAAGAATATAAAATCTGGAAGAAGAATACACCGTTTCTATATGACCTGGTTATGACCCATGCTCTTCAGTGGCCCAGTCTTACCGTTCAGTGGCTTCCTGAAGTGACTAAGTAAGGGTTTCTGGCAACTTTTATTTTGTTTAAATTTAACTGTCGTTCTGAATTTCCTAGTTTTGGCGTTTTATGCATAGAACATAAGTATGTAATCAGCCCTTGCATGAGGTGGCAGGTGGTTTTTATTTTCAAAACTTACGTGATTTGTGGGATGATTTCTGGTGTATAGTGTGGTGGTAAAAGGGGAGAAAGAAGCTGTTGTGAGATTAATCGTGTTTGGAGGAAGCACTGAATATATTTGACATTTCCTGGGCTTGAATGTAGAGCAGCATCTTTCTGGGCCCAAACTAATGCGTTTCTTTAAAACTTTACTGAAAAATAGAATATTTACGGAAAAGTTCACACATCTTAAGTGTTGTATGGCTTGATAAATTTTTACAAAGTGAACACACGTAACAGTCATCCAAGATAAATACATTTTAATTGGTAAAGGGAAAAAGACCTTGTCAACAATTGACCAAAGAAAAGATGTTATCGGCTTATGGAATACACTTTGAGATTGCTGTTAGTCTTCATAAGAGTATTCTTTTCTGTTACATCTGCAGTTTCTCTGGTAATAATTGCTGGCATTTATTGAGCACTCAGAACAGGGCCTGGCACATCTGAAGAATCTACGTCCTGTTGTTTGTTGTAATCCTCATAATAGTACTATGCTGTAGGTACTTTTCATCATCCTTGTTTTACTGATAAGGAAACTGGGAGTGAGAGTTTAAGTGCCATCCCAAGATCACACAGCTGGTCCCTGCATTAGACTGCCTTTCTCATTCACTTGCACCTTTTCTAGTAGGAACTTGACCATGTACTTTTAAAGTGTATTAAATATGGGGTCAGGCACAGTGGTTTATACTCCTGTAATCCTAGTGCTTTGGAAGGTTAGCTTGAGCTCAGGAGTTCAAGGCTGCAGTGAGCCATGATTGCGCCACTGCATTCTAGCTTAGCCAACAGAGTGAGACCGTGTCTCTCAAAGAAACAAAAAACAAGCATCTTAAATTTGGGTGTTGCGGACATATAATTTAAAGAGGATTAAATGAAACTCTAACCTAAAAAGAGGATTTTGCAACAAGTTATAAAAATAATAAGCTAATTTTGGCTGGGTGCGGTGGCTCACGCCTGTAATCGTAGCACTTCGGGAGGCCGAGGCAGGCGGATTGCCTGAGCTCAGGAGTTCAAAACCAGCCCAGGCAACAAGGTGAAATCCCATCTCTACTAAAATACCAAAAAAAAAAAAAAACCGGGCGTGGCAGCGTGTACCTGTAGTCCTAGCTACAGGCTACAGGGAGGCAGAGGCAGGAGAATTGCTTGAACCTGGGAGGCGGAGGTTGCAGTGAGCCAACATCGCACCACTGCACTCCAGCCTGGGCGAGAGCGAGACTCCATCTCTTAAAAATAAAAATAATTATTATAATAATAATCTAATGTATATAAAACTGCTCTTACAGTGGCCGGGTTCTCCATATGCAAACATTGATTTCTATACAGATAGGAATTTCCACTAGGCTTCCCAAAAATCTAAATATAAATGTACAGATGTGGGAAGAGTAGAGAAGAACTAAATGATGGAGACTTGGAAGCATTGACGTTTACAGCCACAACAGATTGAAAAATAGATTAAGCATCATATACTCGGGTATTCAAGTTCTGGTTTGGAGCATCGTGTGCATTTGCCTCTTTGGTCTGTTAAGCAGATTTAAAATGTATTAACTAAATTTACCTTTTGGGGGATCTTTTTGACCCACTGTAACATAATAGAAAACAGCAGGGGCTTTAAACTTAGAGACCTGGGTTAAAATCATGCCCCTACTTCTTAGCTTCATGAACTGGGGCCGTGTTGTCTGGGCTGTAAATGGAGATGTTGGTCATACTGACTACCTACATTTGAGGGAATGAAATAAGATCATGCATGTTAAAGTGCCTGGTGCAGCATAAGTACACGGTAAGTGGTGACTGATGCTGATTCTCCCACCCCTTCCTGTTCAGAAATAATTTGTCAGGATTGAAATAGCTCTGTTTCTTCATTTGGATTTCAATGAAAGCTACTTGCTGAAGTTTTTTTTAAAAAAATGTTACCTATAATATGTAATACTTAGGAATGTAACAAAATGCTTTAATTAAATTATTTAATGTGTATCATGGTGTTCTTTGTATACAAAGCTGTTGTGGGATTGGGTTGTGGGATGTGCAGTGGCTTAGAGAATGTAAGAAAATGCCAAGCAGCCTGCATTCTTGGATGTTGAGGATTGTTGTGTGGTGCTTTGCAGGGTTCAGTTTGGGGTATAAAGGGACTGTGTTTTATCACCATACAGAACAGTAAAAATGTTGACTATTCTCAATGCCTGACTCTGAGGAACAAGATCCTACTCCACCTCATAGGCCTTTCTTCTGCTGACTTACAACATGCTTCATAACGATTACTTGGACTTTCTTAGCTATTGTCCTTCAATTGAGTTAGGTAATTGTCCAAATAATTGATTTGGCTGGCTGGCTTGCTTTCTTGCTTTCTTGCTTTCTTTCTTTCTTTTTTTTTTTTTTTTTTTTTTTTTTTTTTTTTTGAGACAGTCTCGCTCTGTCTCCCAGGCTGGAGTGCAGTGGCACCATCTTGGCTCACTGCAGCCTCCACCTCCCGGGTTCAAGCGATTCTCCTGCCTCAGCCTCCTGAGTAGCTGGGATTACAGGTTTGTGCCACCACACCCAGCTAATTGTTGTATTTTTGGTAAAGACAGGGTTTCACTATGTTGGTCAGGCTGGTCTCAAACTCCTGACCTCGTGATCCGCCCGCCTCGGCCTCCCAGAGTGCTGGGATTACAGGTGTTGATTTGGCTTTTAAAAGGTTTTATTTAAGTATCTCTAAGAAATTTGTTTTAATTAGATAGTTATTTCATATCTCTTGTTGAATAATGTCTTAAATATATTGAGACTAACTTATTGTCTACCTAAAAAGCTTTGTAATTTTTCAAATTCAGGAAGTATAAAAGGACATAGAGTGAAGAATAAGTCCCCTTTCCACATCCCTTACTGTCCTACTTCCTTTCCCCAGTCATTGTTTTCAATTTCCTAACCCATCCTTGCCAGCGTGTAGAAGTGCATACCTGTATCTTCATTTTTTATGGTAGCAAGTTCTTCACTTGAGTTTGTCAGTAAGAGTATGTATTGGAGATTTTCCTGTCAGCATGCTTGGATATGCTTGTTCTTTTCAAGAGTGCCATAGAATTTTGTTTATGGATACACTGTGTAATGTATGATACCAGTTCCTTGCTGATGGATACTTAGTTATTTTCAGTCTTTTTCCTTCTATAAACAATACTGCTGAGAATAATCTTGCAATAGGCCAGATTTATGTGATGCTTGGCTAAATTTCCTAGTGGTAGTTACTGGGGTCAAAGGATTCTGCACTGAAAATGAATAGGCTTTCTTAACCATTAGTCCTTCTGCAGCCTTTAGGTACATCCAGTATTGGAGGAAAATAGTGTCATATTGATTAGTTTAGGAAAACAGGCTGTGTTTTAATGATGGAGGTGAAGGGATTTCTAGTAAAAAGAAAAGTCCTCATATGATGATCAAGTTGGGGAAAACTGGAATAATTAAATTTGAGTCCAGAGGGATTTTTAAGCTCCTCCAGTCCGTCTTGGGACAGTGTTCCTTAGAAAGGGCCTGTGATAAACTGACCTACCTGTTATTTTTTACTTGTTGGTCTTAGTTTTCCTGCTCAACTCCACAAAAAACAAGTGACTTTTTTCCTTTGATGACAGTACCAGCATTGCTCTGTGGTGCCTTCTTTCTCTCAAGCATTATTATTTCTCTTTTTAAATATTTATTTAAATTTTTGTTTTTTGTTTTTGTGTTTTTTGTTTTTTGTGGAGATGGGATTTTGCCACGTTGCCCAGGCTGGTCTCGAAGTCCTGGGTTCAAGCAATCCGCTTGCCTTGGCTTCCCAAAGTGCTGGGATTAGAGGCGTGAGCCACCACATCCGGCCAAATATTTATTCTTTTTTTTTTTTTTTTTTTTTTTTTTTGAGACAGGGTCTTGCTATGTTGCCCAGGCTGGACATGAACTCCTAGGCTCAAGCAGTCTTCCGTAGTAGCCCTAGTAGCTGGTACTACGGGTGCACAGCACTGCACCTGGCTTACCCTTTCATTTTAAGCCACTATTCCCTGTAAAGGTTTGATTTTTATCCAAGTCCTCATAAAGTATGTTGCTTAGAGCCTAATTTTAATGGTTTTACTGGTTAAAAATAAGTGGGCAAGCCAGATATGGTGGCACACATCTGTAGTCCCAGCTGCTGAAGAGGTTGATGTAGGAGGATCAACTTGAGTCCAGGAGTTGGAGGCCAGCCTGGGCAACATAGTGAGACCTTGTCTCTTAAAAAAAGAAAAGGTCGGGGGTGGGGGGCACATGTGCTCATGTGCATTGCCCCCTACATACATATAAAGACCACCTAAGATGGAATTAATTAATTTTTTGATAGCCACATCATATTCTTGGCCCACTGTGCATGTATCAACCAAGACCCATGTTTTCTTTCTTTTTCTTTTTTTTTTTTTTTTTTTTTGGAGACGGAGTTTCACTCGTTGCCCAGGCTGGAGTGCAATGGTGTGATCTTGAGATCTTGACTCACCACAACCTCCACCTCCCAGGTTCAAGTGATTCTCCTGCCTCCGCCTCCTGAGTAGCTGGGATTACAGGCATGCGCCACCATGCCCGGCTAATTTTGTATTTTTAATAGAGATGGGGTTTCTCCACGTTGGCTAGGCTGGTCTCGAACTCCTGACCTCAGGTGATCCGCCTGCCTTGGCCTCCTAAAGTGCTGGGATTACAGGCGTGAGCCACGGCGCCCATTTGTCTTTTTTTCAAACACGTTGCTATTGCTTAGTCACGGCTGCCTTACTCTGTTTTGGGGGGAGTGTGTCTGTGTGTGTGTGTGTCTCTTCTCCATGTGCACACACTTTTTTACCGTAAGCCAAATTTTGGTAAAATTGCATCTTGTATTTTCTTATTACTAAATTACTTGCCTAGAAGTAATCTTCAATCTTTTTAGAAAAAAAAAAAAAATTGAATCCTTTGTGCAGCTGAAATTTAGAAACAGATAAATGGCCTAACTTGTCTTGTGTTAGGGCCTAGACCCCTACTTCTCAGTCCTCTTCATTGAAGTGGGACCATGGAGCACAGTTGAAAATTGTATTCTAGATAATACAAATGGGAAAGCCTTTTTAATAGATACTGATGCAAAAATCACTGCTCGGACCAAGGTGCCAAGAGGTTTGGGCAAGTTCTTCAGCCTCAAGGTGTTTCCACAGAACAAGGTAACAAAGATACCTCGGTAAAATTGAGAATGTTCGTTTCATAAACTTAGGTATCATAAACGTCAGTGAGTTTCACATCATGCCATTTGCACTTATAGCCTATTTTATTCAGTGAAGAAACTGAGGCCCCAGGGAGGTTGTGTTTTAAGCAACTGCATTTTAGTTTGATCCAGGATTTAAGCTAAGTTTTTTTGATTCAACACTTTCTGTCCATACTACCTTGTAGAATTTCTTATTGGGAAATAAGAAACATCTAGTGTATAAGATATTTTTAGGTGGGAAGAAGATTTCTTTAGGTGGGAAGTTGTGATTTATGAGTGTGGGGATTGTTGGTGGATTCCTGTGTAGATGTTTGTCTGTGTTTACTGAGTTGGGCCTACCTTCCCCGGAGTGCTGCTCTATAAAAGGTAGTGTTCACGCTGATAATTGAGGCACAGGAGGATGGCTCTTTGGGAAAGAAGCAAGCCCTCTGCATGTTGTAGCTAGAATATTTTCTTATATTTGCATATGTGGGGATTGTAAAGTTGGTAACCAGAGGGGGAGAAGATACACAGTTGATGCTAAGTATATATTTGCTAAAGAAATATGAATGTATTTTGAGGGAACTAGACTGAATTTGTTAGCAATTGGAGATTTCTTGTAGGATTAGTGTGACTTATTTTCTTTCTTAAACAGACCTGAAGGAAAAGATTATGCCCTTCATTGGCTAGTGCTGGGGACTCATACGTCTGATGAGCAGAATCATCTGGTGGTTGCTCGAGTACATATTCCCAATGATGATGCACAGTTTGATGCTTCCCATTGTGACAGTGACAAGGGTGGTAGGTATATCATATATTCCAATATTGGTGTCAAAGGGAAAATGTCTCTTTCAAAGCATATGCTATTAAAACTATACTATTAGCTTTTGGCCCAGTAATTTAACTTCTAGGACTTTATTCTACAGAACTTCCCACCCACATGTGCACAAGGATTTTAGTCGTAATTGCAGAATTGAAAAATTAGGATCAACCTTGTAACCCAGATGTTGGTTCATAGAAAGTTGGTTAAGCACATGGTATGTTTGAAATACTACTCAGCAATTAATAAGAAAGGCCAGGTGCCATGGCTCACGCCTATAATCCCAGCACTTTGGGAGGCCAAGGTGGGAGGATTGCTTGAACTCAGGAGTTCAAGCCCAGTCTGAAAAACACAGACCTCATTTCTACCAAAAATTTAAAAAAAAAATTTTTTTTTTTAATGAGAAAAATCTGTAGGCACTGGTATAGGAAGGTATCCAAGATAAATTAAGTGACTAACTGCTATGTGTAATTACAGTATTCCACTTTGGTAAAAGTAATATGTGTTGGTGTGTGCAATGGGTATTTTTTGTTTGAGGAGAGAGGCAGTAGTGGTAGGGTTAATTCAGGAATCTGTTGGCTGCTTTTTTCTTTTTTTAATTTGTCAAACATATACTCTCCTGTTTTGGTATTCCCATGACCACCCCAAGTTTGGTGATTTTGCTAGGACTCCCAAGAGCAAATTATACTTGTGGCTAAAGTTTGTTACAGTAAAGAACACAAAAGCAGCAGGAAAAAGATGTACATCGGCAAGTTCAGGGAGGTCTGGCACAAGTCTTGTCCAAGGCCACACAGGATGTGTCTTCCGGCAGCAAACTGCAGGGACATGTGTGAAATATCTCTGCTCAGGGAAGCCTGTTTGGGTCTTGGGGTCTGAGGCTTTCTTGGGGGACTAGTTGCATAGGCACATCCTGCTGACAACCAGCCACAGCAACTGTAACTTGAGGACCCCAGTAATACAAACTGAGGACCCAGTAATAAAAGAAGGTACGTGTCATCAATCTTGATATCTGCAGAGTAACCCTGACAAACTGGTACAACGCGGTCCATTGCTCCAGGTGCACACCACAAAATCATCAGTTCATCAGTGACAGAAAGAACATTCTGAGGTGCATGTTCCCAGGAGTTAGCCAAGGGTCAGTAATAGGGTCCCAGTGTTCCTCAGAGACTCCAGGGCTAAGCACCCAGACTGCTGTATTAACTCTTTCTTCACAGTCCCAAATGGCTTAACGCTATTAGCACTTTCTAATATGTGCCTTAGGGTTTTTTTCTTATTGAAAATAAAATACTGGCCAGGTGCAGTGGCTATACCCATAGTCCCAACACTTCGGGAGGCCAAGGCAGGAGGAACGCTTGAGCCTGGGAGTTTAAGACCACTCAGGGCACACAGTGAGACATTGTCTCTATCAAAAAATAAAATTAAAAATCAGCCATGTGTGGTGGCGCATGCCTGTAGTCCTAGCTACTTGGGAGGCTGAGGATCGCTTGAGCCCAGGAGTTCGAAGCTGTAGTGAACTAGGATCACACCACTGCACTCCACCCTGAGCAACAGAGCAAGATCCTGTCTCAAAAATACTACATTCTCTAGTGTAGTGAAACTGCTAGGTTGTATGGTGTATTCATTGTCAACTTCATAGAAAACTATTTTCCAAAGTGATTTACCCAGTTTACTACTCCCACAATTTACTGTTCATTCCCCGACAACTGTATGCATTATTTCTTTAAATATTGGGGTTTTTTTGTGTTTTGTTTTTGTTTGTTATGAGGCAGGGTCTCGCTCAGTCGCCCAGGCTGGAGTGCAGTGGTGCAATCTCGGCTCACTGCAACCTCCACCTCCTGGGTTCAAGTGATTCTCGTACCTCAGCCTCAAGAGTAGCTGGGATTACAGGCGTCCACCACCATGCCCGGCTAATTTTTGTATTTTTAGTAGAGACTGGGTTTTGTCATGTTGGCCAGGCAGGTCTCGAACTCCTGGCCTCAAGTGATTCGCCTGCCTAAACTTCCCAAAGTGCTGGAATTACAGGCATGAGCCACCACTCCCGGCCTGAATATATTGTAATCAGAAATTTTTAAATGGCTTTTAGCCCTGAAGTATGTATTTACCGGGCTTGCAGTTTAACAGTCTCTGCATAATGATGTTAATATATTATTAAAGTTACACATCCAGTGTATTCTAACAAGTAGCTGAAATAATTCAGTTAATACCTTTGTTAATATTCAGTATATATATTTTTTTTTTCTTTTTTTTTTTCTTTTTTTTTTCGAGACGAAGTTTCGCTCTGTCACCCAGGCTGGAGTGCAGTGGTGTGACCTCAGCTCACTGCAACCTCTGCCTCCTGGGTTCAAGCGATTTCCCGAGTAGCTGGGACTACAGGCGCCCGCCACCACACCTAGCTGATTTTTTGTATTTTTAGTAGAGACGGGGTTTCACCTTGTTAGCCAGGATGGTCTTGCTTTCCTGACCTCATGATCCGCACGCCTTGGCCTCCCAAAGTGCCGGGATTACAGGCATGAGCCACCACGCCCGGCCAATATTGAGTTACATTTTTTAATGGATATTATCATTAAGACAGTGACTTTTCAAAATTTTAAGTTTGAGAAAACAAAACTCTGTGTTCAAAGTAAATCCTACTTGGAAGCCCCGCCCCCCCCCCTTTTTTTTTTAAAGGAGAGCTCTTCAGGTTGTTTTAGCTAAAGGAATCAGGAAACTTGAGTATCTTTGTAGCAGAAGGGTTAGAGCCACTGGAGTCCATGGAATGGGATGTTGAAGGTCAAAGTGGAGCAGATTTGGAGCAGTCTCAGGAGGGAGGAGACGATTGGATCAGGAGGGGTCTTAGCATGCCGAGGCACATTTCTTCCATTGACACCATGGAACAGAAGGTGCTACGAGGAAAAAGGATCCTTTTGCATGTGGTCACATGAGAGTAGTGGGTAGAGGAGCTTTGGAGTAATCGTGGATTTGAGATACGGTTTTTTCAACCACACTGAAATAGTAAGCTATGTTTGCTTCAGAGAGGAACGGCTAGATACTGATATTAAGACATGGAAGCGAGTGTTCATTAAGCATTCCACATAGAAGGAGCTGCCTGGAACTGAGAAATGGTTTGCTCCTTTTGGTGGTTGCTCCAGGCCCCGGTCTATTTTACTTCTTACCTGTCTGGCTCCAGTAGGCATTTGTGTTAGTTGTCCCTGACCTGAGACACAGGGTGAGCTAAAATGGAATGTGCAAAGAAAAGGCAATATAGGTCAGGAAGAATAACACAATTGTAATGTGAACCCTCCTATCTTTTTAAGCGTCAGCAACTAATTCAGGTTTTTTTATCTATGAGCACAAAAAAGAATGTTCTTGTTTGCTGTATTTGCTTAGATGTTCTCTACTTGTATTCTTTCTGCTAACATGTTGCTACTTCTTGGAAGTTACCGTACTTTTTATATGACTTTGTTACTTTACAAGGCCTTTTTCATGATTATTTAATACTATAGTCTTATTCACACACCAGATGGGCGGAGAGGTTAACCTTGGCACTGCACTAGCAGTTAAACCAAGTATGCTGGCAGGGCCAATGTATGTGTGTTTAGGGACAGGTAGGGGTTAGCGTGGGTTTCTGATTGATTTGAGGATGCTTCTGACTTCAGACTCAAAGGGTGTTCATACTGTGGAGGGTTAAAACCTTTCCTGTTTTGATGAATCCTAAAATAAGATGCTAATTCAGTGCAGTACTTACAGTGAGTTGTATTTGAACTAAAAAGCTATTGGTCTGCTTATTATATGGTTACTTGAAATTTCAGTGAATAACTATATCATCTTCATAACTGAAAGAGGACAGTTGTTTTAGATCCAAGGTGGAACTGAATTAAGTTGCATAAGGCAGCTACCAATATTTTCCAGTGCAAATGGGCTTTAAGAATAAATTGATGTGGCAAATGAACCCACATTTTTGGGTTTTCTCTATGCATGTTTCTGTCTTTGTCTTGTCAGTTTGTGTTGTATTCTGCCAGGTCAAAATCTGTTAGGTTGATTGAACTAAGTGATTTGTGAATTTTAATCCTGAGTGTGTGTGTGTGTGTTTCTTTCTCCTCACATTAGAATTTGGTGGCTTTGGTTCTGTAACAGGAAAAATTGAATGTGAAATTAAAATCAATCACGAAGGAGAAGTAAACCGTGCTCGTTACATGCCGCAGAATCCTCACATCATTGCTACAAAAACACCATCTTCTGATGTGTTGGTTTTTGACTATACAAAACACCCTGCTAAACCAGGTATGTAATAATAGAGTTAGGTCATTACTTGAGCAGTTTTCTTGATTCAAACTGGTAATGTTTTTAAGGTCAAAGTAGCATACTTTATAATATTTAAAGGTTTAAAAATTGCTTTGGGGGTCCCATAACCATCCTCAAGTTCAGGGATTTGCCAGAACTACCTAAAAGCAGCTTATACTAACAGCTAAAGTTTATTACAGCAAAGAATCCAGAGCAAGAGTAGGAAGAAAAAGATACACATCAGGGGAAGTCCAGAGGGGTTAGCTACAGGCGTCTGAGTCCTTCCCATCCAGGGCCACGTGGGACATGTTTTGTCTCTAGCAGCAAACCATAGGAACATGTGCTAAATGTCTCTACCCAGGGCAGCCCATTTGAGTTTCAGAATCTGGGATTTTTGTGGAGGTCTGTTGGCGTGGGCACATCCTGTTCTATGACCAGCCATGGTAACAAAATTGAGGACCCCAATAGTGAAGCCAAATACATTGTGAATCTTGCTAAACAATCCTACAAGTCTTGACAGGTCCCTATGGCATACCCCACTGCTCTGGGCTTACAAAACTTTATCAGTCAGTGACGTGAAGAACTTTCTGAGGGTCACATTCCCAGGGGTTGGCCAAGGGTCATTTATGGTTGCAGGCTACCCTAGAGGCATGCAAGGACTGAGCAACCAGACCTGTTGTGTTAGAAATATTTCTAAAAAATTGGGGGGTTGCGGGGATACGGTCACCACTGCCCAAATTTGTAGGATAGCTATAGTTTTTAATATTTTTGTGTTGGGGATAGTATTAGGTTTTCCAAAGAAACCAATCATCTAATGGTCATGAGGCTCAATTTGCATTGGGTATTAAAGACCAGATCTCGTTCGTGTGCAGTTGCTGTAATGGTTCACTCAATGAAGGAGTGAGAATTTATTCTCACCAGTTCTGATAAACAGAGAATAACTTAATGTTTTTCATCTTTTCTTAGACCCAAGTGGAGAATGTAATCCTGATCTCAGATTAAGAGGTCACCAGAAGGAAGGCTATGGTCTCTCCTGGAATTCAAATTTGAGTGGACATCTCCTAAGTGCATCTGATGACCATGTGAGAAACGTATTCTTTGTAATTTGTTCATATAGTGAGAGCTGACGTGTCACAGCTGTGCTGAAGGAGTACTATATAGATGAAAGGTTTTCTAAGATAATACTGCTGATTATTGTGGTAACATTCCCCCAGGACTTTAGAGAGATGGTTTTCATACTGCCCTGTATGAGTCTTCGGATTCCACAGAGCTCTTTTGAAGTAGCCTTAGAATGGAGGGAGCATAGGCAAAAGGCCTCCCATTATTTAAAAGAGGACCCTCCAGGCCCTTAAAATGGAAACTGTAGAGTGTTTGTGGGACCTGATTAATATAAAGTATTTTTTAAGTGTACAGTTCAGTGGGTTTTAGTATATTCACAAAGGTGCACAACTATTGCCACTAATTCTAGAATGTTTTCATTCGCTCTCTGAAAGAGAAATTCCATACCCATTAAGCAGTGACTCCCCACTCATTCCCTGCCTTCCCCCAGCTCCTGGTAAGCACTAATTTATTTTCTGTCTCTATAGAGTTATCTGTTCTTGGTATTTCATGTAAATGGAATCTCATATATGGCCTTTTCTGTTTGGCTTCTTTCACTTAGCATAATGTTTTCAAGTAACATTACTTATGTTCCATTCCTTTTTATGGATGAACAATATTCCACTGTATGGATATACCACAGTTAGCTTATTTGTCAGTTGATGAACCATTTGAGTTCTTTCTACTTTGGGGCTATTTTGAATTATGTTACAAGCATTTGTTTACAAGTTTTTGTGTAGATGTATGTTTTTATTTCTCTTGGATATATACCTAGGAGTGGAATTATTGGATCATATGGTATCTCTGTTTAATTTTTTGAAGAATTACCAAACTGTTTTCCAAAGTGGCTTTCCATTTTACATTTCCACAAGCAATGTACAAATGTTCCAGTTTCTCTACATCCTCACTAATGCTTGTCTTTTTTATTATAGCTATCCTAGTGTGCATAAAGTGGTATTTCCTGGGTTTTTTTTTGTTTGTTTTTGGCTTGGGGGTGGGGAGTTGGTTTTTGTTGTTGTTGTTGTTGTTGTTGTTTTGTTTGTTTTTTGAGACGGAGTCTGTCTCTGTCACCCAGGCTGGAGTATAGTGGCACGATCTCAGCTCACTGCAACCTCCACCTCTCAGGTCCAAGCGATTCTCCTGCCTTAGCCTCCCAAGTAGCTGAGATTACAGCCATGCACCATGAAACCCAGCTAATTTTCGTACTTTTAGTAGAGACAGGGTTTCACCATGTTGGCCATGCTGGTCTTGAGCTCCTGGGCTCAAGCAATCCTCCTGCCTTGGCCTCCCAAAGTGCTGGGATTACAGGCATGAGTCACTACGCCCAGCTCATTGTGGTTTTAATTTGCATTTCCCTGATGACTAATGATGATGAGCATCTTTTCTTGTACTTACTGGCCATTTGCATATCTCCTTTAGAGAAATAGGTATTCAAATTCTTTGTCCATATTTTAATTTTGTCTTTTTATTGTCAAGTTATAAGAGTTTCTTATGTATTCTAGGTATAAGTCCCTATGATTTTCAAAAATTTTCTCCCATTCTGTTGTCTTTTCACTTTTTTTTTTTTTTTTTTTTTTTTTTTGAGACAAGGTCTTGCTCTGTCACCCAGGCTGAAGTGCAGTGGCTCAGTCTCGGCTCACTGCACCCTCCACCTTTCCAGCTCTAGTGGTTCTCTACCTCAGCCTGTCAAGTAGGTGGGACTACAGGCGCCCACCACCACACCCAGCAAATTTTTGTATTCTTTGTAGAGATGGAGTTTTGCCGTATTGCCCAAACTGGTCTTGAACTCCCGGGCTCAAGTGATCCACCTTCCTTGGCCTCCCAAAGAGCTGGGATTATAGGCTCTCTGAAAGGATGCTTCCCTCAAAGTGTGTATGAGACGGTTTCCCAAGTAGGGAAAGTGGATAAGTGGATTGTACTCAGTAACCCAATTACTAGTACCTTTTGAAGAGACCAGGCTGGGAATTGGTAGTAATAATAATAGCTGACATTTACCAGGGGCTACCCACATGCCAAGCATCATGCTAATCTTGCCAGGTCCTTCTGAGTCAGTGTGAATGGCAGGAGCACCACATGTTCCTTTCTCTTCAGTTCACACACATTGAGTGTCTTCATGTGTAAGTAACAACAGAGACTGAGGGCATATGTATTGTGTAAAAAAAAATTTTGTTACTGGGAAAATAGCCATTACTGGGAAATAGCTTTGTTACAGAAAGTCCTTCATGTGGCTGGGCACAGTGGCTCACGCCTGGAATCCCAGCACTTTGGGAGGCCAAGGTGGGTGGGTCACCTGAAGTCAGGAGTACAAGACCAGCCTGGCCAACGTGGTGAAACTCCGTCTCTACTAAAAATACAAAAAAATTAGCTGGGCTTGGTGGCATACACCTGTAATCCCATCTACTCGGGAGGCTGAGGGAGGAGAATTGCTTGAACCCGGGAGGCGGAGGTTGTAGTGCGCCAAAATTGTGCCCTTGCATTCCAGCCTAGGCAAGAGAGTGAGACTCCGTCTCAAAAAAAAAAAAAAGGTGATTTAATAAAAACAGATGAAGCCCTTTCATGATCACGTGCTATGAATTAAAAAAAAAAAAAAAACCCATACCAGTGTCGGTGGAACTATAATTAGTGCTAATATACCTTCATGGTATTATTTCTTATTAACTATTGAATGAGAATCGTTGCCCTATACCTTGCAATATTTTTTCATTAAAACTTTCCTCTTAACTCTTTCTGTGATAGGATGTCAAGGCCCACATCATGAGGCCTCCTTATTTGTGGGCTGCTGTGACCTTTGAGGCCCAAGCAGAGGCCCCATGGCCTCTGCTTGGGCTCTGCTGACGTTTCAAGGAGCACATCATTGGGGATCTGTCTGTGGGCGCCAGGCCTTGACCTCTCAGAGTAGACTAGTAGAGGTTTCTGGCCCAGTGTCGTTTACCTGTCCCATCTCCTGATGTCTGTGGTGGTTTCTGCCATGAAGTGAAAGACTTGTCCATGAGGCTTTTGCTATGTGAGAGGCAGAGTTTAATTTTAATTCCCAGTCTTCCCATCCCAGTGTAAACTTTTAGGATGTGCATTTGTGTTCAGTAGATGCTGAGCGCCGGGCTCTTGGTGATTTGTTGTGTTGTCTAAGTGAATTTGGGGTACTTGAATGTCTGAATGTATGTAGGTAGAAATTCCAGCATCAGTGTCCTTGCCTGCCACTGTACTCAGTCTCCCCTCCCCCTCATTACAGTGGAGTGTCCTTTTCCTCTGCACCTCACATGGAGGCTGCAGCCACATACTCTTCTGTTTGCTTATATTTTCTCTCTTGTGTTTACCTCAAACTTATATAGTTGAATAGTTTTGTTTGTAATGAAATTATTTTAAATAAGATGTTAGCATTTAAATTCAATCTCTTGACCGGGCACAGTGGCTCACACCTGTAGTCCCAGCACTTTGGGAGGCCAAGGCAGGCGGATCACTTGAGGCCAGGAGTTCAAGACCAGCCTGGCCAATATGGTGAGACCCCCGTCTCTACTAAAAATACAAAAAAAATGAGCCAGGCATGGTGGCTTGCACCTGTAATCCCAGCTCAGGAGGCTGAGGCAGGAGAATCGCTTGAGCCCTGGAGGCGGAGGCTGCAGTGAGCCGAGATCGCACCAGCCTGGGTGACAGACTGAGACACTGTCTCGAGGGAAAAAAAAAAAAATCAGTCTCTTATAGCCCTTG
The DNA here is from genome assembly GCF_000001405.40 of Homo sapiens. Taxonomy (NCBI): domain Eukaryota; kingdom Metazoa; phylum Chordata; class Mammalia; order Primates; family Hominidae; genus Homo; species Homo sapiens. The sequence continues at coordinate 16,853,872 of NC_000023.11, read as the reverse complement.
TTCTTTTTTTTTTCTCTCCTTCTCTCTTAGACTGTTTGTCTGTGGGATATAAACGCAGGACCAAAAGAAGGCAAAATTGTGGATGCTAAAGCCATCTTTACTGGCCACTCAGCTGTTGTAGAGGATGTGGCCTGGCACCTGCTGCACGAGTCATTGTTTGGATCTGTTGCTGATGATCAGAAACTTATGATGTAAGGTGGAAAATTCAGTGGGATCTTGTTAAATGGGTGACCTGAATGACCATCAGTGATTGCTGCAGGCTGTAGTTTGATTTTTTTTTTTTAAGTTATGGCTTTAAAAAACAGCTTTAGGTAGCTTACTCCTGTAATCTCAATACCTTGGGAAGCTGAGGCAGGAGGATTGCTTGAGACCAGGAGTGTGAGACTCTACACAAAATTTAAAAACAAAAAATTAGTTGGGTATGGTGGTGTGCACCTGTAGTCCTAGCTACTCAGGAGGCTGAAGTGGGAGGATCACTTATTATTTAGAAAAAAAGAAAACTAGGTATGGACATGTGAAGGAACATACTTGGTGTGGTGGTAAATATCAAAATTGAGATCCAGAGTGATGCCAGTTGGAGGTCGAGGAGGAAAATGATTTCATCAAGGTGTGGCCACAGGGCTTCATTCACTTATAATCTTATAAAGAAATACCTGAGGCAAATGTGACAAAATACTGGGCATTTGTCAAAACTAGTTTTAGGTATCAGATTGTGACATTATTCTCTACATAGTCTGTATTTTGTGTACACTTGAAATAGTTGGTAATTAAAATAGGAATCTAATTTAAAAAACAGGACTAACAGCCCTAGCTTGTTCTCTGTAGGTTTCGAATGTATCATTTAGTGGTCGAGGTCTGAATCACCAGCTGTGTGGTTGGTTTCTTCATGAAGGGGAGCACATAGTGGAGCTAGTTGTGGAGTGCAGTGACAGTGATGTGAGGCCGAATGTGAGTGTGTCATCCCTGGGTGCCGTGTGCCTTTACCTTTGTGTTTTAGATGGGACACCAGGTCCAATACCACCTCCAAGCCGAGTCACTTGGTGGATGCGCACACTGCCGAAGTCAACTGCCTCTCATTCAATCCCTACAGCGAATTTATTCTAGCCACCGGCTCTGCGGATAAGGTTTCGAAGTTTTTGCATTATTTGGTGTTTATAAAACCCAGTTCTCTTGTGCCTTAATCAGATATTTGAAAATTCTTAGGTAAAGCATAGAAATCATTTTCACTTGTTATTTTTCTTTAGACCGTAGCTTTATGGGATCTGCGTAACTTAAAATTAAAACTCCATACCTTCGAATCTCATAAAGATGAAATTTTCCAGGTATGTGACAGTTTTCTGGTGTCTGTATGTCAGGAAATGAAATCCAGGGATTCATCAGTTAAGCTATACCAGACTCGTGGGTCCACTATTGAAAAAAATGTCTTGTACGTGGTGTTACATGGAGATGCTCATAGGGTAAGGTACACCTTGTTGAAGAATTAAAAAGCTTCTGGGATGGTTATGGGGTCGAATAAATTTATTGAGATCCCAGGCTGAGTTCCTCAGTGCTGGGGAGTGCAGCCTTCCTGAGGACAGGATGGAGCTGAGCCCTTGCAGAGCACTTGAAAGTCGGGGACAAGAGAGTGAGGCCATCAGGCCAAGGATAAGATAATAGAGTGCAAGATGGGAAAATATCAGATTAGAACAACAGCCACAAACCTAGCAGCGGATGATTCTTTAAATACATTTTCAAAATTATCTATTACTAGGTCCACTGGTCTCCACATAATGAAACTATTCTGGCTTCAAGTGGTACTGACCGCCGCCTGAATGTGTGGGATTTAAGGTAACTTACAGTCCTGTGACAAGATACTGCATAAATGTGCCTATCTGGCAAGTTACATAGTCATTCATAAACTAGAAAAGCAATTTGGTAATCCCCCCTTCAAGAAACCTAATATTAAAGAAACTTCTAAGCATCTTCCTAAAGAGCCTTTGTTCTGTAAAATAGAAGTGAAGCAGCAAATGGACCATAAAATAAATTTCTCTAGTGTGAGTTTTGTCTCTTAATATTCAGGCATGAAGGTGTATGTGTCTGTTTTTGTTTTTGCATTCAAATGACTGTATTTAAAACACACTTGATATAGAGAAATCAAGATGTTAGCTGTTTTATGTCTCATTGGATCTCAGTACGTGTAGGCAGGACTGTTTTTTCTGGGTTTTTGTACCATTTACTTTGCTTTCAGTGATTCATTCTGCAGATGTGCACTCCTGCTGTGGGTTGTGTAACTGCTGGGGAGACCTTTGTGAAGGGGACAAGGACAGCCCAAGCTGTCAGAGAGCTTATGTTCTCTGGGGCCTCATTGTATAAAGAGTTTCTGCCAATTTTTAAAGTTCCTTTAGTTCAGACTTGCTGTTCTAAGAATTTTAGACTCCTTTACTTGTTCATCTGAGCCTTTAGAACTTAATAAAGTTGCTCAGTTACATACTCCTCCGTAAGATGTCATCTTAAGTTTAAATCATAAAATTACCAAAAAATAACTTATTTCCTGCTTGTATTAAATATATTGCTTTGAAGTGGACTGAATTTAGTACAGGTTGAATATCCCTTATCCAAAATACTTGGAATAAGAAGTGTTTGGGGTTTTGGAATTTTTAGGATTTTGGAATATTTGCATTATACTTTATTGGTTGAGCATCTCAAATCTGAACTGAAAGTCCAAATTCTTCTTCTTTTTCTTTTCTTTTCTTTTCTTTTTTTTTTTTTGGAGACTGAATCTTGCTCTGTCACGCAGGCTGGAGTGCAGTGGCGCAATCTTGGCTCACTGTAACCTCTGCCTCCCAGGTTCAAGCAGTTCTCATGCCTCAGCTTCCCGAGGAGGTGGGTCTACAGGTCTACAAGCACTGCCACAGCCACCATGCCCGGTTTTGTATTTTTTACTAAAAAAATAAATAAATAAAGGCAGAGCTTTGCCATATTGGCCAGGCTGGTCTCAGACTCCTGACCCCACGTGATTCTCCCGCCTTGGCCTCCCAAAGTGCTGGGATTACAGGCATGAGCCATTGCACTCGGTGTGAAAGTCCAAATTCTGAGTGTCACGTGGTGCTTAAAGTTTTGGATTTTGGAACATTTTGGATTTGGGATGCTCAACCTATATATTAAAACCAAGGCTGCCTTAATTATAGAGGCAGTAATCCTCAGTATATAGAAGAGACGCTGGAGAATAAAATGCTTGTATGTAAAACTTAAAATAGCTAATGTTCAGGGTTCTGATGGAGCAAACTCTTGCCGTGATAAATACTTGAAGATGTAGAAAACCTTTAAAGCAGACAGTTGGGGGCATTGTATTTGATTTAAAAACAATTTTAGTAGTAAAATAAAACCTAAATCAAAACTATAAAGAGGTTGTATGAAGCGTACAGCAAGGTTTGGAAGTCTGATGCCCTGGCAACTGAATTGCCCCTGAAGGTGCCAATAATTTGTGAGCATTGTGTGTAATTTCTTCTTAGAATTATTTCTTAGCTTGTTTAATATTAAAATTACATTAGATAGGGGGCCAGGCATGGCGGCTCATGTCTATAATCCCAGTACTTTGTGAGGCTGAAGCAGGAGGATCGCTTGAACCCAGGAGTTCGAGACCAACCTGGGCAACATAGACCCTGTCTCTACAAAAAATTGTAAAATTACATTAGATAAAATTTGGGATTAAAATGGTGAGTTTTAGCAACTATACTGACAGGTGGAAGATAAGTATTGTCTAGCAATCCCACAGGTTTGAGATTGTTTGGTTAGTTTTGTGGGAAGGAAAAAAATGTCTCACTTGGAGGGCTGGGTTTTGTTTTTTAGTAGTTGTTACTACTAAAGTCTTTGGGCTAGGTATAAGGACAGGGCTGATATTGATACATAAAGAGTGATTTCACTGTTGAGCACTGGCAAATTCTACAAATTGAAGTTTTTAAGAGAAAAACCATAAAAACATTTCCTTGGCTTACACATTTCTCAAAGTTTTATTGCCATATCTTTAGACAGATCTATAGTACTGATTTGTAATTATATTTTACTCCTGGGATGCAACAGGCTTTGAGTGAAGTATAGGGATTGCACATCAGTTTATGTGTAGATTTTTTTAACTATACATTTCACCTTTTAATTCTAAGGCAATAAACAGTTAATGAAGGGATTTTGAGTTAATGTTTATTATTGACAATAATTCCTCATTCTGCAACTTCAATTATGAACAACTCTAACTTATTTCCAGAAAGTAAACATCCCGTCCTTACACCAAATATAAACAGTAGCCAGATGTGGTGAGGCTGAGGCGAGAGGATCGCTTTTGAGCCCAGGAGTTCAAGGCTGTAGTGCACAGTGATCGTGCCTGTGAATGAATAGCTACTGACTGCAGCCTGGGAAACATAGCGAGGCCATGTCTCTAAGGAAAAAAAAAACCTAATTGATTGTAGTATAGAAATAAGTTGTTTTTGTGAGTGTGTTTATGTTTTAAGATTACTTTCTGGGCTGATACTGGTTTAGCAGATGTTCGTGCTACAAGAATTTCACTGATGAAAGCGTTATATTCTTTATTCTTACAGTAAAATTGGGGAAGAACAATCAGCAGAAGATGCAGAAGATGGGCCTCCAGAACTCCTGGTACGCATTGGCTTATAGAAGATGAAATGTCATATGCAGATTGGATTGTCATTGATCTCTTTATTTCGAGAATGGGTCAGAACTTCGAATTCTAGCTCTTGCAGATGGTTTCAAAATGGAGGCCCTGAAGGTTATTGCAACTGGGCTTTGACATTTATCAAAAATAGTAAATGGAGCCCAGTAGGTTTTTATGAATGTTTCACTGAGAATGGTTTGAGGTCCTGGAAAATAGTATATAGTAATTTCTCACTGATTTCAACTCTGGTATTTGTGATGGTTTGGGGATGGGGAGTGAGTATAATTGCTATTCAGTTGGCAGTACTTAACATTTCCTAACAGTATAGAAAAAATTTTAAATGCTTTTTAAGTTTCCTGCCCAGAAAAGGAGTGCTTTCTCAATCTTGATGTTAGCAGAGCCCACTATCTCCCTCCCATGCCTGATTGAAGCATCACGCATCTCCTTGGCCCTTTGAAAGCTTATGTGGTGGTATCTGCCCATCCTCATTCTTCCCGTCTGAGTCCTTCAGTGCTCACTTCGTCATTTTTCTATGAAGCATTGCCGGATTTAGCAATGGTTCCCTGTCCTTGCTCTGAATCCAACATTTGTCTCCTCCCATTATTTGGCCGATAGTCACTCATCACTCTGTCATTTACGATTTTAGTTCTAATGCCAGTACTCATTTTTGGCACACTTGTACTTTGTCCATGAGTTTTATTTATTCATTTTTTCTGTGAACCTATGGAGTATATTGAATGTCCACAAGTTTTCAAAGGTAAAGAAGGTCCTTGAGAGCAAGCCCTGCACACAGAAGATGTTCACTAAGCCCACCTTGTAAGAATGCTCCAGACCCTTTTATTTTGATGACGGCTTTACTGAGATATAATTTACATACCACACAGTTCACTTCTTTAAAGTGTACAGTTCAGTGGGGAGGGAGTGTTCTTGGGTTTTGGGGGTTTTTTTTCTTTTTTTGTTCTTGAAGTCAGTGGTTTTTAGTATATTCATAGACTTGTAAAACTATCACCACAAATCAATTCTAGAACATTATTCATCCCCTCCAAAAGAAACTATAGCTATCACCTCCCAATTCTCTTCTTCCTCCAGCCCTTGGCAACTACTGTGCTACTTTCTGGCACTATAAGATTGGGCTATTCTAGATATTTCATATAAATATGACTTTTGTCTTTTGGGACTGATTCTTTCACATAGTACAATGTTTTCAAGGTCTCCAGCTATTTTTTTTAGGGAGAAAGGAAAGCGTATTACTTTGTATATTATGCCTCTGCAACAATTCCAAGGTCCTTGAGAAAATACACTAGGATTTTGCTTTTTACAAGAGAGCTTGAAATCAAGGGACATTTGAGAGTAGTAAACTGGGCCTGGGCATGGTGGCTCCTGCCTGGAATCCCAGCACTTTGGGAGGCCAAGGCAGGTGGATCACGTGAGCCCACAAGTTCAAGACCAGGCTGGGAAACATGGCAAAACCCTGTCCTGTCTCTACCAAAAAAAAAAAAAAATACATAAATTAGCCAGGTGTGGTGGCGCGTGCCTGTAGTCCCAGCTACTTGGGAGACTGAGGTAGGAGAATCACCTGAGCCCGGGAAGTTGAGGCTGCAGTGAGCCATGATCACACCACTGCACTCCAGCCTGGGCAATGGGAGTGAGACCCTGTCCCAAAAACAAAGTAGTAAACTATTCCACCAGTATGCTTTGATAACTCCTGTATGTTTTCTAAGCCCCAGTGATCTTAAAATATATTCACCTGTGTACCCCTTAAGAGTACTCTCTCTGTCGCCCAGGCTGGAGTGCAGTGGTGCAATCTCAGCTCACTGCAACCTCTGCCTCCCGGGTTCAAGTGATTCTCCTGCCTCAGCCTCCCGAGTAGCTGGGACTACAGGTGCGCAACACCATGTCCAGCTAATTTTTGTATTTTTAGTAGAGACAGGGTTTCACCATGTTGGCCAGGATGGTCTTGATCTCTTGACCTCGTGATCCGCCCGCCTCAGCCTCCCAAAGTGGTGGGATTACAGGCGTGAGCCACCACACCCGGCCAGTATATTCACTTGTGTACCCCTTAAGAGTACTTTAAAAAGCTATTTACCTCTTTTTTTTTTAAGTCAAGGTCTGGTTCTGTCACCCAGGCTGGAGTGCAGTGGCGCAGTCTTAGTTCACTGCAACCTCCACCTCCCAGGTTCAAGCTGTCTTCCCATCTCAGCCTCCTGAGTAGCTGGGACTATGGGCACACCCCACCACGCCCGGCTAATTTTCGTATTTTTTGTAGAGACGGGGTTTTGTCATGTTGCCCAGGCTGGTCTTGAACTCCTGAGCTCGAGCCATCCGCCTGCTTTGGCCTCCCAAAGTGCTGGGATTACAGGCGTGAGTTTTACCCAGCCCCACCTCATATTTTTAACCCGATAAGATTATTCGGTAAAATAGATACATTGCATAATACCTAGTTGGCAGGCAGAGACCTCATTGTCAAACTAGAGTCAAATCAGACTTTGTCAGAAAGTGTGATGTCCCAGTTCCAAACAGTGTATTTAGTACTGTCCTTGTGAAGAAGTGTTTCGTTTAAATCTTAATTCTAAGATAAAAAAATAAGGCATAGTGCATTCCGACGAGGTTGTCTCTTGCGGGGAACAACTGCTCTCTTCAGAATTGTTTAGCAAAGCTCTCACCTTAGGCATAGCTTATGAGGGACTATCTGGAGCTATGCTTTTGGAGCCAGGGATTTTCTTTCACCCTGGTGCTGTCTGTGTACGTTGGAAAGATGGGCAAGAAGTATGCCTCTCTCAGTAAAGTGGAGAGGGGAAGAACCAGAAGACTCCTCAGGCCCCTTGTATAATAGAAGAGTATGTTACATGGCATATAACGGATTGATTACCTTAGATGTTTGCACCTAACTGTATATGAGCAAATGATGCTGGATTAATGTTCATCATAATCAGTATGGAAATGGCATTTTGACTAGGAAAATGTCCTCATTCTTAAGGGATGCAGGCTGAAGTCTTCAGCCATTTCATTGTATAGGCTCATGGATAAAGCATCAGTTATGCTAGTATCACTTGGTGAATCTAGGTAAAGGGTATACAGGTATCCATTGTACTATATTCTGTCACCTATTCTGGAGGTTTGGAAATTTGCAAAATAAGTATAAATAGATTACTGAGCCTGTACCACCTTCTAAAACCAGACAGCACCCACCCCCAGTTGAAATACTGATAGCTCTAAAAACTTAGTAAAACCTTTGTTAGGATTAACAGGAGAGTATATGAAATCAAAGCTTTTTTTGTTCTTGTAACAGTTTATTCATGGAGGACACACTGCTAAGATTTCAGATTTTAGCTGGAACCCCAATGAGCCTTGGGTCATTTGCTCAGTGTCTGAGGATAACATCATGCAGATATGGCAAATGGTGAGTTAAAATGTTTTTCTTGAATGACTGTCTTGTAAAGGAGAGATTTACTACTTACATAATGTAATAAAGTTATTTCGAATATGTAGGTGCATATTATGCCAAACATTTACAGAAACCGTTTAAAAGAACTTTTTCCATTTCAACAATACAATCTTTAGTCCCATATGGTGCTTCGTCCACTGTTTGCTATTTGTAGCACCTGTCAGGTCAGGAGAAATCTCTGCATCTGCACTGATTTTCATTGTTGTTGTGCTCTTCATACACTGGAGTCTTGGCGTCGCTACTCTGTCTCCAGTGTCTGTTCTGTGTGGTAGGCATGAGGGATACAGGAAGGAGAGGTCAAGGCATTCAAATGACAGCAAGTTCTCTGAGGATGAGCACTAAGTAGCTGACATTTCTAAGTTGTTGTTAACCGAGACTTCCATAACATCTGGGCTACCACTTCCTCTAAACGATGCTTGAAGTGCCTTTGGAAAACATCTCTTATGAACAGTGATTGAAATAAGTAGTGCATCGATGGGTGGCTAAGTATACATACGGAATTACACACTGGCAAAGAATTTTTCAAAATACTGGCTAGCCTACCATTTCCTTATTGAAGTTTTTAAGAGAGAAATGTAAAAATGAAACTATTAAGTTCTAAATAGATTAAATTGTTTTTACATGACCATGTGAAAACCATAGGGAGTTTTTACCTGTGAATTTATTTGGTTATCTCCAGGCTGAAAATATTTACAATGATGAAGAGTCAGATGTCACGACATCCGAACTGGAGGGACAAGGATCTTAAACCCAAAGTACGAGAAATGTTTCTGTTGAATGTAATGCTACATGAATGCTTGATTTATCAAGCGCCAAAAAGGCATTGTATAGTAGGAAATGTAAGTGGGGTGGCTTATGGCTTCTTTATCCTCTGATTCTAGCACTTTCAAGTGAGCTGTTGCGTACTGTATCATATTGTAGCTATTAGGGAAGAGAAGAATGTTGCTTAAGAAAGAACATCACCATTGATTTTAAATACAAGTAGCAGGGTATTGCCTTTGATTCAACTGTTTTAAGTCCTCATTTTCTCAAACTAAGTGCTTGCTGTTCCCAAATATGCAAGAATAACTTTTACACTTTTTCCTTCCAACACTTCTTGATTGGCTTTGCAGAAATAAAGTTTTAAAATAAAACTTGTGTTTTTTTAAAAGCTTAGTGGGGGGGGGCGGGGGAGTCTACTTTTTGAGTAGAAATGGGTAAAATGGTACCTTTGGACTCCTACAGTTAAGGTCACATGGATAATGAAAGAATACACAGAAGCTGTTAAGTTTATCATACATATTTACTTAATCTATACAGAATCAAGTAGATAAAATCAGATTCACATTAGTGAAAAATCTCTACAAAATGTCTTTGAAAAGCAAAACGAGACTGCCTCTTAACAATTCGTATCCTCATGAAAGACGTGGGCTGTAAAAATAAAGCAGTGTGTTTAGCACAAACTAGAAGATATCTGCATCATTTTTTTCACAGTTATTTCCATCTACAGTCTGAAAGAGGTAGATTTTTCTGCAACACCTGAGAATTGAATTGTGATAACCAGGTGTAATAAAGGCAGTTGCATACATAACTGAAAAATACTGGTCTCAAGACCAAGAAATGTACTCCTAACAAGTCTGAGGATGAAATGGTCCATATTACCCAAGACCCAAGTTTTCTCTACACCTTGGAGTCCACCGCCAATATAAATAATACACATCACGATTCCATGATGGTGCAACAATTGCAATTTAAGTGAATTCAACATTTAAACCTTTTCTGGGCCAGCCTAGTAGCATTACAGTGTTCTAGAATATGGTAGATACGGGGTGCGCTACAAAGCCACAACACTGGGCTGGTGAGGTGATCACTGTAGGAAGATGTCCTTCTCAGGGGGTCCCATTTGTTTTTATTCACAGGGTAATGGGAGGAAGGGTTCTGAAAGGACAACAAATGCATCCCAGACAGAATCCATATCCTTTCAACACTATAATAGCATCTAGCTAAAAATACAAAGTAAGCCAAAAGCAGCAGGCCAAGTACTGTTAATCACATTGCTTTAAAGCCCTTGGAAGTATGCAACAGGCCCAAGATTTACAATCTTCCACACAGGACAAGCACCACAAAGAAACGTGGTGGGCTACACAAATGGCTTAATAAAATGTTAAGAGCTGTACATCCAGCAGAGTTCTTGTGAAATAATGTGATCATTAGTACTAATTTTAAGGTGGATTATATTTCTGATCTATACCTGCATTCCCCCCCACCACCAGGGAAATGAGTCTAGTATTTTAGTAGCAGAACAGGGTGTACTCCTAAGAGGCTGTTGGAGGGTGGTGTTTTTTGCTTCTGACTCATTTTGATGGTAATTAGATAATCTACTTTGTGGATTTATTTTCCTCCACTGTGGCCCCTTGAATTAACATGACTGATAGTGGAGGCTTAGATACAACCCTCCTCCACTCCAGGCGGTTTCCTATCTATCTATCTGTTGGACAATTTTCAATTCTTTCAACCCAGTTTCGACCATGAATGTGACAGGACTTTACAAATAACACTTGTAACAAAGAGAAAACCCTTTTAACTGGACAAAACAGAGTTTATTCAGTCCAGTAAGCAATTTAACAAGTGTCAGTCTGATAGTTTTGCTCAGTGGAATGTGCTAACATCAGTTCTAGTAGAACCTTTTATTTCATAAAGCATTTCAATGCAAATTATACCAGGGACAAAGTCAAAACTTCCATCAGTGCAGCCTGATTAATCATCTGCATAACTGCGCCACATTCAACATTGAAACAAAGAACTAATTCAAAAGTTATGTGCTTAATTTCAAATTTTCCCCCAGTCCAAGTGTAGAGACCTTGATAATACTGTGGCTTTTCTTTTTTCTTCTTAAAAAAGAGATGGTAACTAAGAAGGGGGTGAGAAAACAGACTGAACACGTAAGTAACAGATCATGACTAACACTCTGCCAAGTCTTCCCAAAGTAAAAATGTTGGTGCCAGTGTTTGTTTTGGAAATGAAAATCAATTTCGGTTGGTACTGATCCATAATGAAAATTCCCTTTTGAAAAACCTGGAGTACTTTGCTGGTGGAATTTTTGTAGTAACTTTCAAGTAGCCAGAAGGTATTGGAGAAACTTCTGCCTAGTGAAAGTGACACGTGAATTGACCGTCCTTGTCTTTGACAAGGGACTTCATTGAACGGCAAACATGAACACCAGTTTTCAAAGAATAAGTGGCCTTCTATGGGAAGTGGAGAATATGTACTGAAATCCCAAATCAGAATCAAACACAAACCGCCATCCTCTACGGGAGCCCCTCATGGTCCAAATCCCACACCTGAAACCAAAGCAGGATGACTGTTCAGTCACGTAAACACTAAGCTTATTTGTCTAGTGATTTGCCTCTATGTACTATTTTGTCCACAAGTGACATCTTTATATACATATTCTGCCGAAACTTAGGATTCTAGGCATGTGGCCATCTCAATTTGTCCCGAGATATAAATGTTTTCAAAAAGCTAATTTCAATCAAATATGCTTCTGACCCAACACTAGGAGTTTTATTTTTACTTGGCATTTAAATGGGTTATTAGACAAAACTAATCGCCTTGGTATTTTGTTTTTCTGAATAATATTATGGGGGGGGGGGCTAAGACGTTTAAATTAATATTGTTTTCACATCAAGGAACCATCGTCAGAACAAAGTTCCCTTGTAATGGTCGGCCCTGTCAGTGAAATTTTCATTAGGATGATAATGTGCAAGGAGCAGGGAGAGAAAGGACAAGGCAATGAACACATGCATTCCAGTGGAGGGAGAACGAGGCTGATGTGCAACACAGCTGAGGAAAATTTATAGATTAAACTATTCAAAACTGCTAAGCAGCCTCCTGTACCACATAAGTCCAGTAGTTCTAAGAAAATACAGATATGGTAGAAAAAGTAAGAAAATTTTCACCACAAAACCAATAGTTAACTACTAACAGAGAAAGTTATACACAAAATATATCTCTCAATACAGTGATCACACCTCATCTTAGTCAACCGACTCGATGGCCGGAGCAGAGCCTGTGGACGGGGGCTTTTGCACAGCGCTTCTCTGACTCTTGGGCTCAGCCTCCAGGTGCGCTCCCAGGGCTCTTTTCGAGGAAGTGTTCAGCTCCTTGTGAGAATCCAGGGCAGTACAGGGCTGCATCACAGGTGTTGCTAAATCCCTGTTCGCCGCTTTGATGGCCGCTTTGATGGATACCTGCTCTTTCAGGACTTCCACCTTCTCATTGAGCTCATTCCTTTCTGTCTGAAGAGCCCTGCACAGCTTCTCTAACCGTTCCAGTTTTATTTGAAGGGCCTTGTACTCTTTATCACGGACTGTTTTCTGTAAGAAAAAAGAGGATTTCTGTAACCCTGTTAAATATCAATCAGGTTACAAAAAAATTAAGCCAGCTCAGCCATATTGGACACTTCTCACCTATGGAACATGTTCCGTCTCTTCAGCCTCCTAACATTCTAGCTAGCTAGCATGACTGCACCCATAACTATACCGAATGAGATTTAGCATATTGTTTCAGGGGGACAAAATTAAATTCCTTTTGTCACTTTTTTTTTTTTTGAGACAGAGTCTTGCTCTGTTGCCAGGCTGGAGTGCAATGGCGTGATCTCGGCTCACTGCAACCTCTGCCTCCTGGGTTGAGGTGATTCTCCTGCCTCAGCATCCCGAGTAACTGGGACTACAGGCGCGCCCCACCACGCCCAGCTAATTTTTGTATTTTTAGTAGAGATGGAGTTTCACCATGTTGGCCAGGATGGTCTTGATTTCCTGACCTCGTGATCTGCCCGCCTTGGCCTCCCGAAGCGCTGGGATTACAGGCGTGAGCCAAAGATAAACTTTTTAAGACATTTCCTATTGAACTATTAAGGAAATTCAAGATATGACAAAGAGTAGCAGACACAAAGGCCTACATACAGAAAATGACTCACTTCTACATAGATTTCTCCTCTTCCAATTTTTAGATGAGAAGTTTGTTGTTTTTTTTGAGACAGTCTCGCTCTGTCGCCCGGGCTGGAGTGCAGTGGTGCAATCTCAGCTCACTGCAACCTCCGCCTCCCAGGTTCAAGCAATTCTCCTGCCTCAGCCTCCTGGGTAGCTGGGACTACAGGCACGTGCCACTACGCCCAGCTGATTTTTGTATTTTTAGTAGAGACGGGGTTTCACGATGTTGGCCAGGCTGGTCTCGATCTCTTGACCTCATGATCCGCCTGCGTCGGCCTCCCAAAGTGCTGGGATTACAGGCGTGAGCCACTGTGCCCAGCCGAGAACAAGGTTCTTGTACACATGTGCCCCAGCGTTTTCTTTCTTTCCTGAAGTGTTATATAAAACAGGCAAAACGTACTTTGTTGCTTTTTTTGAAAGCCTAATAAGTCAAGCTAGAAAGGCCCTACATGCTGCATCAGCATCACCTGCATGCTTGTTAGAGAGGCGGATTATCTGCCTCCGCCCCCAAGAACTAGTGACTCAGCCTCTGGGAGAAGCCCAGCAATCCTGGTCTTAACAAGCAGGCGTCTGATGCAAGCTCAAGTTTGAGAAATCACTGCTGTAGAAGAAAGCAAAATCTAGATGTTTTATGCTATCTCCGACACAAGCCTGGGCTGATTAACTGGGTGGTAGGAAGCTCAGCCCCTCACTCAGGGCCCTGTCCCTAACCTAACTGCCAGGAAAGAAGTCACAGATTCTACCCAGCAACTCATCCCCACCCCCGCCCCAACGCGGGCTGGAGTCCTCAACTATGGTAGTAGTGTTACAGCACACGTCCCCGGCCCCGATAGGTACCTGAACTCAAGGAGTCCCCATGACTAAGACTACACCTTAGTCGCAGGAAACCATCTCACCTCTTCAGCCATTTGCAGAAGTGCTTTATTATTGTTTTCCCATTTGGTACGCCAAATTATTGTTTCTTTTTCCAGTTTTTTAATTTTCTTTGTCATCTGTGAATACAATTGCACATTTAAATTCTAAGTTCCCTTCCTTATCTCTACTCCCTGTCCCAGTACACAAAAATGTTTCTGTGCCCCTCCCCTCCCCCATCCCTGCACCTCCCTCACCCAGCTGACAGCTGTGTGTGTCTTTATAGAAGTAGCTGTGCCTGCCTGTCGGTAGCAGAGCTTATCTCAGAAGCTCCTAGGGTGGAACCAAAGAAGGGGGTTTGTATTATGAGAAAAACAAATTTAATCTCCTCAATTTCAGAGGCAGCAGCACATGGAGGAAGCTGTCAGCCACCACACTCTGAACTCAGTTAAGGCTGAAGTGCAGCTTTCATCCCAGCTCCGGGTAGCGAGAGACAAGCCCTCCTTCTCCCTAAGTTGTATGAAAAAATGCCCATGACTGAGTTTTCTGTCCATTAAACGAATTCCTCAGATTCTTGGGAGGACAGCGATCTTCAGCCCCACAAGACATTAAGAACTGACACTCCACCACAACCTCCAAGAACACATCAGTTTCAGAACTCAAGGCAGCATGATTCAGGTAAGACTCCAGTGACCAAGAAGATAAAAGTAGTTAATACCTCAGCTTTGGTCATCCTCACAATTCGTGAGGCTGATTTACTTCAGATTTTGCTAAAGATAAAGTGGGTCCCCAAATCAGGGAAGTGTTAAACCTATGCTACCAGAACACAATTTTCAGAAATTCAGGATGCATTTATCCATGCCTGTAGCTAGCTACTTTCTCAATATGCCTTCATCTACTGTTGACTGCACACCAGCTCTGATCCAGGTCGGGGCATTGAGCCAGGTGGTGTTAAGGGAAACAAGGATAAGACAGAGCCAGTGCCCTGTGCCTTGGGTAATTACCCACAAAACTGTAACACAAGGCAAACCGGGACAAAGGCCATGGGAAGAGCTGGTGGAAGACCTAGGTTGACTGCTGACCCATGGTGATCTCTGCAGCCACGGACAGAGAGGAATGTGTTCCAGTCCCAGAGGACCAGAAGGATGGCAGATCCAGGAGGCGGGAACTCTCTGTTCCACCTCAACAGTGAGTCTGTGCTGGCGTCCAGCTATCACCTGCACTGTGCCTAACAGCGCCCCCTCAATTGCAGCCTCAACTGAAAGGACTGGCAGGCAGAACGAATCTGCTGCTCATGGAATTCTCCAGATTACCAGGTCTAAAAATACCTGGAGGTGGTAATTTGAGCACCAATCAGCCACATGGTAACTGAGTACATGTTAATGTGCCAAGCACTGTCTGAAATACTCTATTTCATGAAGGGCAGGTTTTTGTTACCAATTTTAACAGTGAAGGAACAGAAAGGTTTAACAATTTGTCCATAGTCACACGTTCTATGATGCAACTGGGACATTAACCCAGGGCGCACGGTCTCCACCACTATGTGAGATCTAATAATAGTCATGACTAACATCTACTGAATGCTAACAAAGTGCCAGGCACTACTGTACTTCTCCCCAACCCAACGCTATGTTTTTAAATCCCCCATTTTTAAGGGAAGGATGCCAAGTAAAATAAGGCTGGCTGGCTGGCTGGATATGCATAGAATTATATACTTTGGTCCTTAGCTTGATCTCAAGGATATCTCTTTCCTTAACATAGGCAGGAAAATGCAACAGAAGCAAAAGAATTGGTTGGGTCAGGGGAGAAAGAATTCAGTGGGAGTAAAG
This sequence comes from Homo sapiens, assembly GCF_000001405.40. Classification (NCBI taxonomy): domain Eukaryota; kingdom Metazoa; phylum Chordata; class Mammalia; order Primates; family Hominidae; genus Homo; species Homo sapiens. The sequence goes on along the minus strand of NC_000023.11, from coordinate 16,838,131 downwards.
ATAAGAAAAACAGAGAAGCTAAAAAAGGTAGAAACACTGATATATCAACCAACCAAAATATATGATTATTATTCTGGGCTTGGATGTCTTTCAATAGTTAATCTCCAAGGACACAGAGTTTTATGAGAGGGCTGAGGATGATCCTCTAAAGTGGTTAAAACAAACAAAAAACAGCAACACACCAAAAAAACCACCACTTTATTTCTAACAAGTTGCATTTAATATAGGATTTCACTATAATAAAGGTAGAATTCTAAGAGCATAGAGAACATTAGCTACTTGGGGTACATTGAGGGCAAAATGACCAAAAATGCCACTGGAGGATCACTAAAGAGAAAATGAAGACAGTATCATAACAAAGGAAACTCAGCAAAATAGTAATCACACTTAAAAGAGCTTATACAAATTCCATTTGATATACTATTCTACTAAAAATATGTAAATACCTTTTCCATTTCCTGTCTGAAGGTTGTAAACAGTTCATTGCTTTTTGCCATGGTAGTCTGGAATTCTTCAAACTTATCCATATAAAGAGAAAGCTATAGGAAAAAAAGTATGAAACATTCTGAGTTCCATGCAAACAATTCCAGTTCCCAAACTTTCAAAAGAACGTAGTATGGTTACTTATTACAAGTGATAGAAATACGAACAAATGCACATCCAATCCTTGGACACCAGACATAGATGGCTAAAGTTCTGACAACCCACAGAAATGCATTAAAACTGAGGACATTCTGTTGACTTTAATATTAGATCTCCACCCATTGGTCATAACACAGCCTGAAGGATGTGGTGACTATAAACGTCATGCATGTGGAGTGCTCGCCCAACTACCCCTCTCCTGCCAAGTGAAAACTGTCCTTGGGAAAAGATCATTCCTTTAGAATACCACCTGCAGAGTTCTTAGTTTGATAGCAATGGTATCTCTTTCCTTAACGAAGGGAGGAAAATGCAACAGAAGCCAAAGAATTGGTTTGGTTGGGGAAGAAGAATTCGGTGAGAGTAAAATTAAAAGAAAACGTAAAGAGATCTACTCTTAACATAGTCCTACCCTCAAGGAATTTTTATTTAAGGATGAGGGAAAAATGCTAACCAACAAGGCAAGCAAAATATAAAATGGAGTCACCATCTTCTCCCCCTTAGAAAGGAGTCCAGAGAAGTATACGGGGAAGGGCACACTGAGGCTCAGGATACTTAGGGGAAGCTTCATGTGGGAGGCCTGAGCTGGCCCTCATAGGTGAGCTGAATGAGTTCATCTTAGACCAGGAGGGAACCTTTCAGAGACTATCCAACATAATCACATTATTTTCAGGATAGGGGAACAGAGAGAGACCCAGAGGAATAAAGTATTTTGGGCAAGATCACACGATAGATATAAGAAAAGCAGAGAAGAATAAAGGATCTTCAGAGGCCAAGAAACAGCATAAGCAGTGCTGGATGCAGAATATTCACCAGCACCACCTAGCGCACAGGATGCAGGGCAGGGTGGAATATGATGGTGCCCGCCCAGCCACAGCCAGCAGGGGGACGGGCCATCCCGGAAGCACTTAAGCAGCACGCACTGTGGTGTGGTGGACGCAGAAGCCAACTGAAAGTTAGTCATCTCACAGTGACCTTGTGCTTGTTAGGCTAGACGAGGTCCCTGTGAGATGGCCAAGCCACATCTGCACAAGGGCCTGGCCTGGGATGAGGACAAAGCAGGAAGAGAAATGCAGGGTGACCTGGAGAACACACAGGATTTGTTAGCAGACACTGACGGGGCCTCTGACATGACAGGCCTGGAGTTGGGGCAAGAGTGGTGCTCACGCAGAGGGAGGGAGCAGTATTAGTGCCTGAGGGACATTAGAAGTTACAGCAGTTTTGATGTGGTCCTTTAGGGTCTCACTCTGTCGCTCAGGCTGGAGTGCAGTGGCGCAATCACGGCTCATTGCAGCCTCGACCTCCCTCTTGGGCTCAAGCAATCCTCCCATCTCAGCCTCCTGAATAGAGGGGACTGTAGGCACACACCACCACACCTGGCTAATTTTTGTATCTTTTATAGAGATGGGGTTTCACCATGTTGCTCAGGCTGGTCTCAAACTCCTAAGCTCAAGCGATCCGCCCGCCTTGGCTAGGATTACAGGCATGAGCCACTGCGCCTCGCAGGCACAGTCCACTTTTATTGAAAATGGAACATCCAAATAAAGACTGTCCCATGTGAGAGTTCAGTGCTGGCCCAGTGGGTAGCCAATAAGTGGCCACTATTATCACACATGGACCTCCATGGCTAGATTACAAAACAGCGGGTGAAGACAGCACAAAGACTTTGAGTTACACCAGCAGATGCTGGGAAATGACATGGTGAGGGCAGAGAAGGTGAGACATGCTTGGGAAGGACAGCCACATTTAGAGGAAAACAAGAGGTGACAGCAAAGGAAACAAATAGTGACTGGATAAGAGGACTCTGAGTGGTACAGATCACAGACAACAGAAGCTACGATGGTGACAGTACAATAGAATTGGAGCTGGCCTGGGGGCTTGGTAAAAGGGCCCTCTGGTGACTTCCGCAGCATTGTCAATGACACCCACGTTCAGGAACATCTTCCAAAGCCATCTGGAGACTTCGTACCTTCTCCACATCAATTCTCATCTCTATTTACATGGACAACTGACTGTATAGGGCTGATAAGTAAGAGATTCAAATCTCCTAGAAGCTTTCTGGCATGATCTTCGGTTCCAAAGATTCCTCATATCTGACACCTCTTGAATATTCACTCTAAGTTAGGCTAGCTTTATAGGACCTTAAATTCATCACATTGTAAGATGTTCCCAAAGAAAAGCAGCACTCCAAAGAGGTGCTCATGAAGATCATGCCAGTCTCAAGGTCTCAGTGTTATTTTACAGCTAATCTAGAGTCTTCACAAAAACTTATATGATAAACTTTTAAGTAACACTTCTTTCAGCCAAATGTAATCTAGTTAACTGAAAAAAAGGATGAATGTATAGGTAGAAATGCCTAATTTTACCCATCTGTAAAGCCACGGCAAGTCTTTCCTGTACCTTTTTTTTTTTTTAAGGAGCTAACTCCTCCTACACTCATTCCACACAAGGCAACCACAGAGAGAGATCACAGCAGGACACACTTACAGGGTCTGGAATGAACAAGAGGGAGGGCCCTGATGAAAAACACCAGCACAAGCGATCCTGCCGCCTCGGACTCCTGAGTAGCTGGGACTACAGGCGTGCCACCACACCCAGCTATATGTAGTTTTTAAAACAACTTACGTGCTTATAGCACAAAACTCTAAAGATATTAGAGTTCACTATATGAAATTGCCATTTTTTTAGGCCAAGGACATATTCTTGTCTTGTTTAGCAATTTCACGTGGTTCAACTTGATACAAAATAAATAAAATATGCAGATGTATCAGTTTTCCTTTAGTGGGAAATTTAGTGTAACCGACTGAAAAAGGGAGGAATTATCTGGGCTCTTAGAAAGGGTCACTGAAGACAGGTTGACTAACCGTCCCAGGCTGCCTGAGACGGGGCATTTCCTGGGACACGAGACTTTCAGTACCAAAACCAGGAAAGTGCTGGGCAAACTGGGATGAGGTAGTTAACCTAAATAAAGTGGAAAATACCAAGAGGGCCATGAGATTTCTGCCTCAGTCCTGGTCAGCTCTGGCTGGGAAAAAGCAAAAAGCAAAACCATCTTAGAGGAGATTGAAGATATGCAGAATCAAAGGAACCACAGATTTTTCTTACAAATTGTACTATCCCCTGCTGTGAAGTTACCTGCTGTTTTAGTTGTACTTCTTGCTGTTTCATTTGTTCGTATTTGTGCCTCGATTCTGTCGCTTCTTTTAATAACTAGAAAACAGAAACATTCTGGCAAAATGCTAATGGTAATTACAAGCAGGACTAAATATCAAATGATCAGAGTTAGGCTTCATCCTTCTATTTTAGCAAGAACCACAGGTCTACAGATGAAACAGTCTGTTCCACAAATTGCCATTTACCTGTATCTTCTATCTGTCCCACTGGTTAACACTTAGGAATGCAGGAACAATCTTTTTATTGCTGAAGCAGAAAAAGTACCCTGGGGGCCTAATATGGTTTCTAAAACTCAGAGTTAAATTGTTGTGTTTTAGGTGAAAATAATTACATGTACAGTATTAGCAGAGAACACGGCTGATAATCTTGATATTATCTGGGTGACTTAGAAAAGCCCCGCTATTCCCTGAGGCAAGACGAGGCAGAGTGAAAGCGTATGGGGAAAGCAACGCAATCAATCTTGAGACCTGGTTTCTGAGCACTTTTTTAGAAAGCGGGGAGGGGGTGGACATTTTCATTTATATATAGTACTTGTGCTTTCAAGAAAATCACAAAGTTGCATAGTAGGCAGTTGTGAAATTCAGTCCCTGAAGTAAAATATCACACATAGTCCAAAGAAGCCTAGAAAAGTCCTACTGAAGCAACCAGAAAGTACACACATGTAATGAATATGAGTGTGTGTGTGTGTGTGTGTATAAAATTTATATTCCAACTTTGGAAATGATAACCATTTCTCAGCTGAACACTGGATACTATTGTCAGTTCATATGGAAGGATGACACTGTGAAAAACATGTCTCTCTAAACCCTAGATGCACTCAGTGTGACATGCCCGCATGACGAGGGCCACTCAGGAACTGAATCTTCACACTGTGCTCATGTCAGGGCTGTGGATGCAACAGTCTGCATTATTGCAATCATTTCTCCCTTGTGGATAAGCACTTAGCTGAATTTGCACATGGTAATATACATACCCAATGAGATTCCACTGTATTCACAATTACTGACAGGCAATAGAATCTGAGCATACACTGGCAACAATGCTGAGTGATTAGGGTAGAGAATTCTGTTTAAATTTTATCAGAAAATTATACCAGAGTAAGTAAATAAATGACTTCCCCAGTTTCAAGTTACTTGTTTGAAAACAAAATGTAATCATATATAGGAGAGCTGTGGCTTGGTAAGCTTGTTGTTAAACTGAATCACCAAATTTAACATGCTAAATGTGAGCACACAACTCTTGAACCTGATGACCATTATCTAAGATGGGAACTAAATATTCTAAGCACAGAAAAACAACAAGTGCAGGTCTTCCCACTGATTTGGTATAATCTTTCCAGTATATTTTCTGTATAAAAGGTTAAATAGAAATAAACAGCCAAATGCTTTCTAACACACACACACCACATACTCTCTTCTCAATCTACAGCAAAACACCAGCTGGCATGCCCCCAGGTGCTACATTAAAGGTAGAATAGATAAATGTTTCAAACGGCCTTGGTTACAATTTGATGTTTCAAATGGCCTCAGTTACAATGTTGGCAATAATGTCTTTGTTTTTAAGAAGTAGAACTTACAAACTCTCTCTCTCTCTGATGTTTTTCATCAGCTTCTTTTATCAGTTGTGTCGTTTGCTGCAGTTTGGCATCCACGAGCTGCTGTTGCAGTTCCTTATGTTTGAACACCTTATCAATGTGCTATGGGAAAAGGAGAGTTTCTTCCATCACTCACCAAAGAAAGGAACACAGTGGGGAGGAAACATCACAGCAGTTACAGCACCCTGCTCACCCTGCTGTTCTGCTACTACCACTGCAGCTAAGAACACCAGCTCTCTCTCTGTCCCTGTATACTCCGCTGAGAGAAGCGGCAATTTGACACCACCTTGCAAACCATCCCACATGGGCAGAAGCGTGGCCCTTTGACTGTTGCCTGTTCCCCCACCCTGTCAGACATGGGCTGTCCCCCTCACCAGCTTGGTATTTCCTATTTCTGCCCCACACTGAAAATAAGGCTCAGAGTGCACCAAGACAAAGAAGGATAAGAAGAGCAAAGTACTAAACCATACATCATGCACACAGTTCCTTTTTTCCCTCCCCATATTTTCCCAAATTCCTTAGCTGGAGGCAGCATGGTATGATGGTAGGAATGGCCCAGGTCAAATCCTGGCCAGTGTGTGGCCCTGGGCTAATTCCTCTCCACGCTGGAGCGCAGTGCCCTCCTCTGTACAGGGGGATACCTCCACCTACCTTGCAGAGCTGTAACAGTAAATGCGATGGTGGCACTAGGTAAGGTGCTTGGTGCCTGGCACACTTTAGACATTTGGTAAAAGTTCATTAGTATTTCCAAACAAAACTGTTAAGTGGTTACTGATGTATAATAAAGTCAACAGAACAATCCCTTCCCAGCTGGAGAAACGGAACTCTTCCAGTTACAATACCCTACATGAGAGGGGAAAATGCTGGTTGGTGAAGTAAGGTGGTCTAACTATGTATTGAGAGCACCACAGACTGCTCTCAAGAGAGCGCCTGCAAGTAATTTGATCATTATATTCTGACCAAAGAACATAACATAAGACACATACAATATGATTTAAACAAATCTGATTTTCAAATCTGCTACATCAGTTATGAGGTACATAGACTGTCAAAACAAACAACAAAACTAAAAGAATCATTTTAAGACAATTAAAGGCTTTATAATCTAATAAAAAGAAAATTTAACCTCTATGACAAAAAAGACGTTTCTTCAATAAATACAGTGTAAGAATAAAGGGGGGGAACCTATATTTTAGAGACTGGCGTTATATAAACCAGTGAAATGGACTTTCTTTGGATCTTGTTTCAAACAATTTCTCTTTTAAAAAGAAGCTGATCCAAAAAATTTGAATAGTGACTAGATACTTAATATTCAGTAATTGTTATTTATTTGAGACAGTCTCACTCCCATCACCCAGCCATGAGTACAGTGGTGGTGATCCTCCTGCCTCACTCTTCCGAGCAGCTGGGACTACAGGTGAGTACCACCTCACCCGGCTAGTCTTTGTATTTTTTGTAGAGACAGGCTTTCGCCATATTACCAGGCTGGTCTCGAACTCCTGGGCTCAAGCAATCCTCCTGCCTTGGCCTCCCAAAGTGCTGGGATTACAGGCGTGAGCCATTGCACCTGGCCTATTTGTTAATTTTTTAGGTATGAAACTGGTATTATGGTTATACTTAAATCCTTACTTTTTTGAGCTATACATTCAAATATCAATGGAATATTTGACATCTTGGATTTGCTTCAAAATAATCTAGGGGAACAGAGATGAAATTATCAGCCATGTACAGTGGCTCACATCTACAATCCCAGCACTTTGGGGAGCCAAGACAGGGGGATCACCTGAGCCCAGGAGTTCAAGACCAGCCTGGGCAATTTAGCAAGAAACTGTCTCTATACACACACACACACACACACACACACACACACACACACACACACACACACACACACGGAATTACGGTTTCATCTGCTGAAGCCAGGTGCTATATTATCTCTCTACTTTTTGTTAAGCTTGAAATTTTCCATAATTTTTTTTTAAAAAAAACAAAAGGCAGTAAGAAAAATAAAATCTTTAAAAAAAAAATAGCAGTTTTTGAAGGGCTGTATGTAAAACTATAAAGTTTGAGTTGAAAACAAGATAAAGTAACACACAGATGCCTGATCTTTTTTTTTTTTTAATTTGAATCAGCTTTTTGAATCCATTTCTGTAAGGAACATAACATAACAAGCCCAACATTTTACTAAATGTTAAAAGGCAGAGATGCACCATTTAAAAAAACCTAAAGCCTCTAACCCTGTCCATCGGCCCTCTAAAAGTGAGGAACTTGAAAAACCAGGTTAGTACCTTCTAGCAAATAGGTACTAACCTGGTTTTTCAAGTTCCTCGCTTTGTTCAGAGGACACTACCTCTGAACTTCCAGATTAGCTTATAAAATAATTCCAAAAGTCTTCATTGAAGGCCAATGGCCAAGTTCATTAGCCATGGATCTTCCCAGTAAACTTTTTACCCTCAATGGGCTTATGTGTGAGGGGTTAGAAGGGGTTAGAAGTAGGTTTTTCCTCCCAAATAATATAAAGCCCTCATTTAAAAAAAAAAAATCTGAAACATTAACTGTACAAGTATAATGCAATGGTAGTGGATACTGTAGAGATTATCATAGATGTCTGAGATACAGGGTATTTGGGGCCCAAATATTTATTCACTATTAGTCTGGATAAGGGAAAACAATCTACATGCGAAAATTGCAATCTTCCAGTATTTCATGGAAGACAAGCAGTACTTAAACGGGTCTCCTAGAAATAACCTCAAATAAGTCCCAAACCCAGTGACTCCTGGGACATCAAGTGATGATCTCATTTGTGGTGCCTGATCGTTTCCTAATAAATAACCGACTGCCACTATGCATATGCAAAGTTCTGAAACACCCGTGACAGCAGTTTTACTTTAGGTATGAATGGTGACACTTTTGCTAATCTTGAGAAGCCGTTTAAATAAACCAAATGCCATTACCTCTTCCCTCAGTGCGTACTGTTCGATGAGCTTCTTTAGCTTCTCCCCCAGCTCAATGTTTTCCTGTCGGAGTTTGGCGTTGTGGATGTCATGCTGCTCCAGCTGGGCTTGAATTTCATTTAAGGTAATCTGGAAATGTGCAGTTGCTTCTTTACGTCGTTCTTCTTCCTCTCGTGCCTGCTGCATATTTTCCTCCTTATTACCCAAAATAATTTTTGTTAATAATACAGACCTATAGAGAAGATGCTCACAAGAGAAGCTGCTGCAATGTGGGTTCATTTGTTGCTGCCCTGACGTGTTGCTTCTGAACTACAATTCCTCCCCCTTATTTATGACCAGAAGGCTATCACTGAAAAGCAAGCAGTTTTTCCTAAGTAGACAGATAACCAGAGAGATGCAAACTGTCCTGCTACAAAATAAATGTTATGGCTGTCTACAATTCACTCTACTGCAATACTCGCCGGTTACACAGGCCATCATCTTAGATGGGTCGGAAGAGATCCTGCCCCCTTGCAGCTTACTTTCTGGGTCACACTTACTCCCTAAAGGGCAAAGGACAAATGGAATCCTCATCTCAAAAAGCTTCCTTTCTGTAACTACTTTCTGATGATTAAAAAGAAAAAACAAAAAATTCAAAGCTTACTTTCAATTCTTGCTAGGATATGAGTGTCAAAAGACCTTTACATGTCTGAACTGTTACCAGCCTACTCAAAATATTGATTTCCTATGGGAAAAAAAAAATACCACTTACTTTGACATCTAAATCCAAGGGCTCAAAAGCAAAGAAGGTAATAATGGCTCCCATACCAGGTGAAGATCCATTTCAAGAGTGCACTTATAGTCTAGGGCCTTGGGAGTTTGTTGGGGCATAAAGGGAGTTTATTGGGGCATAAAGGGCATAAAGGGAGTCTGTCCCATTCTAAGAGGCAGATTCCTTCCCACGGCTCTGCTCCTTTCCTTCTTCCCCTGTTGATATCAATGAATCTTTGGATACCTATTCCCTCTTCCTTTACAATCAGCCAAGGTATAAGTGGTTTCCTAAAAGTACTTAGCAACTGAATGGCTGGGGGTGGGCCAGTGGAACTGGGCAATGCTCCACCCAGGAGCTCAGCAGTTCTCCCTTCCCAGACTGTCTGTTACTAGTTTCTCATTTCACTGCAGCTTTTCCTACTTGGTGATCAGCTGTATCAGTGCTCAGCAGAAAACTGGCAATTCTGAGCTTCCTAAGCCATGGCTCTAAGCAGGAGGGCCTTGAGCGTAGATTCCCGGGAGCCAAGTATGAGGCAACTAAGGTGCTCTTCCTTGAACAGGAAACCAAAACTTACGTAGAAAGAATTGGTCTTACATTTACAATGACCTCACACAAGGCATCAGGCCAAGCAAAATAAAAAGCAAGGCAGTATCTGTCTCCAAGTAGAGACAAGGATTTATTTCAGATAGGCACAGGGTTGATTATGAAATCAGATAAGTCCCTCCTGAAAAAAACAGACAAATGAAGCAACTAACCTTTAACGTCTTATTGTGACGCTGAAGTTCTCTGCAAAGAGATTCTAGCTTGCTTCTTGCCAAGATAGCCTTGCTATGTTCACTCTGCAAGTGAACTTTCTCTTTCACAATCTGGGCTTGCTTCTTCTGCAGGATCTTCATTTGCTTCTGAACACTCCTGCTCTCCTCCAGCTAAAATTCATAAGCACTTTGTATTTAGGAAGTACAGTAAAAATCTTACAGTTATGGCTAGAATTATAATGAGAGCTATGGAACACATTTTCAAAAAGTCAAATACTATGGTTTAATATATTATTTAAATTGTTTCATGCCATGCTACACTGCCACCCTTCTCTTCTCTCCTCTTCCAGTTGTGACAAAAAAGTAAGCAAATTTAGGGCAGCAGAAAATAATCCATCTTTTTCTTTTTTAAAAAAAAATCCTTTAGACAGATTTAATTTTCACAACCCTTTATTATCCAGGTTTTATAGAAGAAATGTATAAGCCTGGAGACATTAATAAGTTGCCTAACATTCTTTAATTAGTACAGATAATCAGTAAGGGGTGAGGTGGGATTTGAACCCAGCAGCCTGAATCTCTGGCTTTCTTGACTTCCGTATTGGCCTGCTATCCCCTGGGGTCCTGAATTTTGCCAGCTTTCTGACTTCAGACACTGATCACAGATCTTCTCCCTGCTTTCAACCCAACAACTCACAAGCAACATGGGCTCCTCAACTTCCAGCTATGATCTTGTGCTTTTTGAAGGATGATGCCCTTCAACTGGATACCTCCTGCCCCTGAATTTTCCTGGGCCCACTGGGAACACTGCCCAAGTATTCCAGCCTTAACCCTTTGGAAAATAAACCAGCTCCAGTTCTAGCTGAAACCTACTCCAATGTTGAAGGCCAGGAGTGACTCAGTGCTAAAGCCAGGCATGTCCCGAATTGCTGTTTGCTGGGTGAATGTCTGTCTAGATCATTTCCTACCTGGCAAAAAACCCGCTGAAATCCAAATATTTTAACAATCAATTTATTGTGCTTTGGGGTTTTGATTTTTTTATTTTCATTATCATTTTTTTAGATGGACTATTATTCTGTTGCACAATCTCGGCTCACTGCAGCCTCCACCTCCCGGGTTCAAGCGATTCTCCTGCCTCAGCCTCCCGAGTAGCTAGGACTACAGGCACCTGCCACCACGCCCAGCTAATTTTTGTATTTTTAGTAGAGACAGGGTTTCCCTATGTTGGCCAGACTGGTCTCAAACTCATGACCTCAATTGATCCACCTGCCTTGGCCTCCCAAAGTGCTGGGATTACAAGCATAAGCCACCATGCCCGGCCGGGTTTTGCTTTTTTGAGATGGAGTTTCACTCTAGTTGCCCAGGCTGGAGTGCAATGGATCGCGCCATTGCACTCCAGCCTAGGCAACAAGAGTTAAAGCGATTCTCCTGCCTCAGCCTCCCAAGTAGCTGGGATTATAGGCATGCGCCACCACACCCAGCTAATTTTGTATTTTTAGTAGAAATGGGGTTTCTCCATGTTGGTCAGGCTGGTCTCGAACTCCCGACCTCAGGTGATCCGCCCACCTCGGCCTCCCAAAGTGCTGAGAATACAGGCATGAGCCACCGTGCCCAGCAGGTTTTTGTTTTTTTAAATGATGCTTTAGGAGTCGATACCATCAAGTTTTACACCCACAGGCTACTATACTGAAACAGTCATCAGAATCTAAAACTCAGTAAACAGCACTCAGGGTTCTTTGTAAGAAGAACTGCTGCAGTTTTGGGTATGGAACAAATCAGTCTGTTTCAAGGTTAAATCAACATGAACAGATAAGATGGCAGCCTTACTGACCTTTCAATAAAGCTTTTACTGAAAAAGAAAATGATGCTGAGTCACAATTTGAAGAGCAAGAGTGACATCTTGTGGCCTACCAAAACATATCACGCATCCTTACAGCCACATTTACAGATATTAAAAACACCTTTACTGAAATTCTTGCAGGAAAAAAAATCATTGTTTTTGCATAATTTTGTAAAGCAAAATTACTGCGAACTGTACACGGCTGCCCAGTTTAAGAGGCTGCAGGTCCGGCACATACTAGCTGTAATTTCACCAGGGTGCAGAGCTCCTGCCTTTCCTGACCCAGGGTTAGCGCAATCCTGAATCCGGCGTTCATTATTCCTTCGCTTTCCTTTCTATATAATTTCATTTCATCTGTGTGCACTTCTCTAAAAAAAAAATCCTTTTGGTTTTAGCTGTTTTGACTTTATTGTAGCTAGTGCAAATGAGGAATTGAAATTTTCATTTAATTTACACTAATTTAATAAGCCACATGTGGCTGATGGCTACTGTCTTGGACAGCGCAACTCGATTACATTGCTAGGACTCATCCACATTGTTGGCGTGTAGCTGCAGATCAGGACTTAGCAGATTTTTTCTGTAAAGGGCCAGCAAGTAAATATTTTAGGCACTGCAGGCCACATATGGTCTCTGTCACGTGTTCTTTATTTTTAAACATCTTAAAAATTAAAACCATTCTTGTGGGCAGTGTAAAAACAGACTTCGGATGCATTTGGCCCACAGGCTGTATAATATTCCACTTTTTAAAAACACAGCACACACACAAACATACCACACAAAGTGAGAACCTGTCTCTAAAAAATAAACAGTGAGCCATGATTGCGCCACTGCACTCCAGCCTGGGTGGTAGAGTGAGACCCTGTCTGAAAAATAAACAAACAAGTAGATAAAAAATAAAAACACACCACACATACACACAAAACTCTTTATTAATCCATCTTCTTGCATCAACAGGCATCTGGGCTGTCTCTAGGTTTTGTTATTACTCACAGTGGTATGAACATTCTCATGTGTTTCCTGGTATACACGTGTCAGGAATTTCTCCTCTGTGCAAACATCAGAAATGAGGTTGCTGGGCAATGATTTCTAAATGTTTGATTTCACATGACAATGGTGAATTGATATTCCCAACAGCAATATATAAGAGACCACGTAGATCCACATCCTCTCCAAAATGATCAGATTTCTTCATTTATGCCACTACAATAGACGTAAAATGGCATCTCACTGTGGTCCTAATTTGCATTTCCCTAATCACTTATCAGGTGGAACATCTCTTTGAATGTTTATGGACCTTTATGTTAAGGTATCTTCGTATCTTTGTTTTTCCACTTCTATGAAATGTCCCTTTCATGTCTCTCATCCAGCTTTCCATAGGGCTATTTGTCCTTTTCACATTAGTGTTCTTTAGATATTCTTGATACTAAATCGCCTGCTGGTTATATTTGTTGGAAATATGTTCTCCCCAGTTTGTAATGTCGTCTCACTTTTTTTTTTTTTCTGAGATGAAGTCTCACTCTGCTGCCCAGGCTGGAATGCAGTGGTGCGATCTTGGCTCACTGCAACTTCCGCCTCCCCAGTTCAAGCGATTCTCCTGCCTCAACCTCCTGAGTAGCTGGAACTACAGGCGCGCAAACACCATGCCCGGCTAATTTTTTTTTTTTTATTTTTTTAGTAGAGACGGGCTTTCACCATATTGGACAGGCTGGTCTTGAATTCCTGACCTCGTGATCCGCCTGCCTCAGGCTCCCAAAGTGCTGGGATTACAGGTGTGAGCCACCGCGCTTGGCCATCTTCTCACTTTTTTTCAGGGCATCTTTTGACGAAAACAAAGTTCTTAATTTCAATAAAGCAAATTTGTACAATCTTTCCTCTGACAGTGCTTTTTGTGCTATAAGAAATATTTCCTAAACTCAAGGTTTGAAAAATATTTATCTATTGATAAATCAAAATAATATCTACAAATTTCAAAGCTTAATTTTTGACATTTAAGCCTTTAATCTATTTGGAATTGATTGTTGCCTCTGGTGTGTAAGGATCTAATTTTACTTTTTCCTCAAAAGGATAACTTTTTTTTTTTTTTGGAGATAGCATCTTGCACTGTCGCCCAGGCTGGGTTGCCATGTGGCACGAACTCACTGCAGCCTCCAATTCCTGGGCTCAAGCAATCCTACCACTTCAGCCTCCCAAGTAGCTGAGACTACAGGCGTGTGTGCGTGTGTGTGTGTGTACAGGGTCTTGCGACGTTGCCCAGGCTGGTCTTGAACTCCTGATTGTAAGCAATCCTGCTTCAGCCTCCTGAAGTGCAGATGCTACAGGGCTGAGCTACCATATCTGGCCAGGATAACCATTTTTTAAGTTACATTAATATCATGAGGATGGCAATTCTCCCCCAAATGTATCTACAGATTCTGTGAAATGCTCTTTGAAATCCCAAATAGTGCCCCCCAACACACGGAACTACTAAATTGAATCTAAAATCTATAGAGAGTAAAGGGCCAAGAATAGCCAAGATACTTCAGAAGAAAAGAGTAAGGAGAATGGAACCTACCCCAAGCATATATTAAGATTATTATGCTATAATAATCTGTACAAACTGACTACAGGATGGGAAAGAATAGCATTATAAAGTACTTAAGGATCATGTTAATGGTATCCACAGCTAAAAGCAAAATGCTACAATTTCATGAATCCATGTGATCTGGTGAACATGTTGGCCACAGGGTCTCTCCAATGGACAATCCCAGTTACAGTGCACAGAAATCCATTCCAACTGCTCCACAAAACAGTTATGCATGTCAGTGCAACAAGCACAATGACATCAGACGATATATGTCATAAACGGGCAGAAGACAGTGATGGCAAAAGGGAAGGGAACTTTTCAGAATAATCCTTGGGAAAAGGCTGTGACTCCCTTGGTGACCTCACATATATATACTCCACTTTTTTTTTTTTTTTTTTTTTTTTTTGAGACAGAGTTTCACTCTTGTTGCCTAGTCTGGAGTGTAATGGCACGATCTCGGCTCACCACAACCTCTGCTTCCCAGGTTCAAGTGATTCTCCTGCCTCAGCCTCCTGAGTAGCTGGGATTACAGGTATGCGCCACCACGCCCAGCAAATTTTGTATTTTTAGTAGAGACGGGGTTTCTCCATGTTGGTAAGGCTGGTCTCGAACTCCCGACCTCAGGTGATCCGCCTGCCTCAGCCTCCCAAAGTGCTGGGATTATACGCCCGGCCTATATCTACCTTTTAAGTGAAATATGTGTTGCTTCAAGAAATCAAGCTTTAGAACATTTTCTGGAAACAATACACATTTTGTCTTTCAAATTTTTGGCACAAATCTGTATAAAAGAGAGATTACTCACTAGGCAAGTCTTCAATGTGTCACATCCTGAAATGAACACAGTCATTACTGCTGGTGCTTAGCAATAACCTTATCCACAATCAAAACAATAAAACCAAAAGTCACAAACAAAAACACCCTAGACCCCTGCTACTTCAAGTGTGATCCAAGGTCTGGCAGCATCATCACTGTTGCCCGGGCATTTGTTAAAATGCAGATCCTCAGGCCCCAACCAAGGCCTAGTGAATCAGAATGTGCATTTTAACCACAAGTTCAATGATCGGTGTGAGTCTGAGAACAACCACCCCAGATCACTGTTTGTTCTCTCTTCTAACCAATTCATGGCTGTCTGTCATTGTCACATCACTGGGTTGGGTAGCTAACCTTCGACACTGCTTTTTCTGGTTTTTACTCTTTTCTCCATTTTTTCTTTTCCCTTTTCTGTTCTTGTCTTTCTTCTTTTTCCGCCATTTCTTGCATGATTCTCCCCATGTGAAAGGCACCAAGGGGGACTGGCTTCCACAGCCAATGGAAGCATTCCTTTCCTGAAGCCATCAATCCAACCACGCTGTGTTTTCGGCCATCTTTGCATTTGTGACTGCTCTGGGACATTTTCACTGATGCACAGGGCGTCCTGTTGCTACAAATAGTGAAAGGTGCCAAGCTGCTGAATGCCAGCTAACTGAGGTATACCTGGACCACTTCATAAACTAAGGGAAAGTAACTGTCATTTTTTTTTTTTTTGAGTCAGAGTCTCACTCTGTCGTCCAGGCTGGAGTGCAGTGGCGCAATCTCAGTTCACTGCAAGCTCCGCCTCCCGGGTTCACGCCATTCTCCTGCCTCAGCCTCCCGAGTAGCTGGGACTACATGCACCCGCCACCACACCCGGCTAATTTTTTTTTGTATTTTTAGTAAAGACGGGGTTTCACCGTGTTAGCCAGGATGGTCTTGATCTCCTGACCTCGTGATCCACCCACCTCGGCCTCCCAAAGTGCTGGGATTACAGGCGTGAGCCACTATGCCTGGCCTGTAACTGTCATTCTTGAGGCAATAAACTAACAGAATTCAGTTTTTTTATTTTTTATTTTTTTGAGATGGAGTCTCGCTCCGTTGCCCAGGCTGGAGTGCAGTGGCACGATCTCGGCTCACTGCAAGCTCTGCCTCCCGGGTTCATGCCATTCTCCTGCCTCAGCCTCCCGAGTAGCTGGGACTACAGGCGCCTGCCACCATGCCAGGCTAATTTTTTTTTTGTATTTTTAGTAGAGACAGGGTTTCACCGTGTTAGCCAGGATGGTCTCGATCTCCTGACCTCGTGATCCGCCCACCTTGGCCTCCCAAAGTGCTGGGATTACAGGCGTGAGCCACCGCGCCCAGCCTCAGAATTCATTTTTTTAGAGCTGATCATTGATTTAAAAAAAAGTAATGGCTTATGATATGGAATTAACTGTTTTAACAGATGAAGATGCATATAAATTGTACATGATAATTCACCTAAGTATGTCACAAAAGGCAATAATTTTAGCATTTATATTAGAACCACTTATTCTAAAAGCTTCCCGCAACCATTCCTTTAAAGGGTTCTATGATTTTCCCATTCTTCAATTCAAATAGGATGGCAGGGTTTCCAAGTTGAAACTGCCCTCACGGGCCAGGCACAGTGGCTCATGCCTGTAATGCCAGAACTTTGGGAGGCCAAGGCGGGCGGATCACAAGTTCAGGAGATGGAGAGCATCCTGGCTAACACGGTGAAACCCATCTCTACTAAAAATACAAAAAATTAGCCAGGCGTGGTGGCACGCGCCTGTAGTCCCAACTACTCAGGAGGCTGAGGCAGGAGAATAGCTTGAACCCGGGAGGCGGAGGATGCAGTGACCCAAGATCGCACCACTGAAATCCAGCCTGGGTGACGGAGCGAGACTCCGTCTCAAAAAAAAAAAAAAAAAAGAAAGAAAGAAAGAAAGAAACTCCAAAAAGAGAATTAATGCTACCTGTAATACCTGTAATATAGCTGAGAATGGACGGGCGCGGTGACTCATGCCTGTAATCCCAGCACTTTGGGAGGCCGAGGCGGGCAGATCACGAGGTCAGGAGATCAAGACCATCCTGGCTAACACGGTGAAACCCCATCTCTACTAAAAAATTAAAAAAACTAGCCAGGCGTGGTGGCGAGCACATGTAGTCCCAGCTACTCAGGAGGTTGAGGCAGGAGAATGGCGTGAACCCGGGAGGTGGAGCTTGCAGTCTGCTGAGATCACACCACTGCACTCTAGCCTGGACCACAGGCGAGACTCCGTCTCAAAAAAATAAAATAAAATAATATAGCTGAGAACAAACTCTTTGATAAGGTCACTGTTTCTAGAAAATGGAAAAAAGGATGCTTGACACATAGTAGATGCTAAAGAAGTATTTCTGAGACAAAGTATTGTTTTAGCAGATGATTTCATGTAACTCACAATCTCAATCAAAACAGTCCTCAATCTCTAGAATTCCCTTAGGAAAAGTTTAAGACAGGAACCACTACACCCCAACTGAGTGGCACCTAAGGCATCACAACATAGCAATGGAAAGGCTGACTTAGACTCTAAAACTGAGTTTTAGAAAATCTATGCCACATCTTAGTATTACAATGTTCCCTATATATTACCTCATAAAATGAAACTATACAACCAATAAAAAGCCCCAACAAAACAGATTCTCTTCTTCAATTTCAGAATAAAATATAATTTTACATTTAAGGCCATATCAAATTTGTACTTTAAGAAACTTATCAAGCACACACACATTTTGTTATATTTTATATGGCTCTCACATCCTTGGCTTAATACTCACAAGATCAGCATATTTCTTACAGAGAGCTGCCAGCTTCTCCTCTGGGGTTGAAAGGGTGTTTAGGGCTTGCATCAGTAATAAAACTTCTTTTCCTGATGGTTAACAAGAAAAGAAATAAGTCCCAGAAGAATGAGATCAAATCTAACCTGTAAATTCTACTAACAATTCCCGTGCTCTGACATCCAGAGTAAACTAATTTACACCTATGATTATAAATAAGAGATTTACCAGCTCAATGAAAAAGGCAATTTTTAAATTCTGGATTAGCAGGCCTCGCTCCCCTCCCCATACCCACCCCAAATTTCTTAACTCATTCACTAACACTGCGAGCTATTTATAAGAACTCTTGTTAAAAGCTTATAAATTTCCTTGCCTAATCACTGATGTCCAAGTTAAGACAAAGGGCAAGTTACAAAGGGCATGGAATTTTTTTTAAAGCTTCCTCCTAACCAAGTTCGAATATAGAAGCAAGTTCAAAGGGAGTTTCAGTTGGTACTACACTTTGCCAAAGACACACATAATCACAGGAGAACATATCTTTTCCTACGAACAATTTAAAAACGTGTGCTTTTCTTATGATTTACTAAGTATATTCTGTGTGTTAACTAAGGTTAACTAACCAAAGGATGACAAGATAGCTCTTCCTGTGGGGAAAGACCTTAGCAATACTGTAAGGACTTTGGCAGAGAGAGGCAGGTGGCTGAGATTAGGAGGGGACTAATGGCATTTCGAAGTAAGGGGTAATCTTTTATTTCTTAAGCTAGGTGATAGGTACCATTTTTATTTTTTTAATGTTCATTCTTATATGTAAGATATTGCATCAAAATATATATCTCAAAATAACTCTGACATACAGACTGCTATGGGGGAAAAAGGGTGACTTCAAAAAAGAATGCTTTTCTACTCACATAAAATTTTATTAATGAAATCTTCTCTCATTTAACCCAAGGCCAATAAGACCTTTAAGAGACGATTAAACACAATTACTGAAAATGATCAGAAATAACTGCAATGTGGCCGGGCACAGTGGCTCACACCTGAAATCTCAGCACTTTGGGAGGCCGAGGCAGGAGAGGACTGCTTGAGCTTAGGAGTTTGAGACCAGCCTGGGCAACACAGTGAGAACCTGTCTCTACAAAAAAAATTTTTTAATTAGCCAATTCTTGATTA
The DNA here is from genome assembly GCF_000001405.40 of Homo sapiens. Taxonomy (NCBI): domain Eukaryota; kingdom Metazoa; phylum Chordata; class Mammalia; order Primates; family Hominidae; genus Homo; species Homo sapiens. Next base: position 16,819,085 of record NC_000023.11, on the reverse strand, counting down.
TTTGGAAAAAAAAAAAACTAAGCGTCCTCTCTGCTGTTTTCGCCTCCTGCACATAACTGCAGCAGACACATGGACTGACCTCACCGAAGACACTAGGGGTGTTGGCTAAGCACCTCTAAAGTGGCTGTGTTCAAAATTATCTGGGCTGCAGAAAACACAAGTAAAATGATTAGCATGTGAAACGTCCAACCACTGAACGGATTATTACCTAAAGTTTTTTCTTTGTTCCTGTTGCACTCTGAATCTTGCTGACCATCAGGGGGATCTGTTCGAGCTTCTCCCCCAGGGATTTCCTCTCTTGATTCTTGCGTGCAGTATGCTGGGCTCACCAAATTCCTGTTCTCTGTTATAAAGTCACTGCCTTCATCCTCTTCCAATGAATGCTTGTTACTTGTGCCACCACAATTTGAGCCTTGATGTTGAAGAATATCATTTGATTGAGAGTTACACAACATATCTGCTTTCACCCCTAGCCCACAAATTCCAGCTTCTTCCATTGTGCCAATTTCAAACTAGAAGAAAGGAGAAGGAGAAAAAAGATGGAGAAGGGGTTAAATCTAATGTAATCAATGTTTACAAGCAATGGAACATCATAGCCTGATAGTTTTTTCTTCCTTAGTGGTTTGCAAAATTGATGTAAATATGGTACTTTCTAGGTTTCACTGAGAGGTGACCTAACTATAAAGTATAAGGAAATTAGTTAAAATGAATCACACAACTATTCAGTACCAAAGGAGGCAAGAAACCCATTTAGTTATAAATCTAAATTGATTTCCACATAAAAATTCACCACTTAACATAATTAGCACCTTAACAGAAGTGAAACTGTCCCCAGTTAATGAATATTAATTATTCTAATCTTATCCTCAAGGAGACAGTACAGCAGGGATGGCTAGCTAGCTATCCATCAAAACCCCATGCTCCCCCAAGTTCCTGTGGAGTTGGCACTATGAGACAAGTGCCCAGCCAGGGACTATTCCCCAGCCCCCTTACACCAAGGGGCGACTTCCACGTGAAGTTCCCACCAACTGAATGTGGGCATAGGACACGACTGTCCAAGACTTTTATTCTTAGAAGCACAAGTTCTTTCTCAACCATCTCTCCCCGACTCTGGCAAAATGCAGACATCTCCAAGACCCTAAGGGATGGCAGAGCCACAGGATTAATGAAGCCTAGGCCTCCATATCCTATGTACATACAGGAAAGCCACCCTACTTACAAAGAAAACCTACACTGGACTATAGGTGAACAAGAAATAAACTTCTCTCATGCTAAGCCATGGAAATTTTGAGACTGATATTTTAAGCAGCTATCCCTGCCCTAATACACATGGTAAAGATGCCTTTATTCCAGTATGTTATTCTTATGTCAGTAACTGTCTTCTATCACATTGTTAACCCTATTTGAGTTTTTTCCCCTTGTGAACACTTCCTGGTCATGATGTGGCACAAATTTAAATTCTGTGCATTTACTCTCTGTATGAAAGAGGGCCTCTTCCTTTTCTGAATAATACTGTTGAGGTGAGGAGGTGTTTAGTATCCTTCTCTTATCACAAATGGACAAAAGCTACTTTCAAAATTTATGGGAGAGCAGATATTTGAGATTTTAGGTTATAATCATTTTGTGCAACTGAAGAACTCAAAATATCAAAGTAGGAGGGGATAGAGAGGTTAAGGAAAATAAAATCTTATATTTTATAGTCTAATGTTGATAAATCCAGTACTGTGCTTTCATAAGAACAAATTGGCAAGGACACTTTGAAAAACTCTTTGGCAATATATGGATACCTTCTAACCCAGTTAACTCTACTCCTGGGATTTTGCCCAAGTGTGTACATATGTGTATCCAAAGTCCAAGAATAAAGGAGCACTATTCCTAATAGCTCCAAAATGGAATCAACCCAAATTTCTATCAGTAGCAGAATGGATAAACTATAGTATCAAAGCAGTGAGAATGAACTACTGTTGGATGCAACCACATAGATGAGTTTCACAGACCTATGTTGTGAAAAAGGTGCTAGAAGAGTATCTACTATAGGAAATCATTTATGTATAAAGTTCAAAAACAAGGCAAGCTAATAAATGGTGCTAGAAATCAGGATAGCGGTTACCATTGGGGGTGGGGCCTCCTGGGGTGCTTGTAGTGTTCTATTTCTTGGTCTAGATGAGGTGACACATTCACTTTGTGAAAATTCATTAAGCCTAACATTTATGATTTGTATACTTTTCTCAATTTATGTATTTCAGTAAAGTTTATTTTAAAAGTTGCAATTTATACATTATTCAAGAAGTAAGAGGAACCAAAACAAATATTTTCCTCTAAGAAGAGAGATTAAAGATATGCTGCTTTTCATGACACTTTTAAAATAATGTGCATGTAATACTTTGACATCTTAAAAAAAATTAACACATTAAGGGGAAATGGGTTATCTATTTCAGAGTTATGGTTTGATGCCACACTCTAAGCCTAATTCAGATAGAAAAAACTTACAAATACTGAAACTCTTAAGTTATTTGAAAAGATTTTAAAAATTCACTTCCATATGTATCATATTCTATAGAGCAATGTTTCTCAAGCGTAACCCATAAAGTTTTTCAAAAATTCACAATGGCACGCATCGTGGGGCATGCTTGTAGTCCTAGCTATTTGGGGGCTAAGGCAAGTTTGAGGACAGCCTGGGCAATATAGTGAGACTTCGTCTCTTGGGGTGGGAGAGGATTCACAATCAAGTTTTAGGAAAAATCATTTGTAAGATTTCACTACTGTAGAAACTTCTTAAAATTGTTAATAGGCCGGGCAAGGTGGCTCATGCCTGTAATCCCAGCACTTTGGGAGGCTGAGGTGGGCAAATCACTTGAGGTCAGGAGTTCAAGACCAGCCTGGCCAACATGGTGAAACCCCGTCTCTACTAAAAATACAAAAATTAGCTGGGCAGAGGTTGTACTGAGCCGATATCGCGCCACTGCACTCCAGCCTGGGTGACAAAGCGAGACTCCATCTCAAAAAAAAAAGAAAAAAAAATCATTAATATACCCAAATAACATACTATAGCAGTATTATTATTAACAGAACAGATGCAAAGTGATAATTCAATGCTACATTTCACATGTAACTACTAGTTTCGCCTCTAATCAAATATTGAAATGTCATGTACTAATTGGGCGCATAGATATATAAAGAGACCCTTTACACAAAAGCAATAGAAAGGGAAAAAGTGAGTACTATCAATACCATTTTCCCCAATTAAAAAAAAAAAATTTCGGACAGGCGCAGTGGCTCACGCCTGTAATCCCAGCACTTTGGGAGACCGAGACGAGACGGGCAGATCACAAGGTTAGGAGTTCAAGACGAGCCTGACCAACGTGGTGAAACCCCACCTCTACTAAAAATACAAAAATTAGCCAGGCGTGGTGGAGCATGCCTGTAATCCCAGCTACTCGGGAGGCTGGGGCAGGAGAATCGCTTGAACCCGGGAAGCGGAGGTTGCAGTGAGCTGAGATCGCACCACTGTACTCCAGCCTGGGTGACAGAGCGAGACTCCGTCTCAAAAAAAATAATAATAGTTTCAAATCTATTCCCTGAAAACCATTAGGTATAAGAATGGCACTACAGGCCGGTCGCGGTGGCTCACGCCTGTAATCCCAGCACTTTGGGAGGCTGAGGCAGGCGGATCACCTGAGGTCAGGAGTTTGAGACCAGCCTGATCAACATGGTGAAGTCCCGTCTCTACTAAAAATACAAATTTAACTGGGCGTGGTGGTGCATTCCTGTAATCCCAGCTACTCGGGAGGCTGAGGCAGGAGAATTGCTTGAACCTGGGAGGCGGAGGTTGCCGTGAGCCTAGATCACGCCATTGCACTCCAGCCTGGGCGACAGAGCAAGACTCCATCTCAACAACAACAACAAAAACAAACAAACGAGAATAGAAGACTGCTTATCTCTAACACAGAATTTCTCAGACACTTAATGATAATAAAACCCACACAATCCCAGAAAATATGGTGTCAAGCCGTATCAAAAATACAGTGAGCATGAAATTCGTAGAAAAAAGGGGAAGCATAAATAATTTTCACCAAGAAAACCCTGAGGCCTGTCCTAACCCTGAGGCTACTTGAGGAATGAGATTGGTTCATTTGTAGTTTTTCAGTTCCATTAGCGATTTATTTTGTAACACCTTTATTGTGATATAATTCACATACCATACAATTCCCTAACTTAAAGTGTACAGTTCACTAATTTTACTGCATTCACAAAGTTGTGCAAACATTACCACAGTCAACTTTGCAACACTTTCATAACCTGAAAATGAAACCCAGTTCTCCTTAGCTATCAACCCTTAATGCTTCTATAACCTTCAGCACCAGGCCACTAATCTAGTTGCTGCCTCTATGGATTTGGCTATTCTAGACACACTTCATATAAATGGAGCTATACAATATGTGGCCTTTTGAGTCTGCCTATTTTTTCTTTTGAGATGGAGTCTCACTCTGTCACCCAGGCTGGAGTGCAATGGCACGGTCTCCGCTCACTGCAACCTCCGCCTCCCGGGTTCAAGCGATTCTCCTGCCTCAGCCTCCCAAGTAGCTGGGATTACGGGCACCCGCAACCATGCCCGGCTAATTTTTTGTATTTTTAGTAGAGACAGGGTTTCACCATGTTGGCCAGGCTGGTCACGAACTCCTGACCTTAGGTGATCCACCTACCTTGGCCTCCCAAAGTGCTGGGTTTACAGGTGTGAACCACCACACCGGGCTGAGTCTGCCTATTTGCATGTGGCAAATTTTCAAGATTCCTCCATGTTATAGCATGTATCAGTATTCCATGCATGTAGCTGAATAATATCCCTTATACAGAGAGACTACATTGTATTTATCCATTCATCAGATGGACATGTGGGTTATTTCCAATTTTTGGCTACACTGTATTTATCCATTCATCAGATGGACATGTGGGTTATTTCCAATTTTTGGCTATTATGACTATTTCTTTTTATTTTTTTTGAGATGGAGTCTCGCTCTGTCGCCCAGGCTGGAGTGCAGTGGCGTGATCTTGGCTCACTGCAATCTCCATCTCCCGGGTTCACGCCATTCTCCTGCCTCAGCCTCCCGAGTAGCTGGGACTACAGGTGCCCGCCACCACGCCCAGCTAATTTTTTGTGTTTTTAGTAGAGACGGGGTTTCACCGTGTTAGCCAGGATGGTCTCGATCTCCTGACCTTATGATCCGACCACCTCGGCCTCCCAAAGTGCTGGGATTACAGGCGTGAGCCACGGCGCCCGGCCAATTATGACTATTTCTGCTATGAACATTAATGCATTCATTTTTGTGTGGACACTTCTCCAGGGTACAGTCCTAGGAGTGGAATTGCTATATGACCACTCTATGTTGAACCTTTTGAGGAACTGTAAGACTATTTTCCCAAGCAACTGTACTTTTTTTTTTTTTTTTTGGAGACGAGGTCTCGCTTTGTTGCCCAGACTGCACAATGCAAGCTTACTGCAGCCTCAACCTCCTGGGCTCAAAGCATCTTCTCGCCTCAGCCTCCCAAAGTGCTGAGATTACAGGTATGTGCCACTATGCCAGGCTCATTTTTTTTTTTTTAATTTTGTAGAGGGAGAGTCTCGCTATGTTGCCCAGGCTGGTCTCAAAACTTCTGGGCTCAAGCAATCCTCTTGCTTCAGTCTCCCAGGGCACTAGGATTACAGGCGTGAGCCACCACGCGCAGCTCACTGGTACCATTTAAAATTCCCACTAGAAGTGTATGGGGGTTCCAATTTCTCCACATCCTCAGCAACACTTGTTATTATTATTTTTTTATAGCCATCCTACTGAGTGTGATGGTACCTCACTGTGTTTTTGATTTGCATTTCCCTAATGACTAACAATATTGAACATCTTTTCACGTGCCTATTGGCCATTTGTATACCTTCTTTGAAGAATGTTTTTCAGATCTTTTGCCCATGTTTAATTGGGTTGTTATTTTATCGTTGGACTGTAAGAGTTCTTTATGTAACTAGCTACAAGTCCCTTACCAGATATATTTTTCAGATGACTTCATGGTTACCTCAACTTGGAAGAAAGGAATAGGACTGGCGCAGTAGCTCATACCTGTAATCCCAGCAGTTTGGGAGGTTGAGGTGGGCAGATCACCTGAGGTCAGGAGTTCGAGACTAGCCTGATCAACATGGAGAAACACCGCCTCTACTAAAAATACAAAATTAGCCAGGCGTGGTGATGCAAGCCTGTAATCCTAGCTACTAGGGAGGCTGAGGCAGGAGAATCACTAGAACCTGCGAGGCAGAGGTTGTGGTGAGCCGAGATCACACCATTGTACTCCAGCCTGGGCATAAGAGCGAAACTCCACCTCAAAAAAAAAAAAAAAAAAAAAAAAAAAAGGCTGGCCGCAGTGGCTCATGCCTGTAATCCCAGAACTTTGGGAGGCCAAGGCCAGTGGATCATGAGATCAGGAGTTCGAGACCAGCCTAGCCAACATGGTGAAACCCTGTCTCTGCTAAAAATACAAACATTAGCCGGGCATGATGGCACACACCTGTAATCCCAGCTACTCGGGAGGCTGAGGCAGGAGAATCACTTGAACCTGGGAGGCGGAGGTTGCAGTGAGCCGAGATCGCGCCACTGCATTCCAGCCTGGGACAGAGTGAGACTCTGTCTCACAAAAAAAAAAAAAAAGGAATAAATATTCACTTATTTCAAAACATCATAAGGAGATTTAATTAAAAGTTACTCTTGTTTTCAGATTAAAAGTATACAGGTCATTGGCCAGGCACGGTGGCTCATACCTGTAATCCCAGCACTTTGGGAGGCCGAGGCGGGCGGATCACTTGAGGTCAGGAGTTCAAGACCAGCCTGGCCAATGTGATGAAATCTCGTCTCTACTAAAAAAAAAAAGCAAAAATTAGCTGGGTGTGGTGGCGGGCGCCTGTAATCCCAGCTGCTCAGGAGGCTGAGGTAGGAGAATTGCTTGAACTCAGGAGACAAAGGTTACAGTGAGCCAAGATCGTGCCACTGCACTCCAGCCTGGGCAACAGAGCAAGACTACATCTCAAAAAAAAAAAAGAAAGAAAAAAAAGTATACAGGTCATTTACTATTACCACTATACAGCAAAAAGACAATATAAAGACTCAGGGTCGGGTGCGGTGACTCACGTCTGTAATTCCAGCAGTTTGGGAGGCTGAGGCAGGCAGATGACGAGGTCAAGAGATGATCAAGACCATCCTGGCCAACATGGTGAAACCCCGTCTCTACTAAAAACATAAAAATTAGCTGGGTGTGGTGGTGCGTGCCTGTAGAGTCCCAGTTACTTGGGATGCTGAGGCAGGAGAATCACTTGAACCCGGGAAGCAGAGGTTGCACTGAGCCGAGATCGGGTCACTGCACTCCAGCCTGGCAGCGAGACTCCGTCTCAAAAAAAAAAAAAAGCCGGCCACGGTGGCTCACACCTGTAATCCCAGCACTTTGGGAGGCCGAGGCAAGCAGATCACCCAAGGTCAAGAGTTCAAGAACAGCCTGGCCAACATGGTGAAACCCCGTCTCTACTAAAACCACAAAAATTAGCTGGGCGTGGTGGTGCATGCCTGCTACTCGGGAGGCTGAGGCCAGAGAATTGCTTGAACCTGGGAGGCGGAAGTTGCAGCAAGCTGAGATCGCGCCATTACACTCTAGCCTGGGCGACAAGAGGGAAAACTCCATCTTAAAAAAAAAATAAGGAAGGCCAAAAAACTATTGTGTAATGCAGAATAATAGGTGGTGTCATATGGCATAAAGAAGAATATTAAATTAATCTGTATAGTGCACAAACACCACATCACCTATTTTCCTTTTAATTGTATGTCATCACTTCCTATTTGTAGTTAATACTTCCGATTTTTTTGTCTTTCCAGACACTCCTGCCTCTGAACTCTTATCACATATTACAATATCACGTATTTGATACATACAGCCTCCTAAGTAGCAATAGCTTATTATGCACAAATGGTACTCAAATGCCAACTGATGGGGAGCATACAGAGGCAAAAATGGCTGTTGAAAACAATCCACAAAAAGAACCTAGGCATTAATACACAAGTTATAGAAAATACCACTATTGGCCAGGCACGGTAGCTCATGCTGGAAACCCAGCAATTTGGGGGGCCGAGGTGGGTAGAACACTTGAGGTCAGGAGTTCAAGACCAGCCTGGCCAACATGGCAAATCACCATCTCTGGTAAAAATACAAAAATTAGCTGGGCATGGTGGCACGTGCCTGGAAACTCGGGAGGCTGAGGCACAAGAATTGTTTGAACCCAGGAGGTGGAGGTTGCAGTGAGCTGAGATCACACCACTGTACTCCAGCCTGGGCAATAGAGCAAGACTCTGTCTCAAACAAACAAAAAATGAAAATACCACTATTTTTATTTTATCATTAGAAGCAAGACAGTATTACATTTCCCTTCTCTCTTGTACAACTAATTTTGATGTGGTATTGGGGTATTTTTTACATTTGCTAATGAAAGATATACTTTGGCTCTACAAAATCTTTTTGTTTATTAATAAGCCCAGTTCCAACAGGACTTGATTCAAACCACAGTCTACAAATACTCTTGAAATAGCAGGCCCCAATTTTTCTACCACAAGGACTATTCAATTAACAACCTACTTGAGGCTCTGTACCTGGGCTATTGAATATTAAGCAAATTCTTAGGCCAATAACTTTATTAAATTGTAAATGATTTCTCAGACCTCATCTCCTCAACCAGAGAATTCTATATCATATGCCCAGTACAATTTCCTACTCTGTCTTCTCTCTCTGATGCCCATTCTGGATGCCTTTTCTTGGATCAATCTCTTATATAAATAATAGTAGTAGTAGCTAATACTTATACAGTAAATAGTACATCCAGGCACTACTGTAAGAACTTTCCTATATTAATTAGCTTAATCCTCACAACAATGCCACTAGGTAGGCACTATTATTTTCTCCATTTTAGAGATGAGCAAACTATGGCATGTAAAGTTAAGTATCCTGCCTAAGGTCACAGTTAGTAAACTGCAGGGCAAAGATTTGAACTCTAGCAGTCTAGCTTCTGAGTCCATGCTCTTAACCACAAAAATATACTGCTTCATAACTACCTTCTGTCTACTACTGTTCAAACATCCTTCTCCTGGCCCAGCCATCTTAGAGAAGCCTATTTAATAATGGGAAGAGATGCTCCCAAAATACGATGTACAAAAATGAATTACAAAACAGAATGTACTGTATATTTTGTATACGCACTATATATATGTATACAGATGCTGCTCAACATACATTGGGGTTACACAGTGATAAATCCATCCTAAAGTCAACAATGCAAGTTGAACCACAGTAAGCCAGGAACCATCTGTGTGTATGTACATACACACACAGAGAAGTGCTGGAAGAAAATACTGGAAGAAAATATCTTGGCCTGGTGCGGTGGCTCACACCTGTAATCCTAGAACTTTGGGAGGCTGAGGCGGGCAGATAAACTGAGGTCAGGAGTTCGAGGCCAGCCTGGCCAACATGGTGAAACCCCATCTCTACTAAAAATACAAAAATTAGCTGGGCGTGGTGGCGGGTGCCTGTAATCCCAGTTACTCGGGAGGCTGAGGCAGGAGAATGGCTTGAACCCGGGAGGCGGAGGTTGCAGAGAGCCGAGATCACGCCACTGCACTCCAACCTGGGCAACAGAGCGAAACTTCATCTCAAAAAAAAAAAAAAAACAACTATAAGATATCATTTTACACATCAAAAACTTCGACAACACTGTGGGAGGGGGTGGGGGGCATTCTCAAGCATTCCTGGTGGGAGGATAAATTGACTTAACCACCAAGGAGTCCAGTCGGGGAAGGGACTGACTGGGAACCAGCAGCACAAGGGAACCTCTAGGGTGTTGGTAATGCTCTGTATCTTGATGGGGATTTCAGTTACAGAGCTGCATGCATTTGCTAAAACTTAGCACATAATGTACTTCTGATGGCTTCATGGGTGAAGGGACAGATAAATGGATAACTGAAAAAGCAACCAGAGTAAAATGTCAAAGGTAAAATCTAGGTGGTGGCAAAATTGATGTTTAGTATAAACTTTGCAGTAGCTTTGAAATTTTTCATAAGATGTTGGAGGGAGAAAACATCAAGTCACATATGCTTTGATCCAGCAAATTCATTTCTTACCAGTTTTTCCTACACATATACCAGTGCATTTGTGAATGACATAATACATAAGGTTATTTATGCAGCATTATTTATGGTAGCAAAAATTCAGAAATATCCTAAATATCAATAAATAATAGACCGGATGAATAAACTGCTGTACATCCATCCAATTGAGTACCATACTGTTAAAAAAAAGAATAAGGTGGTTATATAATTACTGGTAAGGACACGTTAATAAGGGAAAAAGCAAAATACCCTGTAGCACATACCATATGCCATGATATGAGGCTTGAGGAGGTATAAATGTATGAGCAGAGTAGTATATCCAATCTCTGGCCGGACACAAAGAAACATTACTGGAGACAAACTGGGTGAGTGGGGACAAGACTTTCACAGCAGGCGTGTTTTCACCTTTTAAGTTAGGTGCCATGAGTTACCTTTACAAGAGCTTTAACATGTTTTTTAACAGCAAAATGAAGAGCTCTAATATAGTGCCTTATTTGGAAAAACAAAAGGGGAGGAAATATTTATTTAAATTCCAATCTCAAATGAAAATGAAACCAACACTGAGTAGTTTCCAGATGGATTTCTATTAGAACCCTTCCCTGCAGAAAATCAAGACACAAAAGCTATGACATCTGCATCTTGTGAGCAGCATGTGTACCTTTTAGAGAAGCACAACACTGTGCTACAAGTGTTTGTTTACAAGAGCCTTAAACACGAATAATCCCTCACCCTAGCCACTCCCCTCCGGTCAAAGGATATATTTCGCAATCTTCCTTCCACTGTCTCAATACTTGGAGCTAAGAGGACTCACTAACTGACCAAGAGATGCCTTCAAAATGGGAGGTCACCAGTTTATCAATAATAAATGACAGGAGCAAAGAACAACTATCATAGAAATTTTTGCAAATGAACATGAGGAAGTACTCTGCATTCATCAACTACTTGTAATAGCTTTTTGGATCAAAACATTCAAAACTAAGAACATGGAAATTAAAACCAGAAGGAAAAAAAAATTTTTAGGTTTCTTTCCCTTCTACCAACACCCACATTCACTTCCTAATTATTTCAACTACTGCTTGCTCACATGAGCTCAAACACCTTTGACCAGGGCCAGGCATATGCAGAGGACACAAATTACCCAGTCCTTGCCAGCAAGAGCTAGAGTGGACCTTCAGAGGGAGCAGTTGGGAAAAGTTGTGTGTATTTCTGCATTTTCCTAGACAGACATCCTTAGCTTGCCTCAGATTCCCAGTCTAGGAGGAACTTATCAAATAAGTAAAGGGAACCTTTAGCACCTCAGGCTGACACTGTGTGAGGTATTCTCAAAGTGACCCCATTTAACCTTCCCTGCCTCACTGAGATACAGGCCTTATTGTTCCCAGGTACAGAAAATGAGACTTGACGAGATTAAGTAACTCGCTCAAAATCATATTAAAATCAGTAAAAGGGGCTGGGAAAATTCAAAACCAGGTCCACCAAACTCAAGAGTCAATGTTCTCTCTATTACACTGTTTCCCTCACTTTATAAATCAGCTTTGGAAAATGCAAGTTCAAAGTCAAACAGATCTCTGACGCAGTTACAAAATAAATCTAAATTAAATGTCTAAAAATACACAGCACACTAGAAATACCAATATGCATTCAGAAAACATCATGAAAGATACGTAGAATTTTTAGCAGGGATTAACTCTGGGATTTAGGGAGGTAAGACATGTCTAATTTGGGGGTAGGGACAGCTTCAAATAATTTGAAGTGATTATTTAAGGAATTGGAGTTAGTTTGTTGTTTTTTAATTTTGTGGTTTGTTTTTGTTTTGTTTGTTTTAAGACAGAGTCTCGCTCCATCACCCAGGCTGGAGTGCAGTGGCCCTATCTCAGCTCACTGCAACCTCCACCTCCCGGGTTCAAGCGATTCTCCTGCCTCGGCCTCCTGAGTAGTTGGGACTACAGGCGTGTGCCACCACGCCTAATTTTTTTTTTTTTTTTTTTTTTGAGACAGAGTCTCGCTCTGTCCCCCAGGATGGAGTGCAGTGGCACGACCTCGGCTCACTGCAACCTCCGCCTCCCGAGTTCAAGCAATTCTCCTGCCTCAGCCTCCCGAGTAGCTGGGACTACAGGCGCGCACCACCACATCCAGCTAATTTTTTGTATTTTTAGTAGAGATGGGGTTTCACCGTGTTAACCAGGATCGTCTTGATCTCCTGACCTCATGATCCACTGGCCTCGGCCTCCCAAAGTGCTGGGATTACAGGCATGAGCCACCGCGCCCGGCCAATTTTTGTATTTTTTAGTAGAGACGGGGTTTTGCCATGTTGGCCAGGCTGGTCTTGAACTCCTGGCCTCAGATGATCTGCCCGCCTCAGCCTCCCAAAGTGCTGGAATTACAGGCGTGAGCCACCATGCTTGGCCTTAATTTTGTGTTTTAGGATAAACCAAATTATCTCTAAAAATCTTTCCAACCCTTTGTTTCTAATAATTTACCCTAAGAGTTGTTAACTTCAACCAGGAGTGTACGGACAACAGTGTATGTGCAACCATGCTCGCTCTGCCCTGGGAGGGGCAGTGGAGGCAGAAATGGATGAGGAAATAGTGAAAGATATCAAAGATACCCCATACTCTCGGGGCATCAGCTACTGGCCTTATTTGGTTTTATAAAACATAAACGTTCCTCCTAAACGCTTCCAGTATTTTGAGGGGCTTTCACATTTCCAAATACAAAGTTTTACAAACAAGCCTATTATAAAAATTACATTGTCATGTGGCTAAATTACAAAAATGACTTCAGCTTTGTATAAGTCATTTAAAACAGTGTATACACTAAGGCTATTTTAATCTTCCAAAGAACTATTGTGGATAGCACAGTTTTCCTCACAGCTAATGCTTTATCAATCATTTATCTCAAATTCCTGTTTTAACCATTTTGGATCAAAGCCTTTAAAATATGTATTACATAACTCAATGCCTCCTTAAATAGTAGTCTGTTTTACTGTGTTAGAACAAAGAAATGAAATGAAAGGATATTTATTTTTAACAGATAAAATATTACTGTGCACTATTATATAATTAGATTTTGGTATACATGTCTCTACAATATGCCTATATTCTTTAAGATAATAAATTCTCAATGTTTCCAAATATAAACTCCCAAAGGTTAGATCTTATGTAAATTTTAGGTATGAAATACTTGTCTGAGACTTCCTAAGTTATATAGCACTGTCTTTAAAAACAGACCACACAGACCCATACATGGGAATTTACTACATTAAAAATGGTGTCATTTCAAATTGGTAAAGGAAATAAATGATTTATGATATCTCCCAAACCATATGGGGGAACAAAGGGGTATCCTGTCTTACCCCCTCCAGATATACCAAGATTGAAACATGAAAAATTAAAACCACAAAGAGCTTGAAGAAGTCCTCAACAAATTTTTTTCCATAACCTTGGCATGAAGAAGGCCTTTCTTTTGTTGTTGTTGTTTTGGTTTTTTTATTTTTATGAAATTATATACAGCAGAATGACTGCTCCATAGACAGAGCAGGGCTATCTCAGTAGCACAGAGTAGCCAAGAAGGCCTTTCAAAGGAAAGCAAAAAGCCCAGAAGCTATTTTTAAAAAGGGGGTGGAGGGCGGGTGCGGTGGCTCACGCCTGTAATCCCAACACTATGCAAGGCCGAGGTAGGAGGATTGCTTGAGCTCATGAGTTCAAGACTAGCCTGTGCAACACAGCAAGACCTGTCTCTACTAAAAATAAAAAAATTAGCCGTGTGTGACGGCACACATCTGCGGTCCCAGCTACTCAGGAGGCTAAGGTAGGAGGATCACTTGAGCTTGGAAGATCAGCAAGCTATGACTGCACCACTGCACTCTAGCCTGGGCAACACAGCCAGGCTCTGTCTCTCAAAAAAAAAAAAAAAAAAAAAAGCGGGGGGGGGGGGTGGGCAGTGGTGGTGACTGGAGATTAGTTTGCTAAATAATTAAAATCTTTGAAATTCCTGGGGTGGAGGGACAACGGACAGTGAGGTATGAGAAATTACCTATTGGGCCCAATTTATACTATTCCTAGTAGTGATGGTTATACTAAAATCCCAGACTTCAGATTTCACCGCTACATAATGTATCCATGTAACGAAACTTGTACCCCTTAAATCTACAACAAATTTTTAAAAACTAAAAACTTTCAGACTAGCCAAAAGACTGCAGGAAGCCCTTACAGATGAGCCAGAGACACAGTTTTCAAGGGTTTGTGAACAGGCAGATCACAATTAAAGAACTAAAAATGCCCAATATACAAATAAAAATGCAAAGCAAACCAAGGTACCATCTTTAACTTACCACATTTTAAAGGAGTAAAAAAACAACCTTGGTGTGGGCAAACAGGTCACTCAACATACTTTTGGCGGGGGGTGGGGGGCTCTAAATTGGTAGAGTGGGTTTGTAGAGGTATTAGCAAGCTCTATCAACGTCTGAACTCACATGCATTTTCACCCAACAATTCTACCGCTTTGAGTTTATTCCAGATATTCTCACTCAAGTGTAAATGGTTACTCACCAAACCAGAAAACAACCTAAATGTCCACCAATAGGGAACTGGTTAAATAACGGCCAACCATACAAGGTAAAACCATGCAGCCATTCAAAGGAATAAAACAGATCGTATGCCGACATAGTATAATTAGGTAGGAAAAAAGGCAAATGGCCAGTACAGGATGAATACATCAGTATAAATTTAAAATATCCATACACTGTATAAGCCAATATATGGATACAATTTTCCTACAAGAATATCCCCAAAATTGTTCACCATAATTACCTTTGTGTGGATTGCGGACCTAGAAGTTGGAAATGAAGAATTATTTTTTCTTTTTATAATTCTTGGCTCTGCCTTAATTTATTTTACTTTTTGGCTGTCAAATGATCCTTTATTGGAATATTTTCCTTTGTGCTTCTTTTTTTTTGAGACAGAGTCTCACTCTGTTGCCCAGGCTGGAGTGCAGTGGCACGATCTCAGCTCATCACAACCTCCGCCTCCCGGGTTCAAGCGATTCTCCTGCCTCAGACCTCCGAGTAGCTGAGATTACAGGCGTGCGCCACCATGCCCAGCTAATTTTTGTATTTTTAGTAAAGACGGAGTTTCACTATGTTGGCCAGGCTGATCTCGAACTCCTGACCTCGTGATCTGCCCGCCTCGGCCTCCCAAAATGCTGGGATTACAGGCGTGAGCCACCGCGCCTGGCCCCTTTGTGCTTCTTAAATAGCTGGGTATTGGCCAGGCGCAGTGGTTCACGCCTGTAATCCCAGCACTTTGGGAGGCCGAGGCGGGTGGATCACGAGGTCAGGAGATCAAGACCACGGTGAAACCCCGTTTCTACTAAAAATACAAAAAAATTAGCCGGGCGTGGTGGCAGGCGCCTGTAGTCCCAGCTACTCCGGAGGCTGAGGCAGGAGAATGGCGTGAACCCAGGAGGCGGAGCTTGCAGTGAGCCAAGACTGCACCACTGCACTCCAGCCTGGGTGACAGAGTGAGACTCCATCTCAAAAAAAAAAAAAAAAAATAGCTGGGTATTGCACTGCATCACTGTTGATGTCATTTATGATGTCATGAGAGTGACAGCCATCAACATTGCAATCCACAGACTGGGCAGTCCCCAGGATCTCTAATGGTTATGGAGAGTTCTTAAAGATCCGTGCCACATCTGTAAGGCAAAGTTTGTTGGGTCAAACTTAGGCTGCATGGTGGAGGCAGCGGGTGTCCGACGAACCCCAATTTGGGACAACCAAAGAAAGTAGCAGGCCGGGCGCCATGGCTCACACCTGTAATCCCGGTACTTTGGGAGGCCAAGGAGGGTGGATCACGAGGTCAGGAGTTCAAGACCAGCCTGGCCAAGATGGTGAAACCCCATCTCTACTAAAAATGCAAAAATCAGCCAGGCATGGTGGCAGGTACCTGTAATCCCATCTACTCGGGAGGCTGAGGCAGGGAATTGCTTGAACCTGGGAGACGGAGGCTGCAGTGAGCCACGATCACGCCACGGCACTCCAACCTGGGCAAAAGAGCAAAACTCTGTCTCAAAAAAAAAAAAAAAAAGAAAGAAAGAAAGCATCTTGGCCTTCTCCGAGCAGAAAACTGAAAGCACTGTTTTTTATTGTATGAATGTATTACTTTTATTTTTTAAAAAAGACCTTTTAAGTTGAGATTTTGGTTGGATATCACAGTATCATACTTACTCACTTTTCCGTTACTAACGCAAGCTCAGAATCTGAACACAGCAGGAGGTCATACCTTATTTCATGTCATCTTTTCCCTTTGCCTTGCTCTATGCCAGTGGGAAATGCGACCAAGCCAATTTAACATAAGTAGCGGTCAGAATCACTAATAAAAGGGGCCAGGTGCACTTTGGGAGGCTGAGGTGGACGGATCACCTGAGGTCAGGAGTTCAAGACCAGCCTGGCCAACATGGCGAAACCCTGCCTCTACTAAAAATACAAAAATTAGCTGGGCATGGTGGTGTGTGCTTGTAATCCCAGCTACTCGGGAGGCTCAGTCAGGAGAATTGCTTGAACCTGGGCGGCAGAGGCTGCAGTGAGCCAAGATTGTGCCACTGCATTCCAGCCTGGGTGACAGAGTAAGACTGTGTCTAAAAAAAAAAAAAAAGGCCAGGTGCGGTGGCTCGCCCCTGTAATCCCAGCACTTTGGGAGGCCAAGGTGGGCAGATCACGAGGTCAGGAGTTCAAGACCAGTCTGACCAACAGAGTGAAACCCTGTCTCTACTAAAAACACACAAAAAATTAGCCAGGCGTGGTGGTGTATGCCTGTAATCCCAGCTACTCGGGAGGCTGAGGCAGGAGAATCGTGTGAACCCAGGAGGCAGAGGTTGCGGTGAGCTGAGATTGCACCACTGCACTCCAGTCTGGGTGACAGAGCAAGACTCCGTCTCAAAAAAAAAAAAAAAAAAAAAGAAAGAAAGAAAAAAAAATCACTAATAAAAAGTATCCCTTATTTGCCCAAGATTATGCAACGGTTAGGCCAAGATCTGAACACAGGGAGTCTGGCTTTGTTCAAAGCCTGGGCTTTTTATTACTGTCACACGGTTCACAGGCAACACTAACATTAAGAATAAAATACATGCAAGACATGGGCTTCAGGAGAACTCACCAATGACTGTAGACTCATTTATAAGCAGAGAAAATAGCCAATCTCTTTCCCTCCAACCCCACTAGCTGGAGAATTAATCTATCATAACGCTAAAGAAATCACTATCTTTGGGAGAAAGGTAGGTTGCCTTTAAATAAATCAGTTGACCACTGAGTAAAGGGGGAAAGTCCTTGACTATCTGGATGTTTTGGGGACTAGACTTCAGGTAAGCGTAATGGAAAGGGAGGTGTGTTAGGCCATTCTCATACTGCTATAAAAGAATGCCTGAGGCCGAGCTCGGTGACCCACGCCTGCAATCCCAGCACTTTGGGAGGCCGAGGCGGGCGGATCACCTGAGGCCAGAAGTTCGAGACCAGCCTGGCCAACATGGTAAAACCCCATCTCTACTAAAAATACAAAAATTAGCCAGGTGTGGTGGCATGTCCCTGTAATCTCAGCTACTCAGGAGGCTGAGGCAGGAGAATTGCATGAACCCGGGAGGTGGAGGTTGCAGTGAGCTGAGATCACACCACTGCACTCCAGCCTGGGAGACAGAGTGAGACTCTGTCTCAAAAAACAAACAAAAAAAGAATGCCCGAGACTGGGTAATTTATAAGAAAAGAGGCTTAACTGGCTCACGGTTCTGTTGGCTGTACAGGAAGCATGGCGCTGGCATCGCTTCTGGCGAGGCCCAGGGAGCTCTTATTCATGACGGAAGGCAAAACAGGAGCAGGCGTGCCACACAGCGAGAGCAGAAGCAAGAGAGCTAAGGGGTCAGGGGCATCACACATTTTTAAAAACCAGATCTCGCTAGAACTATCAGGGGGATGGTTGGCACCAAGCCATGAGGGCCCCTATGATCCAATCACCTCCCACCAGGCCCCACCTCCCACCAGGCCCCACCTCCATCACTGGGATTACAATATAACATGAGATTTGGAGGGAACAAGATCCAAACCGTATCAGGTCTGAGGTTGCTGAAGCCAAGAACTGCTCCACAGGAAATACACTAAGAAATAAGCATTTTTCAGAAGTATCTCCTCTTGGCCAGATGTGTTAGCACACGCCTGTAATCCCAGCTACCCAGGAGGCTGAGACAGGAGAATCGCTTAAACCCGGGAGGCAGAGGTTGCAGGGAGCTGAGATAACGCAATTGCACTCCAGCCTGGGCGACAGAGTGAGACTCCATCTCAAAAAAAAAAAAAAAAAAAAGTTTCCTCCTCTCCAGGCCTGGCTCGGTGGCTTACGCCTGTAATTCCAGCACTTTGGGAGGCTGAGGTGGGCAGATTGTTTGAGTCCAGCAGTTCCAAACCAGCCTGGGCAATACAGCAACACTCCGCCTCTAAACAAAAATTTGCCAGGTGTGGTGGTGAACACGTATAGTCCCAACTAATCGGGAGGCAGAGGCAGGACGATCACCTGAGCCTGGGAGGTGGAGGCTGCAGCGAGCTGAGACTGTGCCACTGCACTCCAGCCTGGGTGACAGAGTGAGACCCTGTCTCAAAAAAATAAAAAATTAAAAATAATAATAAAGTGGCTGGGCATAGTGGCTCACGCCTGTAATCCCAGGACTTTGGGAGACCAAGGTGGGTGGATCGCCTGAGGTCAGGAGTTTCAGACCAGCCTAGCCAACATGACAAAATTCCGTCTCTACTAAAAATACACAAATTAGCCGGGCGTGGTGGTAGATGCCTGTGATCCCAGCTACTCGGGAGGCTGAGGCAAGAGAATCACTTGAACTCCGGAGGCGGTGGTTGCAGTGAGCCGAGATCATACCACTGCACTCCAGCCTGGGCTAGAGTGAGACTCCATCTCAAAAAAAAAGATTTGATGATGGATAATTATTCCCAAGTGGAATTACATGGTCAATATCTAAGTTTACTATGTGAGATAAATGGAACACACAAGATGGCTAACAGAATACCTTCAAGGCTAAGTTCTGAGTGAAAAAAAGGAATAAAAAAACTAACATTACTAAATGCCTGACATCTTATTTATTTTTTTGAGACAGAGTCTCGCTCTGTCACCCAGGCTGGAGTTCAGTGGCGCGATCTCGGTTCACTGCAACCTCCGCCTCCTGGGTTCAAACAATTCTCCTGCCTCAGCCTCCCGAGTAGCTGGGACTACAGGTGCCCGCCACCATGCCCGGCTAATTTTTGTATTTTTAGTGGAGATGGGGTTTCACCATGTTGGCCAGGCTGGTCTCGAACTCCTGACCTCGTGATCCGCCCGCCTTGGCCTCCCAAAGTGCTGGGATTACAGGCATGAGCCACCATGCCCGGCCTAATGCCTGACATTTTAAATACATTATTTAGTTCAGTGTTACAATTCTAAGACAGTAGGAACATTACCCCATTGTATAGCTAAAGAAACCAGGGAGCAGAGTAGGAAGTGAGGGGAGGAAGCCATTATTTCAGACCTACATTTATTAAGCCTGGCATGGAGGTCGATGCTTCTATAAGGGGACGTCCTAAAGAACCACATCTAAAGCTAAGAATCATGATGAATACCCAAGTATCCATCGCCAGATGAATGGATATACAAAATGTGGTTAATATATAAGGTAGAATATTATTCCACCTTAAAAAGGAAATGCAGCTGGGTGTGGTGGCTCATGCCTATAATCCCAGCACTTTGGGAAGCCGAGGTGCGCGGATCACCTGAGGTCGGGAGTTCAAGACCACCCTGACCAACATGGAGAAACCCCATCTCTACTAAAAATACAAAATTAGCCGGGCGTGGTGGCGCATGCCTGTAATCCCAGCTACTCGGGAGGCTGAGGCAGGAGAATCGCTTGAACCCAGGAGGCAGCGGTTGCGGTGAGCTGAGATTGCGCCATTGCACTCCAGCCTGGGAAACGAGCGAAACTCCGTCTCAAAAAAAAAAAAGGAAATGCTGGCTGGGCGCAGTGGCTCATACCTGTAATCCTAGCACTCTGGGAGGCCAAGGCAGTAGGATCACTTGAGCCCAGGAGTTGGAGACCAGCCATAGTGAGAACCTGTCTCCACAAAAAATAAAAATATTAGCCTTGTATGGTGGCACATTCCTGTAGTCCCAGCTACTTGGGAGGCTGAAGCAGGAGGCTTGCTTGAGCCTAGGAGTTCAAGGCTGCAGTGAGCTATGATCATGCCACTGTATTCCAGCCTGGGCGACAGAGCAAGACCCTGTCTCTAAGGAAAAAAAAAAAAAAACTTTTGCTGTCCACCACAGTATGCTGGTGGTCTTCGAAAAAAGCACGAGTGCAGCTGTTTGAATTATGAACCCAACTTGCTGCTCTTTCTATGGAACATGTTTTAAATAGACAAACTATGGTTGTTTGTTCAGACCTGGGTATTTGGCAGATATTTTCTCCAAAATATACGAAGAAAGCCTGCCACTTCAAGGCAAGCAAACAACAGTACTTGTTGCCAATGATAAAATTTGAGCTTTAAAGCAAAAAATAGAATTTTTGAAAATTATCTGCCACCATGAGCTAAACAGCTTCCCAATACTTAAAAAGACTTTTCTGATGAGATCAGTGGTGATTAATGAACAAATGTAATTTTTATATAGTATACCAAAACGTACCAACGTTTGGAAGATGAACACAATTCAGTTAACCAATATTTTCGAAATGACTAATGGATGGTATTACAAAATGATACATGGGGAAAAGAGACCCATTTGACACGCAAGACAGACCAACAGAATCAAAGGATTTCCACAATTATCCACAAAGACTATTACAATACTCCTCCCTGTTCCAACTACATACATGTGTGAGGCCACATTCTCTTCATATACTTAGGCTGAAAGGGCATATTACAACAGATTGAATGCAGAAGCAGATGTCTTCTATTAAGCCATTCATTATAGAGATCTGCAAAAATGTGAAAGAATGCCACTCTTTCCAGTAACATTTTGGAAAATCAGCTATTTTTAATTTTTTTAAAATGTTACTTATGTTAACATGTATGGCAGCTTCTGCCATGGCCCCCAATGGTCCCCTCCCCTTGAGTGTGGGCTGAAACTAGTGACTGGCTTCTAATGAAGAGAGAATTTATCAAAAGTGAGAAGATGTCATTTCTATGATTACGATACAAAAGACTGCAACTTCCTTCTCTTTCATGCTGGCACTCTCTCTTACTCACTCTGATGAAGCAGCTGCCATGTTGTGAGATGCTTACAGAAAGACCCATGTGGCAAGAAACCAAGGAAGGCCTCCGGCCAACTGCTCATGAGGAACTGAGGCCTCAGTCCAACAGCCCACGAGGAATTGAATCCTGCCAACAGCCACAAGAGTGAGCTGGGAAGTGGATCTTTCCCAGTCAAGCCTTCAGGTGACTACAGCCCTCGACAAACCCTAAAGCAAAGGACCTGGCTAAGCCACACTCAGATTCCTAAACCCCGAAACTGTGAGATCACAAATGTTCCAAGTCAGTAAGTTTTGGGGTGATCTGTTACACAGCAATAGATAACCAGAGTACAACATTTCTTCTTTTTTTTTTTTTTTTGAGACAGTCTTGCTCTGTCGACCAGGCTGGAGTGTAATGGTATGATCTCGGCTCACTGCAACCTCCAACTCCTGGGTTCAAGTGATTTTCCTGCCTCAGCCTCCCAAGTAGCTGGGATTACAGGCATGCGCCACCACGTCTGGCTAATTTTTGTATTTTTAGTAGAGATACGGTTTCCCTGTGTTGGCCACACTGGTCTCAAACTCCTGACCTCAGGTGATCCACCCACCTCGGTCTCCCAAAGTGCTGGGATTACAGACATGAGCCACCGCGCCCAGCCTCATTTCATTTTTTAAGTGAATTAATAATGTTAAAATTTTTATTGAATTTCTAATATGGTAAATTAGGTAAAGAAGCCCACAAGAACAAAAGCTCCTTGGGACTGTCAATAATGTGTAAGTGTACAAAAAGATCCTCAAACCGAAGTTTGAGAACTGCTGTCCTGGTTGTGGTGGGAGCAGGAATAGAGAGACTAGAAGGCCAGCTCTGTCAAACCATGACCAGAAAGGGGTCCACATCTTGGCAGCAATAAGCAGGCAGATCCACCTCTAGGGAATACGCCCTGGGACCAGGGAGGAGAACAGGGAGAAGAGTGCCACTTCCTTCTTATTCAACTACACCTAACAAATAGGCATCTTTCCCCCTTTTTGTTAAGTGACAGATCTGCCAATCAGTGGAATCCAAATGGGTGGTGAGGGACAACTGGTATAAACACTTTCCCTTGACCTTCATTGCTCTGGCTCATTCAGAAGCCTCTGTAACAGTATTTAATAGACTACTTCCTCATTTAATTCTCAGAACTATCTTATAGGCAGGTATGATAAACAAGCAGCCTCAGTGATAAGGTAATTTAAGTACGATGTCCACGGTCAGGAACCTAGGAAAGGAAAGCAGAGACTGAATCCTTGTCTTTCTCTGTAAAGGGCATACTCTCTAAAGAGCATGCTCTTCCCAGGTTATGTTAAAAATAAACAAGTGCGGCCGGGCACAGTGGCTCATGCCTGTAATCCCAGCACCTTGAGAGGCCAAGGCTGGAGGATCCCTCGAGCCCAGGAGTTTGAGACCAGCCTGGACAACATGGCAAAACTCTGTCTCTAATAAAAAATAATAAAAATGAACAAGTGTAGTGACGGTCACACAACTCTGAATATATACTAAAAAAAAGTGAGGCCGGGCACAGTGGCTCATGCCTGTAATGCCAGCACTTTGGGAGGCTGAGGTGGGTGGATCACCTGAGGTCAGGAGTTCAAGACCATCTTGGCTAACATGATGAAACCCCGTTTCTACTAAAAATACAAAAAATTAGCCGGGCACGGTGGCGCATACCTGTAATCCCAGCTACTCGGGAGACTGAGGCTGGAGAACTGTTTGAACCCGGGAGGCAGAGGTTGCAGTGAGCCGAGATCGCACCACTGCACTCCAGCTTGGGCAACAAGAGTGAAACTCCGACTCAAAAAAAAAAAAAAAAATTGAATTATACACTATAAATGGGCAAACTGTATGGCATGTTACCCAAACAAATTACTAAATAAATGAAGCCAGAGAAATGATGGAGTTCTAAGGAGGGATCATAAATTGGAGGCAGGGTAAGTTCTAGGAGTTGTCCTAACTACTACCTGGGAGCAGGCAGCTAAAGGATCCAGAGTAACTGTCACAGCATGTAAGAGCACAAAGAACACACAGAACCATTAGTAGGTAAATGACAAGAAAAGAGAGGCAGACTAGTGCTAAACTAAGGGATGAGGGAACCTGATCTCCCCCACTGGGGAAGAAACCAAGAATGAGTAAAAGGATCCGGGAAAGGTCTACTTTGGACACAGCTTCTTTAGTCTCATAACCTAGCAGTATAAGTGCTAATATTGTACATTTACTGGTAACATCTATATTAGACTGTGTACATCATTTGCCTTTTAATAAGTGAATGTTAATGACTGCATTAAATTTTGCATTTAACTTCTGTGGCTATTTCTTTTATAAAAATAAATTATTATTTTTATTTTTTTTTGAGACAGTGTCTCGCTCTGTCGCCCAGGCTGGAGTGCAGTGGCGCAATCTCGGCTCGCTGCAAGCTCCGCCTCCCAGGTTCACACCATTCTCCTGCCTCAGCCTCCCGAGTAGCTGGGACTACAGGCGCCCACCACCACGCCTGGCTAATTTTTTGTATTTTTAGTAGAGATGGGGTTTCACCATCTTAGCCAGGATGGTCTCGATCTCCTGACCTCGTGATCCGCCTGCCTCTGCCTCCCAAAGTGCTGGGATTACAGGTGTGAGCCACCGCGCCCAGCTAAATTATTCTTTTATATAAATAAAGGATGCTGGATTCCATGATTTGCAAAATCACTTCTAGTTCTAAAACTGTAACTCAATGAATATCTGCAATCTGAAAGATACTTGTATTAGTGTAAGTACCTATTTCAGCAGCAAAAGAGCAGGACATTCAAAGATTTTAATGCCCAAAGCCACTGAAATATACTTGGACCTGATCTATTTACAGGACAGGGGCTGGGTCACACAACTAGCATCTTTAAGCCACAGACTCTTAGATGTAAAATGGTCCTTTACTTTTATGGGTTACCTAAGTGAACATCCCTGTCCCAATTTTATGAAGTCATCCTTCCCTAGATCCATATGGACCAATCCTGATACACCTCTGAAACATCAAGCCTTCTTTTTATTTGTCTTACTTCCCCAGACCACTTCAACTCTTTGCTAACACCAGGTTATATGAACTTTATTTACAAGAAGTTAAAGAGAGTCTCTCTAAACTCTCTACCTTTCAATTTATTCAAATTACACTTGGAGGTACTGTTGCAGGAAGTTGTAGCATGGCATACCTCCTAAATCATAAATCTCAAGGTTAACCTAGGGCCTAGGTGAATGAAGCAAAAGATATTAAGAGGCTCAAAACTCCTCTGGTCCCCAAATTACAATCAATTTTCGATATCCCCTAATCATCCAACTCCATCCCTCATAATTTGTCTTCGTTTAGCAAAAACTATTACTATTACTATTTTATCTACCAGCATGTTTTGCTCACTTTCAACTAGGGGCACTTATGTGACCTTTACTATCTGAGGAAATGTTAACATGAGAGATACGAAATATGGACAATGGCTTTGGAGCCCAAAGAGCCGAAACTCTGAATATACCACTTAGCATCTCCTGTGTGGCCATAGGGAGGCCAACCTGTCAGTTTCCTTATCTGTAAACTGGGATGTACAGTACTTACCTTCTTAGCGCCATAAGTAGATATAATAGGTATAAATTGCTGATAGATATAAACTGCTGACACATAGCAGAACTGTTATAATATTTGAATGAAGACATTTTACAGGCTGCGTGCAGTGGCTCACGCCTGTAATCCCAGCAGTTTGGGAGGCCAAGGCAGGAGAATCATGCTTGAGCCTAAGAGTTTAAGACCAGCCTGCGCAACATAGGAAGACCCTGTCTCTCAAAAAAAAGAAAAAAAACAGCCAGACATGGTGGCACACACACCTGTAGTCCTAGCTACTAGGAAGGCTGAGGCAGGAAGATCACTTGAGACCAGGAGTTCAAGGCTGCAATAAGCGTTAACTACACTCCAGCCTGGGCAACACAGGGAGATCCTGTCTCAAAAAAAAAGAAAAAAAAAAAAGATATTTTACAAAATGCATTCATTCTCACTTTTAATATGGCCCATTTTGCAATCCAAAAGACCCATAAAGAAATGAGTTTCTAAGCTACTGGCACATCTTTCTTGCCAAACCATTCTACTACCTTGAGAGTAGGGAAAGAAGAAACATGAAAAAAAAAAAAAGTAGCCAGTAAATATTACTCAGGACAGACTATAAGGTGGGAAGTAGGAGATAACAGAGGTCATTCTAGGGACGTTTTGGAAATGCAACACAGAATGCAAATCAACACCCTAAGCAATAAATGCTAATACAATTATTTTGATAGCATAGGAGGAAAACACCAGTTATTTTATGTATCTTTTCCTTCAAGTAATAAAATGTAAGTATTTATAAGTGCCAACAGAATTTCAACTAGGAGGTAGATTCAAACATAAAAATGTACTCCCAGGGTCTTAATGGATCTTAAAGGTCACCTTACCTATTTCTACCCTCTTCTAGAAATGTCCCATCTCAATGTTGATGAATATGATATTAAATTTGTATATTATTGTATACTTTTTTTTTTTTTTGACACGGAGTCTCCCTCTATGTCACCCAGGCTGGAGTATAATGGCACGATCTTGGCTCACAGCAACATCCGCCTCCCAAGTTCAAGTGATTCTCCTGCCTCAGCCTCCCGAGTAGCTGGGATTACAGGCATGCATCACCATGCCCAGCTAATTTTTGTATTTTTAGTAGAGATGGGGTTTTACCATGTTGACCAGGCTGGTCTTGAACTCCTGACCTCAGGTGATCCACCTGCCTCGGCCTTCCAAAGTGCTGGGATTACAGGCATGAGCCACTGTGCCTGGCCTATACTTTTTATTTTTATTATTATTATTATTTTTTAGAGACAGGATCTCACTCTCTTGCCCAGGCTAGAGCAGTGGCCCAATCGTGGCTCACTGCAACCTTGACCTCCTGGACTCAAGTGATCCTTCCACCTCAGCCTCCCAAGTAGCTGGAACTACAGGCACATACCAATGTGCCTAGCTAAGTTTTTTATTCTTCATAGAGACGGGGTCTCCCTGTGTTGCCCAAGCGGGTCTCAAAATCCTGGCCTCAAGCAGTCCTCCCGTCTCGGCCTCCCAAAGCACTGGGATTACAAGCATGAGCCACCATGCCTGGCCCATACTTTATAAATACTGACACACCCGTTATATTAACTAAAAGTTATTCATAATCACATTAGAACCAAACAAGAGGAATTAGGGGGAGGGCAGCAGGAAGAGGAGGAACAGGCAAACAGATTTCTTGAGGTATTAAGTTAAAACTTAACGAGGTAAGCAGAAACTTCCTGGGCATTAGAAGACATCTGTCATACTATCAATTACACAACTATACACTAACCCTAGCAAACGTCACCAACTGTGGGCTCTATTATTCAAGCAAGTTTGTTTCTGACTAAGACTCAGATGCCTTATCTATATACCTGGGGATACCACCTACCTTGCAGAGTTAAGGAGATATTAGAATGCATTCACACCTTAAGTGACTAACACAGTGCATGAAACACAAATGAAATTTGAGGTCTCCAAATTTCTTTCCTTTGAAACATAACTCTGAGAAGTGTAAAACTGTGACAGCATATCTATTTAATAGAAGCCCATTATAGTGAATCTTGTGAAGAATCCCACAAAAGCAGTTTTATGTCATTTGGATTTGATATATACCTTCCTAAACAAAACTTCTCTAGGCAAGACCAATATAAATAACACACAAAATAACATAAAACACCTTCCAGGCAGGGCGCGGTGGCTCATGCCTGTAATTCCAGCACTTTGGGAGGCCAAGGCAGGTGGATCACTTGAGGTCAGGAGTTCAAGACCAGCCTGGCCAACATGGTGAAACCCCATCTCTACTAAAAATACAAAAATTAGCCAGGCCTGGTGGCGCATGCCTGTAATCTCAGCTACTCGGGAGGCTGATGCAGGAGAATCACTTGAACCCGGAAAGTGGAGGTTGCAGTGAGCTGAGATTGCGCCATTGCACTCCTGCCTGGGCTACAGAACAAGACTCCATCTCAAAAAAACAAAATAAATTAAAAATAAATAAATAAAACACGTTCCAATAACATAATAAATATGACATAATATGATATGAAAATGTGGCATGAATAGCAGAATATGCTGTATCTGGTTTGTTCTCATTACTGCTTGTCCTATTTGATCCCAGTAAAAGAAAAAAATAAATTTACCAAAGCTTGGTGATACAATTAGAAAACAATGGTGTAAGCAGAAGATCACTTTACTTTACTTCTCATTACTTAATCTCTGTACCAGAAGAGTGGAAGTTCATCAAGTTGGCAAATGGGGAGAAAAACAAGATTAATGAAATGGCTTTTTCCTGCCCCCATACTCTTGCCCAACCCTGACCTGATTTCTCCTCATTATGTCTATCACGGAGAGATTCTGGGAAGAGGAGAGAATATAAAGGTTGGAAGATGGATTTACAAAATTAGCACCCTAAATGCAAGAGAAATTAATCTCTTCCATATGTCCTCCCCTCCAAACCATGTAAAATTCTACATATCCCACACTGTGCCAAATGTGTCCCATCAACTCCTTCTTCACAGTAATCCCCTGTGGTAGGTATGAGCATTATCCCCTCTTTACAGATGATGCAACTGAAGCTTAGAAAGATTGAGAAACTTGCCCAAGGTTGCAGAGCTATGGGCGGCAGAAAGCCAGGAGTCCCAACTCCAAAATCCATAGATTTACCCAGTACTACACTACTCATTACTGTAGTATAGATGAAAGAGTATTGGGTTCCAGACTCAGCTTCACCCCTTAGGCAAGTGAGTTAACATCGTTGAGCAGCTTGTCATCAGCAAATGAGGGCAGTGAAAGCTGCCCAGCCTTCTCCACAGCATCTGACTGGTGCTGAAAGAGTTAATGTATGTGCAAATGTGCCATAAAAACTACAGGGCATTATGTAAATGCAAGATTTTGTTAATTTGGGCCTAGGTACCTTGTATTATCCTTCCACATGGTTTATGGACCTAAAAATTAGTTTAATAGTAGTTAAATAATTTTTAACATTCCCAAGCAAAAATCTAGTAAAGAAAAAAAATACCAACCTTAGACAAGCTGGAAAAGGCAAAACTATGGAGACAGTAAAAAGATCAGGCCAGGTGTGGTGGCTCATACTTATAATTCCAGCACTTTGGGAGGCCAAGGCAGAACGATCGCCTGAGCCTAGGAGTTCAAGACCAGCCTGGGCAACATAGCAGGACCCCCAACTCTAAAATTTAAAAAAAATAAAATCAGTGGCTGTCAGTAGTCTAGGGGAAGGGAGAGAGGGATGAATAGGTAGAGCACAAGGGATTTATAGGACTGTGAAACTCTTCTGTGTGATACTATAATCGTGGATCCATGTCACTACACATTTGTCAAAATGCATAGAATATATAGCACCAGAGTGAACCCTAACGTAAACTATGGACTTAGTCAATAATAATATAGCAATATTGGCTCATGAATTTTAACACAAGTATCACACTAATGCAAGATGTAAATAATAGGGGATAAGGGTCGGGCGCAGTGGCTCACACCTGTAACCTCAGCACTTTGGGAGGCCGAGGCGGGCAGATCACCTGAGGTCAGGAGTTTGAGACTAGCCTGACCAACATGGAGAAACCCCGTCTCTACTAAAAATACAAAAAAAATTAGCCGGGCGTGGTGGCACATGCCTGTAATCCCAGCTACTTGGGAGGCTGAGGCAGGAGAATTGCTTGAACCCGGGAGGCGGAGGTTGTGGTGAGCCAAGATCATGCCATTGCACTCTAGCCTGGGCAACAAGAGCGAAACCCCATCTCAAAAATAATAATAATAATAGGGGGAAAGGGTGTGTGTGAGGGGGTATATGGAAACTGTACTTTCTACTCAATTTTTCTGTAAAACTAAAAACCATTCCCAAAAAAAGTCTATTAATTTTTTTTTAAATCAACCTTATAAAGCAAATTCTACATAGGGATTTAGGAAGTAAAACGAATGAGCCTGATGTTCTAAAAAATGCCTGACATACTAGATATTGTGTACTCATCTTTTTAGACCAATGCTGATAAAATTTTTATGCAATGATGAAAATATTCTAGATCTGCTCTAATACAGTAGCCACTAGCCACACTGGCTACTGAATACCTGAAACTTGGTTAGTATAACTGAAGAAAAAAATTTTTAATTTTAATTTTAGTTAACAAATTTAGCTACATGTCACTAGTGGCTACTATCAGCACAGTTTTAGAAAATTCCTGAAGAGACCCCTAGTAATGTACTGTAACATTACCTTTAGAAGCAAAAGGTTACCTCAAGAGACCATTCAAATGGTTGTAGTTATGAAACAATGCCACAATTAACTGAGCAGGTCGCGAGTGACTAGGCAGATGGTTAAAGCAACCAGGAACCAAAAAAGCCCATCTCCAATTGTTCCTCACTTCAGGTCCCATAATGTAACTAGATAATGACAAAACACTCACTTTTCTTTTAATTCTTTCAATATTTTCAAAAAACTCAATTCATTAAACATTTCTGCTTCCTGAAAAAAAGGATAGAAGTTAAGCTGGAATTAAGAAATATTTTTTCAAGTCAGTGACCCAAAAGAAATTTTAAAATTAAGGGACACAATGAAGTAATGTAAAAATGATTTTTAAAAAAATTTTTGGCCAGTTGCAGTGGCTCATGCCTGTAATCCCGCCACTTTGGAAGGCCAAGGTGGGTGGCTTACCTGAGGCCAGGAGTTCAAGACCAGCCTGGCCAACATGGTGAAACCCTGTTTCTACTAAAAATATAAAAATTAGCTGGGCGTGGTAGCACACATCTGTAATCCCAGCTACTCAGGAGGCTGAGGCACGAGAATCGCTGGAACCCACGAGGTGGAAGATGCAGTGAGCCAAGATTGCATCACTGCACTGCAGCCTGGGTAACAGAGCAAGACTCTGACTCAAAAAAAAAAAAAAAAAACACAACAAGTTTGTTTGTTTTTTTAAGAGACAGGGTCTCACTCTGCGGCCCAGGCTAGCCTCCTGCTTCAGTCTCCTGACTAGGTGGTACTACAGGTGCATGCCACCATAGCTGGCTTAAAAATGATTCTTGCAAACACAAGATAATTCACCCAATTTGTTAAATGAAAATTCAAAGATTAATATTTTACCATGTATTTGAATGCCGTCACTGTCAGTTAGAAATCAAAAAGAAAAAGATGCTCAGAAGAGCATAAGCAAAGAAGAATGGAGTATGAGGTACATAAACAAAAATGAGTAGACACACACATGACTATTCCTATCCAGCTGTTAACCAGAGCTCTGCACCTCAAAGGGTCATTACCTCCTATCTTGGTTATTTTAAATGCTAGTTGATTAAACCTCAGTTCCTAATTCAACGACTTTTTGTCCTTATCCCAGTGTCATAAAAGGGAACTTATATCCTCAATTGCAGTGGCTTTTTATCAGAGTCCTCCTCCCCTGGGGAACCTACGAAATCAAACACTGAGATTGGCACTCCACCCTTAGGGAATAAGTGAAGTGTCCAAAGTGATGGTGTTGAATCCCTTACAGGACATTGGTCCACAGCTTCTTTTTCAGTCCTGCAAGCACTGGATCTTTCTTTTAGAATACAAAGAGAGGGAGAGAAAGAAAGAGAGGTAATTGAGAAGTAGTAACACTGTCATGCAGAAACATGAAAATACCTGACCTTAGAAACAGGCCCCAAAAAGCTAATTCTTAACACTCTGCTCAGACGTAAACTGGACCTTTGTTCTCCCATTTGAAGTTTATGAATTGCATTAGAAAAATATTATTTCGTAATTTCATACAGGAGTTAAGAGTGTTCAAATACATAATTAAGTAATATTAAATAGCCCTCGGTGATCAAGCAAGATATCCAACAAGTCGAACGTTTCAGTATGTTCACCTGCAAGGAAAAAAAGAGATGGGGTTCCCACCTTCCCAGTCTCAGTCCCCGCAATTATCCATTCCAGGGCCCCGAAAACCCTGTACCCCGTTCGTTGTGCAATCTTTTTCAAACTCCACCCACTGAGCTCCAGAACAAGTGGAATTGTCCCGTTCTGAAAGAGGTCTCAATTTTCCTGTATCTAGGGAGGGACTGAAAACTCCTTGACGTGAGTCAAGTAAGGCAAGGGGAACAGTCCGGCCTGTTTCCCAGATTAAGAAAGACCCAAGGCCAGGGTCGGGAAGGCATTCAAGTTTCCACTCATCAAATTAAAAAAATAATAAATGAAAGAAAAAAAAGAGGGGAAAAAAGAGGAGGGTGGTAAATAGGACTGGGAGGACCAGCTATCATGCGATATCCCAACTCTGCAGGACCGAGGTCCTCCAGCATCGCCTCCCCATCCATCCCCGGCCCCACGTGCAGCCAAGCCCTCGGAGCCCCGGGGTCTAGGTCCCGGGGGCCGAGCGTCCCGCTCGCACCGGCCCTGCGACACTCACCCGCTCGCCTGCCCGCCCGCGCAGTGGCGGGGAGCGCAGGGGGGCGGGGGAAGGGGGGCCAAGCACACCCCGGCTCCCGCGCGGTTATCTTACTGCGCAACAGCCTAGCCTGAGCAGCCCGGGGGCACCCCGCAGCGCGCCCTGCGCACCTGCCCGACGCCAGGAGGGCGAGCCCACGACCCCAGCGAGCCCCCGGACGGCGGCGCTCAGCGCCGGGAGCACGGTGACGGCGGTGACTGGGAGAAGGAACGCCTGGCGCCCGGATCCCCGCGGTGCTGGCCGCACGTGGCTGTCACACCTGGCGCACCCCCGCCTCGCACCCCTTCTCCCTTAGAACCGCGTGCGCCCCCTGCCCTCCCTCCCGGCTTCCCCGCCGCGCGCCGCCAAACCCCAACCGTCGTCCCTTCCCACCCCATCCATCGCGGTCCCACCCCCCCCCACCTGCTCCCACTGTCGTCACCCCCGGGAGGGAAGAAGACCGGATGTTCGTCCCGTGGCTATAGGTAACCAGGGAGAGAGAAGAGGTGGACCCTGAAAAAGGGAGCCCAAACATCCCCCGGGCCCGACAACAACGAGGGCGTCCCCCTGACTGACCTTCTGCCGCGGGCTGCGTCGCCGTCCGCCCCGTCCGGCCTCAGTCGCCTCTTCGGCGCCGCCGCCTCTTCCCCGCGCTGCCTCCTCTACCCGCGTCGCCATGAGGTGACGGCAGCAGCCAAACAAGCGGCCCGACAAGGGGCACAGAATCTCGCAGGGCCTTTCGCCCCGCCCCCGAGCCCCCACGACCAATCGCCGCATGTGAGACTTCCCACGTGACCGGAGGAGGTTGGCCCCCGAGGGGACGGAGCGAGATGGGGATGGGGAGCATTGAATACTGGGCTGGGCTTCAGCAAGACCGAAGGGCAGATAGAGGCCGTGTGAGTCTGCGCGGATCGGGAATGGGACTCGGGAGTGGACTACAAGTCCCAGCAGGGCGTGCGGCCACAGCTCGCAGGCTCGGATCGGGATTGGGACATAAGGCGGCGTTCTGAAAAGGGGAGAGTGCTGCACCCAGTGTGCTTCGTGTGCATCCTAGTGGGACTTGCGGTTTCTGGGGGCGATGTCTGGCTATAGGAAGGTACTCGTTATGATCTTTCGCGGAAAGTTTAGAAATATCCCCGTGTTTGAGAAGGAGCACGATCGGCGACACATTCTTGTGTTTTTGTTTTTGTTGCCGTTCTTAGGAATTGGGCGCGAATGATTTGGGGATAAGGGAAAATACTTCACGACTTTCAAGACGGAAGGTGTATTGGCTCTTAGAATTTGAAGTTTCGTGCTCGGGCACCTGCCCCGAGCCCTGCCCCTCCACCAGAGTTGTTACCACGGTTTACTTGTCCCGAGCTCCCGCGGGATAGGTGCCGCATTCTATTCACCTTGGTTGAACCGCCCCGGCTTCTGCACACTTACTTGGCACTTCATTCATGTTGAATGTATCCTGCTTTCTCCCACCCCATTTACTCGTTTCATTACCTAAATTTTTTCAACAAACTCGGTTTGCTGAACCGAATTTTTTTTTTTATTGATATGATGTTGGGGGGGAGAGGGGAGATTTCCTCAGGAATATTCCCTATTTCCATCTGATGGAACCAGATCTCCAATGGCCGAGCTTCTGAAAGGCACAGACCATCATGAAATCCTGATATATTGTCTTAAATAATTCATTATGAGGCCGGGCGCGGTGGCTCACGCCTGTAATGCCAACACCTTGGGGGACCGAGGCGGGTGGATCACAAGGTCAGGAGTTCCAGACCAGCCTGGCCAACACAGTGAAACTCCGTCTCTACTAAAAATACAAAAATTAGCCGGGCATGGTGGTGGTGGTGGGCTTTTCTTTTTTCTTTGTTTTTGTTTTCCCAAGACGGAGTCTTGCTGTCACCCAAAGCTGGAGTGCAGTGGCACGATCTCAGCTCACTGCAACCTCCGCCTCCCAGGTTCAAGCAATTCTCCTGCCTCAGCCTCCCGAGTAGCTGGGATTGCAGGCACGTGCCACCACGCTGGGCTAATTTTTGTATTTTTAGTAGAGAGAGGGGTTTCACCATGTTGGCCAGGCTGGTCTTGAACTTCTGACCCCCTGATCTGCCCTCCTCGGCCTCCCAAAGTGCTGGGATTACAGGTGTGAGCAACCGCCCCCAGCCGGTGGTGGGCTTCTGTAATTCCAGCTATTTGGGATCTGAGACAGGAGAATCGCTTGAACCCGGGCAGCAGAGGTTGCAGTGAGCCAAGATCGTGCCATTGAACACTCCAGCCTGGGTGAGGAGAAACTCCATCACACACACACACACAAAAGTAAGTTATTCCTCAAAAAAAAATTTTTTTTTAGAGATGGG
This sequence comes from Homo sapiens, assembly GCF_000001405.40. Classification (NCBI taxonomy): domain Eukaryota; kingdom Metazoa; phylum Chordata; class Mammalia; order Primates; family Hominidae; genus Homo; species Homo sapiens. The sequence goes on along the minus strand of NC_000023.11, from coordinate 16,784,820 downwards.
GCATTATGTTGCCCAGGCTGGTTTCAAATTTCATGATTTTCTATATTGTTTAAGTATGTATGGAATGAAAAAAATCAATAAAGTTATCTTTATTAAGGAAAGAGGCCGGCCACGGTGGCTCACGCCTGTAACCCCGGCACTTTGGGAGGCCGAGGCGGGCGGATCACCTGAGGTCAGAAGTTCAAGACCAGCCTGACCAACGTGGTGAAACCCGGTCTGTGCTAAAAATAGAATTAGCCAGGCGTGGTGACACGTGCCTGCAATCCCAGCTACTAGGGAGGCTGAGGCAGGAGAATCGCTTGAACCCGGGAGGCGGAGGTTGCAGTAAGCCGGGATCACGCCATTGCACTCTAGCCTGGGCAACAAGAGCGAGACTCCGTCTCAAAAAATAAAAAGAAAAGAAAAGAACTATGCCATTAACCCCAAGCCTTCAGAGAAATGAAAAATATTTAATTGAATTAAATGCATATCTTTTTTTTTTTTTTTTTTTTTGAGACAGAGTTTTGCTCTTGTTGCCCAAGCTGGAGTGCAGTGGCCAATCTCGGCTCACTGCAACCTCTGCCTCCCGGGTTCAAGTGATTCTCCTGCCTCAGCCTCCCAAGTAGCTGGGATTACAGGCGCGCCCCACCACGCCCAGCTAATTTTTCTATTTTTAGTAGAGAGGGGGTTTCACCACGTTCGCCAGAATGGTCTTCATCTCTTGACCTTGTGATCCGTCCACCTCGGCCTCCCAAAGTGCTGGGATTACAGGCCTGAGCCACCGTGCCTGGCCTCTTTTTTTTTTTTTTTTTAATGCAGAGTCTTGCTCTGTCGCCCAGGCTGGAGTGCAGTGGCATGATCTCAGCCCACTGCAATCTGCACCTCCCAGGTTCAAGGAATTCTCGTGTCTCAGCCTCCCTAGTAGCTGGGATTACTGGCGTGCACCACCACACCCGGCTAATTTTTGCATTTTTAGTAGAGATGGGGTTTCGCCATGTTGGCCAGGCTGCTCTCAAACTCCTGGCCACAAGTGCTCTGCCCGACTCGTCCTCTGCCCAACTCGTCCTCCCAAAGTGCTGGGATTACGGGCTTGAGCCGCAATGCCTGGCCTATCCTTTCTTTATGTCCAAGACTTTAAGGGTCATCCAATGTTCTGTTTACATTGATCTCACCTTTGCGCCAGGACTATTGTCTTTTAACTGTGCCTGCAGGCGTGGCTCACACCTGTAATCTCAGCAGTTTAGGAGGCTGAGGCAAGAGCATCGCCTGAGCCCCGGAGTTTGAAACCAGCGTAGGCGACAAAGCGAGACCTCGTCTCTAAATAAATAAAGTTATCAAATAAAAAAGCCGGGCGCTGTGGCTCACGCCTGTAATCCCAGTACTTTGGGAGGCAGAGGAGGGCGGATCACCTGAGGTCAGGGGTTTGAAACCAGCCTGACCAACATGGTGAAACCTCGTCTCTTCTAAAAATACAAAAAAAAAAAAAAAAAATCAGCTGGGCATGGTGGCGTGTGCCTGTAGTCCCAGCTACTCGGGGAGGCTGAGGCAGGAAAATCGTTTGAACCCAGGAGGCAGAGGTTGCAGTGAGCCGAGTTCATGCCACTGCACTCCAGCCTGGGTGACAGAGGGAAACTCTATCTCAAAAAAAAAAAAAAAACAAACACTGTGCCTGCTAGAAGGGTAAAGGCCACCAGAACAATAGCTCCTCATTGGGTACGGGGTGTTCTCTCCAGGCTCCCTAAGGAATGTGAATATAACCTGAATATGGCTCCATTTATTCAGATGTTTATTAAAGTCTTGAGCAAGCAGGCATCAAACAATTCATGTGAACAGTAAGCTCAATGAGGTCCCAACTCTTTGACCTTTGAGATGCTCTGACCACCGTTGTGATGAAATGTAGAGCTCTCAAGGTGGACTCACCACTATTACAGAGGCAGGATTCTGTTGGCCTTATAGCCGATATCAGGAAACTGCAACCCTCAGAGTTTATAGCTGGACACAGGACGGTTTAGAGGTTTAGCCTAGAGTATTATCCTGAAGGAAACAAGCTTCGGACTTGCTAGATTCTTTTTTTTTTTCTTATTAATTGTCTGTATGACAAAGATTTTTTTTTTAAGAAAGATTCTTATACTCTTTTAACGCAAAAGTGAGTAGAGTCTCACATATTTTAAACAATGCATATATCTTGAATATCCCTGATTTCACTAATGTGAGCCCATTCTAATGCTGTTATTTTTATTTTTATTATTTATTTTTGGTGACAGGGTCTCACTCTGTCACCCAGGCTGGATTTCAGTGGTGCCATCACGGCTCACTGCAGCCGCCACCTGCTGGGCTCAGGTGTTCCTCCTGCCTCAGCCTCCCAAGTAGCTGGGACCACAGGTGTGTACCACTACACCTGGCTAATTAAATATATATATATATATATATATATATATATATATATATATATTTGTAGAAATGGTAGGAGGGTGTCTCCCTATGTTGCCCAGGCTGGTCTCAAACTCGTAGGCTCAAGAGATCCTCCCGCTTTGGCCTTGTAAAGTGTTGGGATTACAGGTGTGAGCCACCATGCCCAGCCTCTAATGCCTGTTATACTAGCTAAAGCTAATAAGCTACTAATTTCACCTACGAAAACCCATTTCTGGCCAGGCACGGTGGCTCACACCTGTAACCCCACCACTTTGGAAGACTAAGGTGGGTGTATCGCTTGACTCCAGGAGTTCAAGACCAACCTGGGCAATATGGCAAAACCCCATCTCTGCAAAAAATACCAAAAAATTAGCTGGGTGTGGTGGTGCACACCTGTAGTCCCAGTTATTTGGGAGGCTGAGGCAGGAGGATCACCTGAGCCTGGGAGGTGGAGGTTGCAGGGAGCCAAGATTGTGCCACTGCACTCCAGCCTGGGCAACAAGAGCGAGACCCTGTCTAAAAAAAGAAAAAAGAAAACTCGTTTCTTTCTTCTTTTTTTTAGACAGAGTTTCGCTCTTGTTGCCCAGGCTGGAGTGCAATGGCGCGATCTCGGCTCACTGCAATCTCAGCCTTCTGGGTTCAAGCCATTCTCTTGCCTCAGCCTCCCAAGTAGCTGGAATCACAGGCATGTGCCACCACGCCCAGCTAATTTTGTATTTTTAGTAAAGACGAGGTTTCTCCACCTTGGTCAGGCTGGTCTCGAACTCCTGACCTCAGGTGATCCGCCCGCCTCAACTTCCAAAGTGCTGGGATTACAGGCATGAGCCACTGCGCCTGGCAAGAAAACCCATTTCTAACCTTCATTTTGCTACTTAAGAAAGCCTCTGTTATTGGTTGAGCTATGGCTAACAGAAGCATCTGTAGTGGCTAGAATAGGAAATATGGACTCCTGACCACCCCTGGTGTATAAAGTCCTAAGTGGGGTCATTTCCAGCTCTAAACACAACACACTCCTCCTCCACCTCTTCCTTCTCTATCTTTGCTGACAGTAAATTACAGGCCTCATCATACCCTATAATATGATCACAGATATTAACATAGCTAAAGAAGCAATGTGGGGCTGGGCACGGTAGCTCATGCCTGTAATCCTAGCACTTTGGGAGGCCGAGGCGGGTGGATCACCTGAGGTCGGGAGTTCGAGACCAGCCCGACCAACATGGAGAAACTCTGTCTCTACTAAAAATACAAAATTAGCTGGGCGTGGTGGCTACTAATCCCAGCTACTTGGGACGCTGAGGCAAAAGAATTGCTTGAACCCCGGAGGCGGAGGCTGCAGTGAGCCGAGATCGGGCCACTGCACTCCACCCTGGGTGACAGAGCAAAACTCCGTCTCGGGAAAAAAAAAAAAAAAGAAGCAATGTGGCTATGAGAAGAGAGGAAACCTAGAAACTTAGGGAGAGAGTAAGGAAGGCCAGGCTGCCAAAGCCCATCTAAGCAATTTTTGGAAGACAAAGAATCTTGGTCAAAAAGAGGACTTCAAAAATGATCATCCTATTTGTAAGGCTATCCTTTACGTGGGGATGGAGGCTCCAGTTATCCTAACACCTTTGATCAATGGGAATTGATTTGATTTCTTACCTAACCACCTTCCCATTGTAATTGTGCTTCCTACAATTGGAAGCAGGTCTGTGGTCTGACCACAGGGAGAGAATGTAGATGTGTACCTTTTAACTCCATGAGACACTTACATTTGCTCATTGTTAACAAAGGGACATTTTGACTTTATTATTATTTTATTTACTTATTTATTTATTTTTTGAGACAGAGTTTCACTCTCGTTGCCCAGGCTACAGTGCAATGGCACAATCTCGGCTCGCTCCAATCTCCGTCTCCCGGGTTCAAGCGATTCTCCTGTCTCAGCCTCCCAAGTAGCTGGAATTACAGGCACCCACCACCACACCTAGCCAATTTTTGTATTTTTAGTAGAGATGGGGTTTCACCATGTTGGGCAGGCTGGTCTCGAATTCATAACATTAGGTAATCCATCCACCTCAGCCTCCCAAAGTGCTGATTTACAGGCATGAGCCACCACACCTGGCCATTATTATTTTTGAGACGGGGTCTCACTCTGTTGACCAGGCTGGAGTACAGTGACACGACCTTGGCTCACTGCAACCTCCACCTCCCAGGCTCAAGCGATCCTCTCATCTCAGCTTCCCAAGTAGCTGGGACTACAGGAGTGCACCACCATGCCTGGCTAATTTTTTGTATTTTTGGTAGAGATGGGGTTTCACCATGTTGCCTAGGCTGGTCTCAAACTCCTGAGCTCAAGCAATCCACCCACCTCGGCCTCCCAAAGTGCTGTGATTACAGGCATATTCGACTTTATATAGCAGCTCTGGTTAATGTGTACCTATTCCCTGACAGAGAGTGTACTCTGGGTGATCCCTCCAGGAAGCCCCACTGGTCCCAGGATATCTTAGTTGCCTGTGTTATGTACCCCTAGCATACTGTACTTCCCATACCAGGCCAGTCCCCACTCTTCAAGGCAGTGGTTTGTCTAATTGACTCTTTCCCCCAGCCAGATGGTAAACAAAGTGAGGGCAAGGACTGTGCCCATAAGACTCCTATATTCCCAGTGCCCAGCAGAATGCCAGGCACAGTCTGCACACGGTGGTTCACGCCTGTAATCCCAGCAATTTGGGAGGCCGAGGCAGACAGATCGCTTGAGGTAAGGAGTTCAAGACCAGCCTGGCCAGCATGTTGACACCCGCCTCTATCAAAAATACAAAAATTAGCCAGGCATAGTGGTGGGCGCCTGTAATCCCAGCTACTACGGAGGCTGAAGCAAGAGAATTGCTTGAACCCTGAAGGTGGAGGTTGCAGTGAGCCGAGATCGCACCACTGCACTCCAGCCTGGGCGACAGAGCAAGACTCCACCAAAAAAAAAACAAAACAAAAAAACCCAGGCACAGAGAAAGCTCTCCACACATACTTATTGAGAAAAAGATCCCCTGAATAGGTAACTGCATTAAGAAATCTGTTTTCTGAATCTGTTCAGATGAGGACCAAACCTTCAATTCCCCAAGGTGATATCCTATCCCTTCTTGTGACATCTTGGAGAGTTTTCTGACAGCAGTGTCCCTCTGCAACACTGTGTAGACCCTCCAGCAGCCAAGGGACCAAGGTCATTCCAGGATAAACTTGGTGGCAATAGAAAGTTTTCATTCATCAGTTAAACAGGAGCACTGTATTAGTCACCAGGCATACCTTGATTTAGAATAAGGGGTACCCAGGCCAACACTGAACACTCACATGTACAACAAACAATAAAGTAATTTATAAAATGGAGGTATTGCAGGGTAACCTCTTGAGGGTTATTTTCTACTGGTGGTGGGGAGGTTTAAGGATGGTTTAAGGTGACATCTGAGCTGTGTCTAAAGGGTCAACAGAAGTTAAATTAGCCACACTAGTCTGACTTGTCCACCTCAGAGTACTTTCACAGAAAGAAAAGCTCCTACTAACTTTTAAATCAGCCAAGAGTATTGTTTCATCAAAAGAGTTGAATTTCATGTTTGTTGCATACTATTGGGGTTGTAGGTAGTGAAAAAGAGTGTTTGCCTCTTCATAGAACAAAAAGCTTATTGTTTAATATGATTACACAATACCATCTTTCTGAGCTAACCCTGATTTTAGTCCTTGTAGGAATTTGGCCAGTTTCTGCATTTGCTATAGATGTCCACATTTCTGGCAGACACTGAAAGATTTAGAAAATGATTATACTTTATACACAGATCACTCAGGCATACTGATGGCAGGCTATGGAGTGTACTATTAGATTGGCACACACCAGGGTGCCAGCTCTAGCAGAAAGAGGATTTTTAAAATAAAAACTCTTCTCATGTATGGACTATTGGGAGAGAGTATGTGCGTTTCAAAAATTCGAATACGTATATTGCATATTTCAGAGTATTGGGATTCATTCATTTTGTTTTGATATACTTCCCCAAGTCTCGCCTATAATTATAGACTTCAAGGACATGGAAACAATGTTCATGTATAGAGACAATGGAAAAGAAAAATACAAACTACAAATAGGTTTAGGCTTTATTGAAAATCTCGGGGCCAGGAGTGGTAGCACATGTCTGTAATCCCAGCACTTTGGGAGTTCGAGGCAGGGGGATTGCTTGAGGCCAGGAGTTCAAGACCAGCCTGGGCAACATAGGGAGACCCCATCTCTACAAAAAATAAAAAATTAGCCTTAGCCAAGTGTGGTGGTGCACACCTGTAGTCACAGCTACTTGGGAGGCTGAGGCAGGAGGATCGTTTGAGCCTAGGAGGTTGAGGCTGCAGTGAGCTGTGATCATGCCAGTGCATTCCAGCCTGGGTGACAGAGTGAGACCCTGTCTCAAAACAAAACAATTTTTTTTTTTGAGACAGAGTCTCGCTCTGTCACCTAGGCTAGAATGCAAAGTGAGACCCTGTCTCAAAACAATTAAAACAATTTTTTGTTTTGACAAACTGAGACCCTGTCTCAAAACAATTAAAACAATTTTTTTTTTTGAGGCGGAGTCTTGCTCTGTCACCCAGGCTAGAGTGCAGTTGGCACGCTCTCGGCTCAATGCAACCTCCGCCTCCCGGGTTCAAGTGATTCTCCTGCCTCAGCCTCCTGAGTAGCTGGGATTACAGGTGCAAGCCACCACGCCCAGCTAATTTTTGTATTTTGTGATCCCAAAGTGCTGGGATCACAGGTGTGAGCCACTGCGCCCAGCCGAACAATTTTTTCAAGTTTTTTTTTTTGTTTCATTTTGTTTTAAGAAACAGAATCTCTTTCTCTGTGTTACCCTGGCTGGAGTATAGTGGTTTTCATCCTAGCCCACTACAGCGTCAAATTGGGCGACAGAGTAAGACCTTGTCTCAAAAAAAAAAAAAAAAAAAGAGAGAAAAGAAAAGGGCTGGGCTCGGTGGTTCACGCCTGTAATCCCAGCACTTTGGGAGGCCAAGGCAGGTGGATCACCTGAGGTCAGTAGTTCGAGACCAGCCTGGCCAACATGGTGAAATCTCATCTCTACTAAAAAGAAAACACAAAAATTAGGCCAGGCACGGTGGTTCATGCCTGTAATCCCAGCACTTTGGGAGGCCAAGGTGGGCAGATCACTTGAGGTTGGGAGTTCACGACCAGGCTGACCAACATGGAGAAACCCCGTTTCTACTAAAAAATACAAAATTAGCCAGTCGTGGTGGCGCATGCCTGTAATCCCAGCTACTTGGGCCGCTGAGGCAGGAGAATTGCTTGAACCCGGGAGGCGGAGATTGCGGTCAGCTGAGATCGCACCATTGCACTCCAACCTGGGCAATAAGAGTGAAACTCCATCTTAAAAAAAAAAAAAATTAACTGGATGTAGGGGCGCGTGCCTGTAATCCCAGCTACTTGGGAGGCTGAGGCAGGGGAATTGCTTGAACCTGGGAGGTGGAGGTTGCAGTGAACTGAGATCGCACCACCGACAGAGCAAGAATCCGTCTCAAGAAAAAGAAAAAAGAGAAGAGAAGAGAAGAAAAGAGAAGAGAAAAGAAAGGGGAACCATCCTGGCCAACCTGGTGAAACCCCGTCTCTACTAAAAATACAAAAAATTAGCCAGGCATAGTGGTGGAAGCCTGTAATCTCAGCTACTCGGGAGGCTGAGGCAGTAGAATCCCTTGAACCCAGGAGGCAGAGGTTGCAGTGAGCTGAGATTGTGCCACTGCACTCTATCCTGGGCGACAGAGTGAGACTCAAAAAAAAAAAAAAAAAAGAAAAAAGAAAGAAAAAAGAAAAAGAAAGAAATCAGCATCCAGTTTAAACCACTGTAATTCTGGATTTTTCTGTCACTTGCCATCAAGCTGATTCTGAAATCACAGAAAGATATATATAGATTTGCTTCTAGGGAAGAGGGTCTATGCTTTTTCACTCACAGTCACACACACACACACACACACACACACACACACACACACAGATGCTCACTTCCTCCCATCATCACATCATCCTCTCTAAATGGTTGTTTTCATTTTGTTAATTTAATATCTTAATTTTTTTTACATTATTTTCATGTAGATATTATTCACAACCTAGTTGTATAGTATCCTATTAATAATTTCTTTTTTATGTTTCTTTTTTCTTTTTTTAAAATTGAGATAGGGTCTTGCTCTGTTGCCCAGGCTGGTCTCAAACTCCTGGACTCAAGTGATCCTCCCACCTCAGTGGGAGCCACGGTGCCCTGCTCCATGTTTCTTATCTTTTCTCTTCTATTTTCCTATATCCTGTTTTGCTACAGACAGTTCCAGGGTTACAATTTTTGATGTTGCGATGGTGCCAAAGTTGTATGAATTTGACTTTGAGTACCCATACAACCATTCTGTTTTTCACTTTCAGTACAAGTATTCAATAAAGCACATGAGATATTCAACACTTTATTATAAAACAGCTTTGTGTTTGATGATTTTGACCAACTGTAGGCTAATATAAGTATTATGAGCTTGGCCAGGAGTAGTGGCTTACGCCTGTAATCCCAGTACTTTGGGAGGCCGAGGTGGGCAGATCACCTGAGGTCAGGAGTTCGAGACACACCTGGCTAACATGGTGAAACCCCATCTCTACTAAAATACAAAAATTAGCCGGGCGTGGTGGCTGGCGCCTGTAATCCCAGCTACTTGGGAGGCTGAGGCACGCGAATCACTTGAACCTGGGAGGCAGAGGTTGCAGTGAGCCGAGATCGTCTCACTGCACTCCAGCCCGGGCAATAGAGCAAGACTCCGTCTCAAAAAAACAAAGTATTATGAGCTTACATTAAGGTAGGCTAGGCTAAGTTATGATGTTTGGTAGGTTAAGTGTATTTTTTTTTTTTCCGAGATGGAGTCTTGCTCTGTCTTGCCCAAGCTGGAGTGCAGTGTCACCATCTTGGCTCACTGTGGCCTCCACCTCCCAGGTTCAAGCAATTCTTCTATCTCAGCCTCCCGAGTAGCTGAGACTACAGGCATGTGCCACTACACCTGGCTAATTTTGTATTTTTAGTAGAGAAGGGGTTTCACCATGTTGGCCAGGCTGGTCTCGAACTCCTGACCTCAGGTGATCCACCCGCCTTGGCCTCTCAAAGTGCTGGGGTTACAGGCATGAGCCACCACGCCCGGCCAGGTTAAGTGTATTAAATGCATTTTCCACTTATGATATTTTCAACTTCTGATGGGTTTATTGGAACATAACGCCATCATAAGTCAGGAAACATCTGTACTTTGTAGATGATCTCAACTTTGTCTTCTAATACTACTAATGAAGTTTTGATCAATGTCATATTTTATTTACTTTTTATTTAATTATTAATTTGTGAGACAAGTCTTGCTCTGTCACCAAGGCTGGAGTGCAGTGGTGTGATCATAGCTCACTGCAGCCTCTACCTCCAGGGCTCAAGTTGAGGCAGGAAAATAGGATCTGGAGGTAGGGAATATAAGGCCGATTCACACTTCAGCTATGACAGGAAATAGCCTCTCCATAGGGCGTAGGCCAAGTAAATGATTGTAACTTTACTTTATCCTCTTCATTTACATAGGGCATACCTCAAGTAGAGGTTATTTTTAAACTCCCAAAAATTCTGAAACAGGGCCTTTGAGCTATGCTTGGGCCTGCTCAAACCCTGTGGAGTGTACTTTCATTTTCAATAAATCCCTTCATTCCTTCCTTGCTTTGTGCGTTTTGTCTAATTCTTTGCTCAAGACGCCAAGAACCTGGACACTCTTCCCGGGTAGCAAAGTGATCCTCCCACCTCAGCCTCCCAAATAGCTGGGACTAGAGGCATGCACCACCATGCCTGGCTAATTTTTATTTATTTATTTCATTTTATTGGTAGAGACTTGGTGTTACTATGTTGCCCAGGCTGGTCTTGAACTCCTGGGCTCAAAGGATCCTCCCTCCTTGGCCTTCCAAAGTGCTGGGATTGGTGTGAGCCACTGCCCCCAGTCTGCAGGACAATTCTTTTTTTTTTTTTTTTTGAGACAGAGTTTCACTCTTGTTGCTCAGGCTGGAGTGCAATGGCCCCATCTTGGCTCACTGCAACCTCTGCCTCCTGGGGTCAAGCAATTCTCCTGCCTCAGCCTCCCAAGTAGTTGGGATTACAGGCATGCACCACCACCACGCTTGGCTAATTTTGTATTCTTAGTAGAGACGGGGTTTCACCATGTTGTTCAGGCTGGTCTTGAACTCCTGACATCAGGTGATCCTCCTGCCTTGGCATCCCAAAGTGCTGGGATTACAGGCGTGAGCCACCACGCCAGGCTGACAATTCTTGAAGAGTAAATAGCTTTTCCCATCAAAAGGAATCAAGATTCCTTGAAGAAATGCCTGCTTCCAGGTCTGAGGAAAGGAAATGTAAATTATTACCGATTTTTCTTATTTTTCCTACTATGTTAAGCACAGAAATTCCCAAAAACATAACCACAAATAGTTAAAAAAATATATAAAAAAAAGATGGCCAAGTGCGGGTGGCTCACGTCTGTACTCCCAGCACTTTGGGAGGCCAAGGCGGGCGGATCACCTGAGGTCGGGAGTTCGAGACCAGCCTGACCAACATGGAGAAACCCCGTCTCTACTAAAAATACAAAATTGGCCCGGTGTGGTGGCACATGCCTGTAATCTCAGCTACTTGGGAGGCTGAGGCAGGAGAATCGCTTGAACCCGGGAGGCGGAGGTTGCGGAGAGCCGAGATCACGCCATTGCACTCCAACCTGGGCAACAAGAGCGAAACTCCGTCTCAAAAAAAAAAAAAAAAAAAGATATAGCCGCCATTTTGGTGTAAGCCTCCCGAGTCTTTTCTATGCATATGAGGCAGGAGAATAGGGTCCGGAGGCAGGGAACCTAAGGCCGATTCAAGCTGGCTTTCTAGAACTAAGTCAATGGCCGGGCGCGGTGGCTCACGCCTGTAATCCCAGCACTTTGGGAGGCCGAGGCAGGCAGATCACCTGAGGTCGGGAGTTTGAGACCAGCCTGACCAATATGGAGAAACCCTGTCTCTACTAAAAATACAAAATTAGCCGGGCATGGTGGCGCATACCTGTAATCCCAGCTACTCAGGAGGCTGAGGCAGGAGAAGCGCTTGAACCCGGGAGGCGGAGGTTGCGGTGAGCCGAGATCGTGCCATTGCACTCCAGCCTGGGCAATAAGAGTGAAGTCCGTCTCAAAAAAAAAAAAAAAAAAAACTAAGTCAAAAGGAACATCCCAACTTTCCACAGGTAAATAACAAAAGGATTGTAAACTACTCCCTTTGCAAATCCACCCCACCCCCACCCCACCTTTCTGTGCGGCAGATGGAAAATTGAAAGCATTTCTGATTGGTTGCCTTCTTTTCTTTCTTTCTTTTTTTTTTTTTTTTTTTTTTAGGGGGGTGGGGAAGTTGTCTACCTCTGTGGCCCAGGCTGGAGTGCAGTGGCACGATCTTGGCTCACTGCAATCTCTGCCTCCCAGGTTCAGGCGATTTTTGTGCCTCAGCCTCTCAAGTAGCTGGAATTACAGGCACGTGCCACCACGCCCAGCTAAATTTTTTATTTTTAGTAGAGATAATTCCTCATGTTGGCCAGACTGGTCTCAAACTCCTGACCTCAGGTGATCCACCCGCCTTGGCCTCCCAAAGTGCCGGGGTTCCAGGCGTGAACCACCACGCCCAGCCTGATTGGTTGCTTTCTGTAGCCAATCAGACGTTTGCATAGGAGTGAGTGTAACTTTGTAACTACACTTCATCCTCTGATTGGTTGCTTTCCACAACCAAACAGACTGATTGCAGGCCGCTATTTCATTTACATAGGGTGTACACCATGTAACCAATGGGAAACCCCTAGAGGGTATTTAAATTCCAGAAAATTCTGGGGCTCTTGAGCCCCTGTACTAGGCCTGCTCCAGCCTTGTGGAATGTACTTTTGTTTTCAGTAAATCTCTGCTTTTGTTGCTTCATTCTTTCCTTGCTTTGTGCGTTTTGTCCAATTCTTTGTTCAAAACGCCAAGAACGTGGACACCCTCCACCGGTAACACAAAAGCATGCCCAACACACACATACACGGGCATTTTTGGAAGAAAAAGTGTAATCGTATTAAATATTTTTGTAAATTGCCTTTTATATTTCATTTAACATTATATTGTGAACCTTCTCTTATGTCAAATGTAGCGCTTGGACGTCATTTTTGAAAGCATTCAAGAAATCCTTTATCCAAAAGAAATCACAGTCAGGGCATCGGTGAACAAAACAAATTGGTTGAGTTTCCCGGGTGGACTCTGGACTGGGCCTTTTCCCTACCTTGCAGGCTGCAGCCATGCTTGGGAGCTACGGCATTAATCTATAGGGCAATGACTCAGCTTCATTTGCATAACCATGGTGCACTGCATGCAATATATTTACAAGTTAAAAGCCGTAGGTGTCCTTTAAACCTGCTGTTTTGAAGAATGATACTTTTCCTTACACATTCGCCTGAAAGAAGTGCTGTATGTATTTGAGCTGGGCTTAATTTCACCCTCAGTGTACCAGAGGTGGCTGTTACCTGGCAACTGCCTTTCCAAGCTTGCTGTTGTTTTTTCTTGTTTTTAGATTAATAGAGTTAGTCGTTTTTTTTTTTTTTTTAATTCTGTTACTATTTTATGAGACAGGATCTTGTTCTGCTACCTACACTGCATTGTAGTGGTACAAATATGGCTCGCTGTAGCCTCGGCCTCCTGGGCTTAGACCACCCTCTTGCCACAATGGTAAATGCCCAGCTAGTTTTTTATTTTTACATTTTAATTATTTGTTTTTTTTTATTTGTTTTTTTTTGAGACAGCGTCTCACTTTGTTGGTCAGGCTGGTCTCAAATTCCTCGGCTCAAGTGATCCTCCCACAGCGGGGATACAAGCATGAGCCACTGTGCCTGGCTTTCCCTTTTATTAAAGATTTAAGCAAAAATAAAACTAAGTAGAGTTTGTTGGGGGTTTTTTGTTTGTTTTTTGAGACAGTCTTTGTTGGGTTTTTGTTTGTTTGTTTGTTTTTTAAGACAGTTGCCCAGTCGCCCAGGCTGGAGTACAGTGGTGCAATCACAGCTCACTGCAACCTTGACCTCCCAGGCTCAAGTGATCCTCCCATCTCAGCCTCCCGAGTAGCTAGGACTACAAGTGCATGCCACCATACCTGGTGAATTTTTTGTATTTTTATTAGAGATGGGGTCTCACTATGTTGCTCAGGCTGGTATAGAACTCCTGGGCTCAAGGGATCTGCTAGCCTTGGCCTCCCAAGGTGCTGGGATTATAGGCATGAGCCACCAGGCCCAGTGAGTAGAGTTTTAACTGGGTGTTTTATTGAGGTGTGTAATGTTGGGACCTGTCTTCTCCTTGTTTTATGTAGCTGTAGTTTCTTGATTTCTCTTATGCTATGTAATATCTGACTTTTATGGTAGCTGTTTCTTTTAGTTCTACTACATATGTAGTATAGTTGTACCTGTATTTGGAGTTTACGTAGGTCTTCTCTCCAATCTTGCATTTTCTGTTTAACATTACATTTATGAGATTCATAGATTCACTCACAGCACTGTGCACAGCTGTTATTTTTTCGTGTTCTTGGCTCTTTGCTATGGTTATCACACTGTCATTATAATTCCATTCTACTGTTGATGCACATTTGGGTTGGGTGCAGCCTGAGGTCACTAGAACATCACTTTTATTGACAGTCGTGCATGTGCCACCTACTAGCACATGCCATATGATGTTTTTATCTTCCACTTTACTAAGTAATGGTAGTTATTTTCATAAGTGGTTAATACCATTTGGTATTCCCTAGGAGAGGAACTGCTTGCTGGGCAAAGAGAAGTACATATTCAACTTTTCATTGAAGTAATGCCAGTTTTGGCTTACTTCCAAAGAGATTGTGCCAGTGCATAGTTGCGCCAATAGCACGTCGATGTTCCTGTTGTTTCACATGCTTACTAACTCTTGATATTTTCAGACTTCTACTTTTTTTTTTTTTTTTTTTTTGAGATAGGGTCTACTCTGTCACCCAGGTTGGAGTGCAGTGGCACGATCTCGGCTTACTGCAACCTTTGCCTCCCAGGTTCAAGTGGTTCTCCCACCACAGTCTCCCAAGCAGCTGGGACTACAGGCGCGCACCACCATGCCCAGCTAATTTTTGTATTTTCGTAGAGATGGGGTTTCATCATGTTGCCCAGGCTGGTCTTCAACTCCTGAGCTCAGGCAATCTGCCCACCTCAGCCTCCCAAAGTCTTAGGATTACAGGCGTGAGCCACTGCACCCAGCCTTCAGACTTCTACATTTTTGACCATCTGGTGGGTATAAAATATATCACTTAAAATATTTGCACACAATTCCATCATGTGGATGAACCACCATTTGTTCAAATCAAGATTCTGGTGTATGACATATAGGTACCTGCCAATTTTTCTATTGTATACTCAAAGTCTTGCTTGTCTAATTGCTTCCTTAGCATAAATTCCAAGAGTAGAAATGTCGGGTTAAATGTTCCTCACATTTAACATTTTGATGCTTGTTACCCGACTGCCATTTGGAAAGATTTAACAATTTTACACTCCCATCTACAGTATTTTTATGCTTTTTCCCCATACCCGTGTCAAAATTAGGTATTAAAAGAAATCTACAAAAATTAGCTGGGCATGGTGGCAGGTGCCTGTAATCCCAGCTACTCGAGAGGCTGAGGCAGGAGAATAGCTTGAACCCTGGAGGCGGAGGTTGCAGTGAGCCGAGATCGCACCACTGCACTCCAGCCTGGGCGACAGAGCAAGACTCCGTTTCAAAAAAAAAAAAAAAAAAAAGATGCATGTCCTTAATTTTAGAAGTCAAATTACACAAGGCTTTTAAAACAACAGAGACCCTTGACCAGTGCTTCTCTCTTTGTAACTACCCAATGGGTTCATTTTGCCCACTGCCCAGATGGAGCCGATTTATCAAAACAAGGGAATTGCAATAGAGTTTAATACACACAGAGCTGGCTGAACAGGAGACCGGAGTTTTATTATTACTGTGAATAGAAAATATCTTGGGCCCCCAAAATCACTAAGCTAAAGGGAAAATTCAAGCTGGGAACTGCTCAGGGCAAACTTGCCTCCCATTCTATTCAAAGCCATCCCTCTGCTCACTGAGATAAATGCATATCTGATTGCCTCCTTTGGAAAAGCTAATCAGAAACTCAATGCAACGGTTTGTCTCTCATCTACCTGTGACCTGAAAGCCCTCTCCCCTTTCGAGTTGTGCGCTTTTGCTTCCAGTTGTCCCGCCTTTCCGGACCACACCAATGTTCATCTTACATATGTTGATTGGTGTCTCATGTCTCCCTAAAATGTATGAAACCAAGCTGTGCTCTGACCACGTTGGGCACATGTTGTCAGGACCTCATGAGGCTGTGTCACAGGCACACATCCTCGACCTTGGCAAAATAAAGTTTCTAAATTAACTGAGGCCTGTCTCAGATTTTTGGGTTTCACATTCCTGAAATCAGTCTCCCTGAAGATTTGGAAACTGAGGTTTTTAAAGGATAATTTGGTGGGTATGGGGCTAAGGAGTGGGGAGTGCTGATTGGTCGGGTCAGAGATGAAATCCTAGGAGGTCAGTCGAAGCTGTGCTCTAGCAATGAGTCGGTTCCTGGGTGGGGGCCACAACACCAGATGAGCCAGTTTATTGATCTGGGTGGCACCAGCTAATCCATGGACTGAAAAATATCTTCAGCACCTAATCTTAGGTTTTATGGTAGTGGGTAGTGATGTTATCCCTAGGAGCAATTGAGGAGGTTTAGAATCTTGTGGCCTCTAGCTGCAAGACTCCAGAACCATAATTTCTTTATTTTTTTATTTTTTATTTTTATTTATTTATTTATTTTGAGACAGAGTTTCGCTCTTGTTGCCCAGGCTGGAGTGCAGTGGCACGACCTTGGCTCGCTGCAACCTCTGCCTCCCAGGTTCAAGCGATTCTCCTGCCTCAGCCTCCTGAGTAGTTGGGATTACAGACACCTGCCACCATGTCTGGCTAATTTTTGTATTTTTAGTAGAGACAGGGTTTCACCAAGTTGGCTGGGCTGGTCTTGAATTCCTGACCTCAGGTGATCTGCCTGCCTCAGCCTCCCAAAGTGCTGGGATTACAGGCATGAGCCACCGTGCCCGGGCTATTTTTCTTTTATTATTATTATTATTATTTTTACTTTCTTTTTCTTTTTTTTTTTGGACGGAGTCTCGCTCTGTCGCCCATGCTGGAGTGCAGTGGCGCGATCTTGGCTCACTGCAACCTCCGCCTCCTGGGTTCATGCCATTCTCCTGCCTCAGCCTCCCGAGTAGCTGGGATTATAGGCACCCGCCACCACGCCCGGCTAATTTTTTTTTTTTTGCATATTTAGTAGAGATGGGGTTTCACCGTGTAAGCCAGGATGGTCTCTATCTCCTGACCTCATGATCTGCCTGCCTCAGCCTCCCAAAGTGCTGGGATTACAGGCGTGAGCCACCGCACCCGGCTATTTTTACTTTCTTGGGCTTTCCAGTAAAGACCAGAAAACCTGCTAGATAAATTCTAAAACAGCTGTGACACTAAACCATAATATTGTGGCTCATGTGTTAGTCCTACAAAGGCAGTGTGGTTCCCATGCAAGAATGGGGTTTGTTTCAGGAAAGGGCTGTTACAATCTTTATGTCAAAGTTAAAGTTCTTCCCAAAGTTAGTTTGGCCTATGCCCAGGAATGAACACAGAAGCAAGATGGAGTCAGTTAGGTCAGATCTACACACTGCCATAACTTTGTCACTGTTACACTTTTTGCAAAGGCCATTTCACATCCCCAATTCCCACTTCTCAGGAGCCATTTAAAACTTAGCAATTTTGTCTGTTTGTGTCTGTGTCTCATAACAATATGCTTACGCCACTTGCCCTTGATTTTCAGTTGTAGATTGTGGCAGAGACCACAAATTGCCCACCCTGATACCAACTTTTCCTCAGCCTTCCGAGTTACTGCACCTCCAGAATTCCTGAGCATTTCCAGGCTTCTGAAGCATGAAAATGTTCTTGGTATCACTTGGCTGTTGCTGACCCTTCTGTTTTTGTCACTATGAATGTATAGCTTTTCTTTTCATTCCTTTACTGTCATTCAGTGGGGTTTGTGGATGGAGTGGAGATACATGCATATATTTATGTGAGAACCTAAGATATTGTACATTTCAGAAAACTAAAAAACAAAACCCCACTTTGAAAACAGAACTAAAACAGTATTTATTTTACAAAGGCCTCTTTAAAAATAGGATGACATTTTAGACATAGGTTGTTAAAAAACGTGCAGTCCAACCCTTTCATTGTACTGATAAAGAAGCTTGAGTGTGTCAGGCTGAGTATTTTCACCAAGTCTCCTGACTTTCCACTTGAGTCTCTTTCCCTGGGCCCCGTGGTTCTCAATCTTAGCTGCTGTTACAAAGTCTTGGAGAGTTTCAAACAACCCTGTACCCTCAAGGGCTACATCCCCAGCCAAATAAATCAGTATCTCTGCAGGGGAGCCTGGGCATCAGTAGCACCTGGACTTGCCAGGAGGTCCTATTGTGCGGCCACGCTTGAGGATGACTACCCGCTGCCAGGAGATTGACTGGTTTAGTCCATTTCTAAAAGCATGGTAATGTGGACATCAAGACATCCATCACAAGCTCATTATTATTTATTTATTTGTTTGTTTGAGACAGGGTCTGGCTCTGTCGCCCAGGCTGGAGTGCAGTGGCCTGATTGTGGCTCGCTGCAATCTCCTCCTCCTGGGCTCAAGCCATCCTCCCACCTCAGCCTCCCGAGTAGCGGGACTCCAGGTGCCCGCCACCACGCCTGGCTTTTTTTTTTTTTTTTAATTGAGAAAGGCTTTCACCCTGTTGCCCAGGCTGGTCTCAAACTCCTGGGTTCAAGTGATCCGCCCACCTTGGTATCCCAAAGTGTTTGGATTACAGGTGTGAGCCTCTGTGCCTGGCCTATTTTTATTAATTACATTTGTGTGTTATCCAGATTTTTTTTTTTTTTTGAGATGGAGTCTCACACTGTCACCCAGGCTGGAGTGTAATGGTGCGACCTCAGCTGTGACCTCTGCCTCCCGGGTTCACGTGATTCTCCTGCCTAAGCCTCCCGAGTAGCTGGGATTGCAGGTGCACACCACCACACCCGGCTAATTTTTGTATTTTTAGTAGAGATGGGGTTTCACTGTGTTAGCCAGACTGGTCTCAAACTCCTGACCTTGTGATCCACCCGCCTCCGCCTCCCAAAGTGCTGGGATTACAGGCGTGAGCCACCGCACCTGGCCCCAGATTTTAAATAGTATCTATTTTCATGCCTCAATTTCACAAGCATGTACTCTGTTACTCCAATTAACAATGAACACTCAACAATTTTGTTAGTGGCATCAATACAGTGTTCTTGTGCCACACTCCTTTGATAGTGGCATATTATTTAGCTCAGTTCTCACATGCCACTTATACCCTAAAGTAAATCTCCATGAAACAGTTTAAAATTGCTGAGTGACATGGTCATTTTGCTATATCAGGATTTTTTCATTGTCTAAGTGCAGTAATGGCAGAGAACATTATGCACTTTATTGCTATTATGCTGATTACAGTTGGACACTGGGTACTGTAGGAGTAGTCACTCAAAACCTCCATTATGATGAATTGATCTATTATCTCTATTTATTAGGTCATAGGAGCTGGTTAACGTCGCTGAGTTTTAGCTCTGGCTGGCAGAAAGCATACTCACTGTTCATTATGGTTATCAGGGAAGAACAAGAAAAATCACTATATATTGTCACTCCTTGGGGGCAGGTGGCAGTGAAGGAAAAATCCCACAACAGCCTTGGAATACCAGAGCTCCTGACCGTGGGTTAGAATGGTCTTTTATTATGAAGGACAACCCATTGAATTTGAGAAGTCTACAGTGAAAGCAAAATGTGTTCTTAAAATGCAATACTATCTCGAGGCAGTTTAAATTCTAACAATAGGAGCCTACATACCAGATGGCTTTGAAATATTTACAGGTCCTCTTTGCCTGAATTTTTAGTTATCCAGGAACAACCATTATAACTTATACCTTGCCACTAAAAGTAAGCTTTATTTATTCAGAAAAAAAGGTAACAATTTTTCATTTTGAAATAAATCAGGATGCACTGAATAAATGCTGTTTAAAAAGCCACACTTTTAACAACTGAAATCATCGATGGCTTATCTAAGTAAATCCCTTAGTGTGAAGACCAGATAAATAATTTGATGATTTGTGAGAAGTATATAACTGCATGTGATTAAAGCTTCATGTGTATTTGTCATGTCGTGACTCGGTAGTTTAGCCAATAGAAATAATCATTCATTAAAATGGCCCATCTTCCCCACAATAAAACTGATTATAAACCATATCAAAATTTCTGCCACTTTTGGCCAGGTGCAGTGGCTCATCATGCCTGTAATCCCAGCACTTTGGAAGGCCGAGGCAGATAGATCACCTGAGCTCAGAAGTTCAAGAACAGCCTGAGCAACATGGGGAGACACCCATCTCTACAAAAAATACAAAAATTAGCCAGGCGTGGTGGTGCATGCCTGTGGTCCCAGCTACTCGGGAGGCTGAGGAGGGAGGATCCCTTAAGCCTGGGAGGCGGAGGCTGCAGTGAGCTGAGATCCCACCACTGCACTCTAGCCTGAGTGACAGAGCAAGACCCTGTCTCAAAAAGAAAAAAAAAAATTCTACCACTTTTATTTTTAAAAGTTGAAAAACTGGCTGGGCATGGTGGCTCATGCCTGTAATCCCAGCACTTTGAGAGGCCGAGGTGGGCGGATCACCTGAGGCCAGTCGTTCAAGACCAGCCTGGCCAACATGGTGAAACCCCGTCTCTACTAAAAATACAAAAATTAGCCAGGTGTGGTGGCACACGCCTGTAATCCCAGCTACTCGGGAGGCTGAGGCAGGAGAATCACTTGAACCCAGGAGGCGGAGGTTGCAGTGAGCCGAGGTTGCGGCCACTGCACTCCAGCCAGGGCAACAGAGTGAGCCTCCATCTCAAAAAAAAAAAAAAAGAAAAAAAAAAAAGTTGAAAAACTAAATTTGCTAAAATTAAATGTGCCTAATTTTCCTAATTAAAAAATGTTTATCTTTACTTAAAAATGGAGGGGGGTATCTATTACTAGAAAGAGTAACTATATAAAATTATTTGAATTATTGATGCACATTCAGAGTCCTGGTTTTTAATACCAAAAAGCCATTAAGGTTGGGCGCAGTGGCTCACGCCTGTAATCCCAGCACTTTGGGAGGCCGAGGCGGGCGGATCACCTGAGGTTGGGAGTTCAAGACCAGCCTGACCAACATGGCGAAACCCTGTCTCTACTAAAAATACAAAAATTAGCCGGGTGTGGTGGCACATGCCTATAATCCCAGCTACTAGGGAGGCTGAGGCAGGAGAACTGCCTGAACCCGGGAGCCGGAGGTTTGCAGTGAGCTGAGACTGCGCCATTGCATTCCAGCCCAGGCAACAGTGTGAGACTCTGTCTCAAAAAAAAAAAAAAAAAAAAAGCCGTCAAAGAGGCAAATAAAATACTGCAAGTCAGACATAATCATAAGATTTCTGCTGAAACCTTTTAAATGTCCTGAAATCCTATTTTTAACAATATTTTGATTAAAGCAAATCATCTTGATTACAATAGTGCATCTTAAATCACTGGGAGTACAAGTGTAATTGCTGCTTTATCTCTGAAACAATGTTTCTCTAGTTTTTTTTTCAAAAATTACCAATTAAGGCTGTGGCTCATGCCTGTAATCCCAACACTTTGGGAGGTCAAGGCGTGCGGATCATTTGAGATCAGGAGCTTGAGACCAGCCTGGCCAACACGGTGAAACCCCATCTCTGCTAAAAATACAAAAAAATTAGCTGGGCATGGTGGCGGTTGCCTGTAATCCCAGCTACTCTGGAGGCTGAGGTGGGAGAATCGCTTGAACTTGGGAGGCGGAGGTTGCCGTGAGCTGAGATCAAGCCACTGCACTCCAGCCTGGGTGACAGAGCAAGATTCTGTCTCCAAGAAAAAAAAACAAACAAAAAAAGAAATGCCCGATTTACCAAGAATATTTCTCATCCCCCTAAAAACTTGCCCCCCCTCCCTTTTTTGAAACAGAGTCTCTGTCACCCAGGCTGAAGTGCAGTGGCATGATCATGGCTTACTGCAGCCTGGATCTCCTGGGCTCAAGCGATCCTCCTGCCTCAGCCTTCCAAGTAGCTAGGACCACAGGTGTGGGCTACCACACCTGGCTCATTTGTATTTTTGTAGAGGCAGGGGTCTCCCTATGTTGCCCAGGCTGGTCTTGAACTCCTGAGCTCAAGCAATCTGCCTGCCTCAGCCTCCCAAAGTGCTGGGATTACAGGTGTGAACCACCATGCCCAGCCCTTGGGTCTTTTTAATTTTGGTAGTATAGAAATAACTGGAACCTCAGAGGAGACACCTGTAATGCCAACTAGAAAAACACTGCTGCAAAGGACATCTAGTGGAAGGGTAAAAAGTAAAAAGCAGTAGAAACCTCAGCTTCCCTGAGAGCATATTAGACCAGTGCTTCCCAAACTGTAAATAAAGTCCATTCTCATCCCCTGGGCGTTCTTAGTAACATCAACTGGTCTGGGGCAGGCATTTCCAACATACTGCCAGGGCATGGCCAAGCTACACTGGTTCCTGAGCCACACTCTTTGAGTAGTGAGGCATAATCTCCATAGTGTGATGTTCATATTTTAGCATTTTATTAAGTTTTACAGGTTTTCATGCTTGGTATATCTTGTTGGCTAACCCCTAGGCATGTAATAAATACTTAGAAATTTTCCACCAAACATGGTGATAAATTATTTTGCTCTTTAAAGGAATAACACTTCAGTTACCTATATAATTTACTAAAGCAGAACATTTTACTCCTTGATGAATCCATAAAAATACAGCACAACTGTATTCTTACAGTATGTACAAAATCTTATTTTATCCTTTTATTTTCACAGGCAATGCATAATTAGGTTGTTTTTAAATGAGATATTATGTAAAATTGATAGCAATAACTGTCACACACCTCTATTGCCATTGTAGGGTTTTTCTCTTTCTCTGATACTTTTTTGTGTGTGTTTATTCAACATTTATCAATAAGAATTTTAGTGCATTCACTAAGAGCCAAGCACCGACACATCCTGATATGCTTCCATCTAGGACTTTTAGCTGCTTAAAAACATTTAACATGCTTCTTTTCCTCCAGCAAACTCTTTTAAAAAAAAAATGAAACTCTTTCCTTCAATGAGATTATTTCAGAAGTTGCCAGTCATCTTGGAACCCAAACTCAGTAATAAGCAACTGTGGCACCACAAGTGGAAACCTTTTGATGATGGGCCCAGTGGTTTCATGGAATACACGGGTTTACTGCTATAACCCAAGAGACTCCAGTTGAGACAGTCTGGCTCAGACACATGCATCCACAACTATGAACAGGAGTAATGCCTGGACTCATACCCAGTTCTCTTGTTGACTATATCTTTGCCAAAGGACTACTGACTAGTTTTAATGGGGCCAAGAACACAAATATGTATATTTTTCTTATAAAGAAACATTTTAATTCTATTCCCCTTTATGTAATAAAGGCTTCTTGAAAAACATGAAAGGTTTGGGGAGCAAATGCTTAGGAAGTTTTCTGACATTAAACCACCTTGTTCGTTCGTTCATTCATTCATTCATTCATTCATTCATTTTTGAGACGGAGTCTCTCACTCTGTCACCCAGGCTGGAGTGCAGTGGCGTGATCTCAGCTCACTGCAACCTCCATCTCCCAGGTTCAAGCAATTCTCCTGCCTCAGCCTCCTCACCTTGTTCTTTAAAAATAATCATATTCTATGAATATGTGTCTGCTGGTATAGCAGAAAGAGAAGGATTAATCAATAAAGTCCTAGAAGGTGAACTCGGAGGAACACAATTTTATGAAGACTCACAGTTTAAGACAAAGCTAAAACATTTATATGTGGTGATGATTAAAACAAGAACAACAGACTTTAAGGGGAATGGGCTTCTGAAGGTTATTGTAATACAAAAAGTATGGAAGGTCCCACTTTGTATAAAAACTGTGATGTAAAATTTCTGGTATAGTTTAAAAAGAAAAGAAAGAAAAGGCCCCAGAGAAAAACAAATATTTTCGCACAGCTTTTTTTTTTTTTTTTTTTTGAGACTGAATCTCACTCTATCACCCAGGCTGGAGTGCAGTGGCGCGATCTCAGCTCGCTGCAACCTCTGCCTCCTGGGTTCAAAAGCCTCCCTAGTAGCTGGGATTACAGGTGCCTGCCACCATGCCCGGCTAATTTTTGTATTTTTAGTAGAGACAGGGTTTCACTATGTTGGCAAGGCTGGTCTCGAACTCCTGACCTCCGGTGATCTGCCCACCTCGGCCTCCCAAAGTGCTGGGATTACAGGCCTGAGCCACCACGCATGGCCTGCACAGTATTTCTTAATGTAAAATTGTGTGATGCTTATATCATTAAAATCAACTTATTTATTTTATCTTTTGGCTTTCAGGTGGAATTTTAGAAAATACCTGGCAAGTGAATAGTTCTGAAAGTGCTTCCTCTTAAGTTCTTTGGTATAATTTGGTCATTTTGATAGTAATCAACCCATTAAGTAGGTACTTTAACACCCTCATATCAATTAAAATGGAATGTGGAGTACAGATATTTAGAAAACCATGACTGAGGAATAAATTATATTTTTGACCTCATGGAAAACAGAACTCTAAAATTTTACTTATGTTTCTGTGGCAAAGATAGCCATACTGCCTATGAAGACATCTCTAACTTTATATTAAAGAAATGTTCTATAAAACATCTCTTTCTGATTATTAGAAGTAACTGTTCTATATACTTTTTTAAAGTAGAAGAGGCAAGTTTCAACTTGAAAAAAGAATAATTTTGAATTTCATAAAATTATACTCTTTCATGCCTTCTGATTCAGTAATTGTCAACATCTAGAATTTAATGTCAGTTTGCAGACTGTTAAGGATTATTCTTCTATTTCAGGAACAGCTAATTTTCCTCTTGAAGCATTTTCTCTATTTCCTTATCCCAGTTTTCATCTCGTTTTTCAGATTCTGTCACCACTTCATATTCTTGAAGTTCCTGCTGCAGTTCTTTTTCCCAATCTGCAGAATCCTCTAAAAGAAACAAAGGAGAAGAAAAAGATTCTCTCTGAATTCATAATGCTGGTGTTCACAATTCGGTCCATCTCAATTACCTACGTAAAGTCCTAGCTGCTGTAATTTTTAGTATCTCAGGCTTCACTACTATGTGTGCTCAGAAAAACTCAGTAAATTTTAACAGTGACCAAGGATAAACACAATTAGAAAGATAAATCTGTTAATGTAGAAGCAAAGGTATCAGATGTCATCAATATATTTTGGGTGTTATTTTGCTTTCCCTATGCCTCTGCATTTCCTTTTATTTAAATGGGTAAATGATAATTAATACTTGGTTGCAAGTTAATTTTTACCACTACCAATGATGATGATGGTAGCAAAAGCAGCTAATGTTTATTGAGCACTTACTGGGCTGGGCACTGGCCCAACTGCTTTCTATGTATCACGCTTTTCACCCTTGGAACAGTCCATGGACAAGGTATTACTATTTGCCACATCTTATAGATAGGGAAATGGAGAC
The DNA here is from genome assembly GCF_000001405.40 of Homo sapiens. Taxonomy (NCBI): domain Eukaryota; kingdom Metazoa; phylum Chordata; class Mammalia; order Primates; family Hominidae; genus Homo; species Homo sapiens. Next base: position 16,759,729 of record NC_000023.11, on the reverse strand, counting down.
TTAGGAGAGGTTAAGCAACTTGCCCAAGATCACACCGTTTGACAGCGACAGATATAAGGATGGAACCACATCTGCAGGCTCCACAGTCTATGCTTAACCACTATACAAAGAGCTGTCTCCTTAAGAGTGGAGACAGACACCGGGGTCTGAAGTCAGCCTGGACTCTCTCATGGTGTTCTGACTGGAGCTCTCACACTGGTCTTCCGCGTTGAGATTTAGACCTGCAACTTTCTACACAGACACTCAATATACCTCTGTGTGTGTAGGATAATGCATCTGCTATGTAATGTTATAAAATGGTGAGAAAACAAACTGGCTATTTAAAAAGTAAAGCTAAGATTCATTTTTGTCTCTTTTTTTTTTTTGAGACAGAGTCTCACTCTGTTGCCCAGGCTGGAGTGCAATGGTGTGGTCTCGGCTCACTGCAACCTCTGCCTCCTGGGTTCAAGCGATTCTCCTGCCTCAGCCTCCCAAGTAGCTGGGATTACAGGTGCCTGCCACCACGCCTGGCTAATTTTTGTATTTTTTTTTTTTTTTTGAGACGGAGTCTTGCTCTGTTGCCCAGGCTGCAGTGCAGTGGCATGATCTCAGGTCACTGCAAGCTCCGCTTCCTGGGTTCAGGCCATTCTGCTGCCTCAGCCTCCCAAGTAGCTGGGACTACAGGCACCCACCACCACGCCAGGCTAATTTTTTTTTTTTTTTGTATTTTTAGTAGAGACGGGGTTTCACCATGTTAGCCAGGATGGTCTCGATCTCCTGACCTCGTGATCCGCCCGCCTCAGCCTCCCAAAGTGCTGGGATTACAGGCATGAGCCACCGTGCCCAGCCTGTCTTTAAAAATAAACCTTAAACTTAGCTATAGAGAAAACAAAAATGAAATGCTTTAATCGTTCTACAGCAGCAACCTCAAAGGAAAAGACACCCTGTGTTGTGCAGGAAGCCACCAATTTCACAAATATTTATTAGGGTGCTTACTGAGTGCTAAGTTCCACATTAGGTACTGTAGGGGGACAGAAAGACAATGTGTAACTGCCCTTGGGGATCTTACAATTTAGTCCTGGAGCCAAGATATATAATATATAAAAGACTATTGGGGCCAGGCATGTTGGCTCATGCCTGTAATCCCAGCACTTTGGGAGGCCGAGGCAGACAGATCACTTGAGGCCAGGAGTTCGAGACCAGCCTGCCAACATAGCGATACAAAACATACAAAAATTAGCCAGGTGTGGTGGTGCACGCCTGTAGTCCCAGCTACCTGGGAGGCTGAGGCAGGAGAATCGCTTGAATCCAGGAGGTGGAGGTTGCAGTGAGCCGTGACTGCACCACTGCACTCCAGCCTGGGCGACAGGGTGAGACTCCATCTCAAAAAAAAAAAAAGACTGTTGGGCTGGGCATGGTGGCACATACCTATAATACTAGCACTTAGAGACACTGAGGTGGCAAGATTGCTTGAGCCCAAGAGTTCAAGATCAGCCTGGGCAATCTGGCAAGACCCCATCTCTACAAAAAATTAAAAAAATTAGCCTGGTGTGGTGGCACACGCCTATAGTCCCAGCTACATTGGAGCCTGAGGTGGGTGGATGGTGTGAGCCTAGGAGTTTGAGGCTGCAGTGAGCTATGACGGCACTATTGCACTTCAGCCTGGGTGACAGAGTGAGACCCTATCTCAAAAAGAAAACTGGTTTTTAAAAGCAGCCTGCTCCTTCCCAGAAGCAATGCTCTTTTGGCATGCAGCAGCTGGGAAAAGAATCTTCCATGTACATGTCTACAGTCAAGGAGAATGCCAGCTTTTAAAAATTTATTATTATTATTATTATTATTTTGAGATGAAGTCTTGCTCTGTCACCCAGGCTGGAGTGCAGTGGTGTGATCTCGGCTCACTGCAACATCCGCCTCCCGGGTTCAAGTGATTGTCCCATCTCAGCTTCCTCCCGAGTAGCTGGAATTGTAGATGTGAGCCACTGCACCAGGGCCAAAAACTTATTATTTATTTATTTATTTATTTTTGAGGCGGAGTCTCGCTCTGTCACCCAGGCTGGAGTGCAGTGACGCGATCTCGGCTCACTGCAAGCTCCGCCTCCCAGGTTCATGCCATTCTCCTGCCTCAGCCTTCCGAATAGCTGGGACTACAGGCACCCACCACCAGGCCCGGCTAATTTTTTTTTGTATTTTTAGTAGAGACGGGGTTTCACCGTGTTAGCCAGGATGGTCTCGATCTCCTGACCTCGTGATCTGCCCGCCTCGGCCTCCCAAAGTGCTAGGATTACAAGCGTGAGCCATTGCCTCTGACAAGAATCAATTTTGATGCAAAATTTACAACACATTTTTGTGCACTGGCTTCAGAATAACAATTTTCTACAATTAGCTTTGGAATTAGGGAGACGAATAGTTTCTTTGCTTTGATTTGTTTTGTTTTTTACCTTCCAGTACGGCTGTCTCCTCTTGCTTTTTGTCAAGCACTAGTTGCTCCATTTCTTTCCTTAGATCTTCCTGATTTAGGTTACAGGCATCGAAGGCATCACTGACAAACTCAGAAACACCTGGGCTAGTAGAAATTTCTTCCTCATCCTGAAATGCAACAAATGAGCTCTTGAAATGGTTTGCTAAGCGACATTTGTGTTATTCTGGTTTGCTATTGTCTCACAATTTAATGCCGTGCTATTTTTATTTCTTTTCTCTGCGAGCTGTAAGACAATGAGCACTGCTCTCCAACCTTCTAACTTGCAGTTGCTTGGTAACTACATGAGTTACCACCTGAGGCTATTATTCTCCTTCACAGTTTGAATCACTCCAACCCTTCTCTCCAATCCCTGATGAACACATCTAGAATTACATATGCCAGTAAATCGTCCTCAAGTCTCAGCCCTAGTTCCTTGACTATTCAAGTACCAGATGCTGCTTCTTCCAAACCCATATTCATACATAGTTTTAAATGGTATCAGAAAGAGTTAACACAGTTACTTTATTTCCAGATATCAACTACTAGGTACAATGTAAAACTGGATTACCTCTTGAGTTTTAAGCTGAGATTTGATTACAACGGGTGGCGTTTTGGGCCGTACTGCCTCTAAGAAGTGAGAATAAGAGAGACAATAATTGCTTGGTTCAGTTCTGAATACATATTATAATCACAGTAAAATATCCACAAGTATTATGATACTAAATAATTTTCAGAAATGAATTTTTATGTTATGCTTTCAGCTTTTCTTAAGTTATAAGAAACAGCCATGGTGAAACCATCTCAACCTCTTACTTTGGGGATATTTTTATCTATCTATCTACCTATCCATTTATTTATTTTTAGACATGGGGTGTCACTATGTTGCCCAGGCTGGACTCGAACTTCTGGGCTCAAGTGATCCTCCTGCCTCAGCCTCCTGGGGATATTTTTAACATGTCATCATATTCAATACATATCCTTACATAAAATTTCCAGCAGGAAATAATTTTTAACTACAGTGTTAGCAAAATTCATTGAAGAATAGTTCTGTACTTTTTTAGAATAATGAGAATTAAGCTATTTATCAAGTTTGCCTGCTGATAAGAGTGCTAGAAAAAGGCAGTCTTTATGGAATACTGTCATAAATCCATTTTGTTAAACAAGGCAGTATTTGGCAAAATGGCATTTTCCAACAAAATTAACATAAATGCTAAAGAATAACAGACAATTGGGATGCATGTTAACACTGATATACAAAATGACAAATTTTCCTGTGTAGAGCAACTTCACTCCATTTCCCTGACACTAACAGCAGTGTCAGATCCTGTCCTAGTATTCTGTATAACCTGTACCTCAGGACATGCTGTTTTGCTTAATCATTTAAAATTCCGTGAATTAAATCACCCCGCTTCTTGTGGGATAAATGTCCAGTTGTAATGAGTACCTACTATACACAGCAGGTACTCACTAAGAATTTAAACTATGACACAAAATGTGTTTCTTATTTTAATTATTACAGATTTCAAACAGCTGCCCTTATTATAAAACACATTCCCACAACCAGGGGTAAGTTAGTGTCACAATGAGTCCAATGTTCATCAGTGCCTAGCTCAGAACTAGATAGATCCTTGTAACTTGGGAGTGGAATGGAGCTTTGTTCTGCTCTACAGACTACACACACTGGAGAAACATCAGGTTGAAACAAACAAAAAGGAGGCGGACTGAATCAGGGTAGAGGACAGAAGTATAAAGAATCACATGGTTAAGGGCCAAAAATGAGAGGGGGGGAAGATGACGGATGTTTGAGAGAGAAATAAAACGAAAAAAAAACTCGCCAGGCACAGTGGCTCATGCCTGTAAGTCCCAGCTACTTGGGAAGCTGAGGCAGGAGGATCGCTTGAGTCTAGGAGTTTGAGGACAGCCTGGGCAACATAGTGAGACCCGTGTCTAAAAAAAAAAACAAAAACGAAAACAAGGAATGAGAAAGGAGATAAGCAAAGTAAAGGAAAGCTTGGGGAAGACATGTGTGAGCTGGGTCAGAGAGAAGGCAGTAAGAGAAAAATGAAGATTTCCTCTGGGAAGAAAAGAATTTTTCCCTAAGGCAATGACATTTCTGGTACGTATAAGAGGTCAAGCTCATTTGAGTCTCTAAGAACAACTTTTTCTGTAGAGTGCTGTCTTCTACCCAGAATATACCTGCCAGCGGCAAATCTTGCTCTCTGCCATTGCTCTTCTCCTCCTTCCCTGCGGCCTGCTGTTGGGCAGCCAGGGCCGTGAGCTGGGCTGACTGCTTAATCAGGGAGACGCGGTAAAAGTAGTTCCTCCAGAACACTTCTTCCTTCACACTTTTAAAGAAAGGCAAATTAGAACAGTGGAAAAAGGCAAAATTGAAAATCAATAAAAAGCAGACAGACAAGAACACATTTGAGAACGCACACAGACAAGTGCACGCAGGGGTTATTTGTTGTAAAGGGGACTGGAGTAGATGATTTGCAAGAGCACTTTCAAAGCTGAGTGAGGTTCAGAGGGGGTTCATATTGGCTTTAACAATTTTTTTTTTTTGACACGGAGTCTTGCTCTGTTGCCCAGGTTGGAGTGCAGTGGTGTGATCTCAGCTGACTGCAACCTCCGCCTCCTGGGTTCCAGCAATTCTCTTGCCTCAGCCTCCCGAGTTGCTGGGATTATAGGTGCCCGCCACCATGCACAGCTAATTTTTGTATTTTTAGTAGAGACGGGGTTTCACAATGTTGGCCTGGCTGGTCTCAAACTCCTGACCTCATGATCTGCCCGCCTCGGCCTCCCAAAGTGCTGGGATTACAGGCGTGAGCCACCGCACCCAGCCCATATTCACTTTAGAATTGAAAGCTAACAACAGGATAAACCTAACAGCTATCTTCCCCGTAGCAGCAAAATACAAGTTACAGAATACCAATGAAACCTCAGCATTTCTTGGTATCTTAATGATACCAATACTGCTCTCGGTAGAAGAAAACATGGCATTGTTGTGAAACTAGCATAATCAACCTGGGAAACCAGAAGCAGAGCCAGGACTCCACCAATCACTTGCTGTTTCTCAAGAGGATTAAATGCCTTCCAGCAGTGAGAAGCAAGCATTGTGGCTGTTGTTCCTTATGAAAGAGAATGTTTGGCAGCTTGCTAATAACTAGTAACCAGTAAGAGTTAGCAATGGGGTGGGAAATGCTTGATAAAAAGATTGAAGTGCAGTTCAACCTGAAAACTCTTGGTGGTTCTCAAACCTGGCTACCTATTAGAATCACCTGGTGTGATGTGTTGGTGCCCAAGTGGGTGAGGTAAGTGTCCACACAGGGGGGTGGCCTGGAACGGAGAGTGAGAACCAAGCAGGGAGAGAAGGGTGTTTGAGCAGAGGAGTGAGTGGCAGCAAAAATGACAGATCAGCCACATGCACAGGGAATAAGTAAAAATATTAAAGATAGTAGAAACCAGGTTTCTCACCATCAGAGAGGAGAGCTACAAACATGGAAAGGGAAAAAATGAAAATGACCTCCGTCATGAGGTAGCACCATGAACACATGGTTTTCATTCCACACAGAAATGAGCACACACACATTCCCTGGCTGTGTCCACTGAGAGCATGCAGAGCAGTGGCACCCCAATGGCAATGAGCACACCTAGCATCCAGATCTTGCAAAATACCAAGATTTAGACTTTCCACTAAAAGGATCCAGAGCTCCCTGGGGAAATGGCTGATTCCAGGGTTAGAGCAGAGGAAGAATACTATCTTGTGCCAGAAAGCAAGGAAACGTGTGAAGAAATGATGGGGATGAGTTAGAAAGACACAAGTCAGCTTGAATAGTCTCCCATTGGCCAAATTGGTAATTATTATTATTTTTTTTTGAGACAAAGTCTCACTCTGTCATCCAGGCCGGAGTGCAGTGGTGTGAACATGGCTCACTGTAGCCTTGATCTCACCAGCCCAGGTGATGCTTCTGCCTCAGCCTCCCGGGTGGCTGAGACTACAGGCACATGCCACTATGCCTTGCTAATTTTTTTTTTTTTTTTTTTTGAGACGGAGTCTCACTTTTGTCACCCAGGTTGGAGTGCAGTGGCGCGATCTTGGCTCACTGCAATTTCCGCCTCCCAGGTTCAAGCAATTCTCCTGCCTCAGCCTCCTGAGTAGCTGGGATCACAGGCGCCCACCACCATGCCCAGCTATGCCTGGCTAATTTTTTGTAGAGATGAGGTTTCACCATGTTGCCCAGGCTAGTCTTGAACTCCTGGGCTCAAGTGATCCTCCCAACTAGGCCTCCCAAAGTGCTGGGATTACAGGTGTAAGCCACCATGCCTGGCCTCAAATTGGTAATAATTTGAGCATCAAAATTACAGACCATTGCATGAGTCTGTACAAATATAAATACATGGAAAGTCTGATGAATAGAGTATTCACAGTTTCAAAGCACATCCCAGCAAAATAGTAATTACATTCAAAGAGGAAAAGAGTAACTTTACAGTCAAGAAACCTGGCAAACACCACCTGCATCAAATGACCCAAGTATGAACAGTAATGGGACAAATGGCTGCATGTGCCACCTGACAGCATGCAACAGACATAAGGAGATTGATGAGACATGAAAACCAAATGTAACCTGTGAGTGTGAACTGGGCTTTTTTGCTAAAAAGGACATTATTGGGACAAATGGAAAAACCTCAATGGGGTCTGAGAGTGAGATGGTAATAACGTGTAAATGATCATTTCCTAATTTGGATGGGCACACTGTGGTCATGTAGGAGAATGCTTGTAAAACACTACGGCATTTGGGAGTGATGCAACATTAGGTCTCAAGTGATTTGGAGAAAAGTTCTTTATGTTGTACCTCCAATTTTTCCATAAGTTTGTGTTTCAAAATAATAATAATAATAATAATAATAATAATAATAATAATAATCCATTGATAACTGTGCTCGCTTCAGAGAAATTAAATAAAAATCTTGAGGGTTGAATACAAAAAACAAAACTAAATAAAAGCAAAATGGGTCAGGCATGGTGGCCTACGTCTGTAGTCCCAGTGCCTTTGGGAGGCCAAGGCAGGAGGAATGCAAGGTCAGGAGTTTGAGACCAGCCTGGGGAATATGGTGAAATCGCATCTCTGCAAAAAATACAAAAATTAGCCGATGTGGTGGTATGTGCCAGTAGTCCCAGCTACTTGGGAGGCTGAGGCAGGAGAATCGCTTGAACCCAGCATGTGGAGGCTGCGGTGAGCCAAGATCGCACCACTGCACTCCAGCCTGGACGAGAGTAAGACTTTGTCTCAAAAAAAAAAAAAAAAAAAAAAAAGGCCGGGTGCAGTGGCTCATGCCTGTAATCCCAGCACTTTGGGAAGCCAAGGTGGGCAGATCACCTGAGGTCAGGAGTTCAAGACCAGCCTGGCCAACATGGTGAAACCCCGTCTCTATGAAAAATACAAAAATTAGCTGGGTATAGTGCATGCTTGTAGTCCCGGCTACGCAGGAGGCTGAGGCAGGAGAATTGCTTGAACCCAGGAGGCGGAGGTTGCAGTGAGCCAAGATTGTACCATTGCACTCCAGCCTGGGCAACAATAGCGAAACTCCGTATCAAAAAAAAAAAAAAAGAAAAGAAAAAAAGCATTAAAAAAGCACATATACATGCACACAAACATGTACACACCCAAGGAATGGCTTTGGTGACCTGCAGGGTGTGTGAAATTTTATTTTTGTTTGTTTTTGCCTGGAAGAGTGGCTCATTTTATGTTCTAATTTTTTTTTGTTGTTTTTTTTTTGGCAAGTAGAAATGACAAAAGGGTGGGAGAATGCCTCTTTATCCCTTTTTTTTTTTTTTTTGAGACAGAGTCTCGCTCTGTCACCCAGGCTGGTGTGCAATAGCGTGATCTTGGCTCACTGCAACCTCCATCTCCTGGGTTCAAGCGATTCTCCTGCCTCAGCCTCCCGAGTAGCTGGGACTACAGGCACGTGCTACCGTGCCTGGCTAATTTTTTGTATTTTTAGTAGAGACGGGGTTTCACTGTGTTAGCCAGGATGGTCTAGATCTCCTGACCTCGTGATCTGCCCGCCTCGGCCTCCCAAAGTGCTGGGATTACAGGCGTGAGCCACCATGCCCAGTCTATCCCATTTTTTTAGAAGGGATGCAAGGTTCTTAGAATGGGGGGAAAACGAGAAGAAAGCCTGACAGAAAAAGACTTTGAAAGAGTAGAATACGATCAGTCAGTGCTAGGTGCGGTGGCTCATGCCTGTAATTCCAGCACTTTAGGAGGCTAAGGAGGGCGGATCACCTGAGGTCAGGAGTTCGAGACCAGCCTAGGCAACATGGTGAAACCCCGTCTCTACTAAAAATACAAAATTAGCCGGGCGTGGTGGTGCACACCTGTAATCGCAGCTACCTGGGAGGCTAATGCAGGAGAATCGCTTGAACTGGGGAGGCAGATGTTGCAATGAGCCAAGATGGCGCCATCGCACTCCAGCCTGGGTGACAGAGTGAGACTCTGTCTCAAAAAAAAAAAAAAAAAATCAGTGAGAACTAGCAGAAAATAATGAGACTCAGGCTTGTGAATCTGGACAGAGCTTATCTTAGATGAGGCATCAGAATGCACAGTTGTCACACCTGTGAATGGAGAAGCTAGGCCTGGAAGCTAGCATGTAAGTGATAGAGGCAAAATGCACGATTACCTATACAAGCGAGGACAGGTAACAAGATGGAATTTGCTGCCAGACACAGCCCCACTTTTATTAATGCCACCAACATTTACCGGTGGAATTATGGTGCCATGTGCATCAGGCGCTATGCTGGGTGCTGGGGGAATAAGACAAGTTGTCTGCCATCATAGATGGTCACAGGAATAATAACCTCTCACTTGTTAAGTTCTTACTACATGCCAAGCAGCATTTCCCAAACTCATGTGGCCACACAACTGTTGTAACGTCTCTTGGAATTAGTTCGGCAAGAGGGATATTGGGCTTCATAGCAATTCATAAGGGATTATAGTTGACCACGAGTTTAGCTGAGCAAACCACAGTATGCTACCACTGCTAAAAGAGCTCATGAAATCTTCGGCTGCATCAAAAACATACAAGATATGCTATGGTGTGCTTTCTGCAATTAAGACAACGCATTATATTCACTCCTGAGGACTCACTTTAACGATGACACTGACAAACCAAAGGGTATTTACCGGCAAAACACCTGGATGGTGAGGGATTATAGGGACTAAGACATTTAGGGGAACTAAGAACTGGGCCTGTTTGTCCTGATAAGTTCCAGGGTCTTAAGCCATAACACTCGAGCCAAACAAAAGTGAAATGAGCCTTCCCATGAGGTAGTAGGCTGCCTAAATATCTTTGAAATCACTTTTTTTTTTTTTTTTTTTGAGATGGAGTCTCCCTCTGTCACCCAGGCTGGAGTGCAGTGGCACAATCTCGGCTCACTGTAACCTCCGCCTCCTGTGTTCAAGTGATTCTGCCTCAGCCTCCCGAGTAGCTGGGATTACAGGCACACGCCACCACCCGGCTAATTTTTGTATTTTTAGTAGAGACGGAGTTTCACTGTGTTAGCCAGGATGGTCTCGAACTCCTGACCTCAAGTGATCCACCTGCCTCAGCTTCCCAAAGTGCTGGGATTACAGGTGTGAGCCACCGCGCCTGGCCTGAATTCACTTTTAAGTCTGAGCTATGTGAAATGCCCAAAATGAGACTTAGGTATTCTAGGTACCTATGGTAGATCATGGGCACTGTTTGCTGTCTTGATTAATAAAAACAAACATGTGGACTGCTTTGTTTTCCATAGTCTCTCCCTCTTGATATGAGAGGTGCGGTCATAGAGGCACACTGCAGAAATAGTCTGTGTCACCCTCTGGGGAAGAGTCACAATACAGATGACGACTAAAGGTTCTGAGAAGTCAAGTCCTTTGGTAAAGAAATCCAGGCTGGGCACGGTAGTGGCTCACACCTGTAATCCCAGCATTTTGGGAGGCTGAGGCAGGAGGATCACTTGAGCTCAGGACTTTGACACCAGCTTGGGCAACAGAGTGAGACCCTGACTCTACAAGAAATAAAAAATTAGCTGGGTATGGTGGCATGTGCCTGTAATCCCAGCTATTCATAGGGAGGCTGAGGTAGAATTGCTTGAGCCTGGGAGGTTGAGGCTGCAGTGAGCCATGATCACACCACTGTATTCCAGCCTGGGCAACAGAGAGATACCTTGTCTTAAAAAGAAAAAAAATTCACGGCCAGGCACGGAGGTTCACGCCTGTAATCCCAGCACTTTGGGAGGCTGAGGCAGGCAGATTGCAAGGTCAAGAGATTGAGACCATCCTGGCCAACATGGTGAAACCCTGTCTCTACTAAATATACAAAAATTAGCTAGGTGTGGTGGCGTGCGCCTGTAGTCCCAGCTACTTGGGAGGCTGAGGCACAGGAGAATCGCTAGAACCCGGGAGGTGGAGGTTGCAGTGAGCCGAGATCGCACCACTACATTCCAGCCTGAGTGACAGAGCGAGACTCTGTCTCAAAAAAAAAAAAGAAAAAAAAAAGAAAAAAATTAATTGAGCACAGCAACTCTCAAACACTTATCTATTTGTTTTCCTGCACTATCTTAAGGCATTGTATCCTGTGAAAACCCTCCGGGAAACACTGGACAAATGTCACAGGCCAAGGCCAAGGCAGGAAAGGACTTGTGATTTCCCTACTGTCATCAGAATGAGGGCCTCAGAGGGTGCTTGTGATGTACCAGCAGGACCCTATCTCGGTCACAGCATTAGACTACCACAGGGAAGGGTTAAGCTACTAATATGCAGTTTGAAATCCAGAGCAAGTGTTTTGTTTTCTAAAGTGTTCCTAGTTAATGATGGCTTCTGTTCAGAAAAAGTGTTTCAAAGAGCAAAGTTGTGCTTCTGTGTGTCAGGCAGGAAAAGTCTGGAAACCGTATATTTGTGTCTGACAGCTTGTTTTTGTTCTGTTATGGAAATTTTCGACAAAACAGAAGTGAAGCAACTAGAACAATGAACCCCATGTACCTGTGACCTACCTACCGTGAGTATCAGCATTTCACCAGTTGCGTTCCATCTATCTTCCCCTCCCCTGCACACATGCTTTTCTTTGGGAATGGGTTGGAATATTTTAAGGCGAATGAGAGACATCACATTCTTTCATTTGTAAATACTTCAGCAAGCATTTCTTTTTCTTTTCTTTTTTTTTTTGAGACGGAGTTTCGCTCTTGTTGCCTAGGCTGGAGTGCAATGATACGATCTTGGCTCACTGCAACCTCCGCCTCCTGGGTTCAAGTGATTCTGCTGCCTCAGCTTCCCGAGTAGCTGGGATTACAGGCGCCCGCCACCACACCCAGCTAACTTTTGTATTTTTAGTAGACACGGGGTTTCACCAGGTTGGCCAGGCTGGTCTCGAACTCCTGACCTCAGGTGATCCGCCCGCCTCGGCCTCCGAAAGTGATGGGATTACAGGCGTGAGCCATTGCGCTCCACTTCAGCAAGCATTTCTAACAGATAAGGACTTATAAATAAAAACTATAATTTCTAAGTAATCCTCAACAAAATTAGTAGGAGGAAACTGGAGTCATATTGAAATATTTGATTGGCAGGTTGCCCTGTGACAAATTAGAAACACTAATTGCCAAATACCAATTCTCAGACAGTTTCAAAAAATCTAAAATTACTGTCAACAGTGAGAGGGGGCGGTCCACAATTGTAAAGAACCAAAACTGTGGACAGCTACATGCCTGCTATGAGCACCCCAGGCCACAGGCCTCAGGCTCCAGCCACTCAGGGCCTCTTGCTGGTCTTGAGAGCCACAGCAGGAGCCAAGCATATGGCTCAGGGTGATTCAAAAGGTCTTCAAGTTGATGCAGGCTGCAAGTGTAAAGGGCATCTGCACCCCGGAGCTTGGGTACCCTTCCCTCAGAGTCAGTTACTCAGAACAGGCACAGCCTCAAATTCTGAGGGAAGAGCTTGAAACACACACACACAAGCACATACACATACACATTATATATACAAACTCTTCAAAATTCAATTCTACCAGGAGCGTGGGTGGCTCTCGTCTATAACCTCAGCAACTTGAGAGGCTGAGGCAGGAAGACTGCTTCAGGCCAGGAGTTCAAAACCAGCCTGCGCAACACAGCAAGACCCTATCTCTAAAAAAGTTAAAAACAGTATTAGGCAGGCGTAGCAGCACAGGCCTCTGAGCTACTTGGGAGGCCGAGACAGGAAAATCACTTGAGTCCAGGAGGTCAAGGCTACAGTAAGCTACTGTGCCACTGCATTCCAGAGATCCTGTCTCTAAAAAATAATACTTTTTAAAATAAAAAAGTCAATTCCTATGATTTTGTGAGCATATGTAGTAAAAAAATAGATTAGATGGTACATTTAAAAAATATCCTTAACTAGGCTGGGTGCGGTGGCCTGTAATCTCAGCACTCTGGGAGGCCAAGGCGGACAGATCACCTGAGGTCAGGAGTTCAAGACCAGCCTGGCCAACATGGCGAAACCCTGTCTCTACTAAAAATACAAAAAATAGCCAGGCGTGGTGGCATGCGTCTGTAATCCCAGCTACTCGGGAGGCTGAGACAGGAGAATCGCTTGAACCTGGGAGGTGGGGAGGTGGTTACGATGAGCCGAGATCAAGCCATTGGACTCCACCCTGGGTGACAAGAGCGAAACTCCGTCTCCAAAACAAAACAAATCACCTTAACTAAAAATATCCTTAACCACAGCTATTTTAGACAAAGTCTAGCTGGGCGCAGTGGCTCACGCCTGTAATCCCAGCACTTTGGGAGGCTGAGGCAGGTGGATCACCTGAGGTCAGGAGTTCGAGACCAGCCTGGCCAACCTGGTGAAACCCCATCTCTACTAAAAATACAAAAATTAGCTGGGTGTGGTGGCGGGCGCTTGTAATCCCAGCTACTCGGGAAGCTGAGGCAGCAGAATCACTTGAACCCAGGAGGCGGAGGTTGCAGTGAGCCGAGATCACGCCATTGCACTCCAGCCTGGGCGACAGAGTGAGATTCCATCTCAAAAAAAAAAAAAGAAAGAAAAAAGACAAAGTCTAAAGATGAAATTTCTAATGAGATTTTTTTTTTTTTTTTTTTTTGCCATAAAACATACTTTTCTTATGGGAGGGTTGGGGAGGGCTCTAGAAATTTACCACTAATATGTTAATAATTATGGAGGGAAGAGTTTCACTACAAAGAAAAAAAGATTCCATATAACTGTTATTCTGAGTCTGGAAGAACACTTCCAGAGTGGTGTTTTCACAGACAGAAAACCTGTGCTGCTGTGTGAACCAAAAGGCTAGCAAATATTTGTTAAAACCGCTATGTGGCTGGGTAAGCATAGCAAAACAAACATGTGTTCATCTGTGCTCCCTCTGAAGATGCCAGGAAAGTAACAGAAAAGGAATTACATACATAAAAACACAAGGACAAAGAGAATGAGAGAGGAGAGGACAGTGGACGCTGTCAAGGGCAGTCAAGTGGAAAGCTGTCAAGTGGAAATGTCAAGGGCAGACAGTAATCTTTTTTTTTTTTTTTTGGAGACAGAGTCTCACTCTGTCGCCCAGGTTGGAGTGCAAATGGTACGATCTTGGTGCACTGCAACCTCTGTCTGCCGGGTTCAAGCAATTCTCCTGCCTCAGCCTCCCGAGTAGCTGAGATTACAGGCATGTGCCACCACACCAGGCTCTAATTTTTTGTATTTTTTTTTTTTAAGTAGAAACAGGGTTTCACTATTTGCCCAGGCTGGTCTCAGACAATCTGCCTGCCTTGGCCTCCCAAAGTCCTGGAATTACAGGCATGAGCAACTGCACCCGGCCTAGGCAAACAGTAGTCTACTTCGTTGACCAGAGAAAACTGTACTGAGTTGTCTGCAGCAAGGGTGGAAGCCCAGAGAGCCCCTGGGCCTCCCATCTTGCCCTGCCCTGCTCTGCCCATGTGGGGAGGGGAGCCAAGCTGCTCTACACTCAGGGACCGGTGGCACAGTTGAGACTGGGGGTGTGACATCAAGGTCAAGCCACAGGGGTCAAGGGATAGTCTGCCTATCAACTGGCTCTTCCCATTGTCCTGCCTGCAGCCAGGCAGGAGGCCGAGGAGTCCTCTGGGGATAAGCTACCTTCCCACAGCTACTGAGCCTCTCCAGGCCAAAAGGCTTGTCCCCACATTCAGCGGCCATGTACCCTTTCAGTATGGCACTGCTAATGCGAAGGGACAGGTAAGGAGAGTCTGCCACATAAACGACAGATCCCCAAACAAACAAAAGAGTCCCGAGGGAGGAAACAGCATAGAAAAAGGAGTCTGTCTTTTATTTGAGACAGGGTCTCACTCTGTTGCCCAGGCTGGAATGCCAGTGGCGTGATCATGGCTCACTGCAGCGTCGACCTCCCAGGCTCAGGTGTTCCTCCCGCCTCAGCTTCCTGAGTAGCTAGGACTAAAGGTGCGCACCACTACGCCCGGCTAATTCTTGATTTCTTTGTAAAGATGGTGGTCTTGCTATGTTGCCCAGGCTGGTCTCGAACTCGGCCTCACATGATCCTCCCGCCTCAGCTTCCTGAGTAGCTGGGACTAAAGGTGCACACCACCACGCCCGGCTAATTCTTGGTTTCTTTGTAAAGATGGTGGTCTTGCTATGTTGCCCAGGCTGGTCTCGAACTCAACCTCACGTGATCCTCCCACCTCAGCCTCCCAAAGTGTTGAGATTACAGGCATTGGCCACCGCACCCAGCTGAAAAAGGAGTCTTTTGAGAGAACTGTAACTAACGTACTCAGGGAACAGTAAGATACTGCACCCATATGACAAGGTTAAGAGAAAGGGAACAATGACAGAATAAGAAGGAACGCTGACTCCAAACATGCGACAGCTTCAATACAAGGGACTGGACTGGAGAAGGCACGGAAGAGCTTGAGACAGAACACCCAAGGGAAGCAGCAGCGGGGAAGGTGGCCCCTGTTGGCCGCACCACCAAGGCAGGCTTCCAGAATGCATCATGCATGCACTGGAGCCTACAGGACAAGCTGGGATTTGTGGAGCCCAGAAGAGCTGTTGGAGGAAAAGCCTTAGCAAAGAGAGCAGGAACACTGCCACTGGAGGGCAGAGCCTGAATGGAAAATGCAGTCAGCTTGGAAAAAAGATCCCGATGAGCCTCAGAGACCAGAATGTGATTCAGGGTGATGCAGCATGTTTGTGGTTTCTGTAGGGAAATGTGTTCTACCTTGTAACTGGGATAGAAAAGCACATTTCACCTCTACCCTGTATTTCCTGCCAAGTCAGACCTTGGTTTTGATTCCAGAGTGCCCTGACCAGGGGAGCTGCCAAAGGGCTGCGGGGCCTGCTTTTATGAACAGATAGAGACCCTTTTGGCCCCTTCCATCATTATGTGCTGATACTGAGCACATAATGGAGGCCATGAGGAAACGCTGGAGAACACTCTGCTTACAGTTTAGGAACGAGGGCAAATCTCATCTTGCTTAGCAGCTCATCCTCCTGGAGCATGACCAGGGCCACGGGGTACATCTGATCAAAGTCGAAATTAAATTGCACGCCAGCCGGAGGGTCACGAAGGAAATTCCTCTTGTCCTTTGATAAAAAAAGAAAAAAACACAGGGTATTCCACAAAATGCGATTAATAGATAACAATTTTTTTTTTTTTTTGAGACGGGTTGTCACCCAGGCTAGAGTGCAGTGGTGCAATCTCGGCTCACTGCAACCTCCACCTCCTGGATTCAAGCAATTCTCCTGCCTCAGTCTCCCGAGTAGCTGGGATTATAGGCACCCGCCACTGCGCCTGGCTAATTTTTGTATTTTTAGTAGAGATGGGGTTTCACTATCTTGGCCAGGCTGGTCTCAAACTCCTGACCTCGTGATCCACCTGCCTCGGCTTCCCAAAGTGCTGGGATTACAGGGGTGAGCCAATGCGCCCACTCTTTTTTTTTAATTTTATTTTTGTTTTGAGATGGAGTCTTGCTCTGTCGCCCAGGCTATAATGCAGTGGTGCAATCTCAGCTCACTGCAACCTCTGCCCCCTGGGTTCAAGCAATTCTCCTGCCTCAGCCTCCCGAGTAGCTGGGATTACAGGTGTGTGCTAGCACGCCTGGCTAATTTTTGTATTTTTACTAGAGATGGGGTTTCGCCATGTTGGCCAGGCTGGTCTCGAACTCCTGACCTCAAGTGATCCACCCACCTTGGCCTCCCAAAGTGCTGGGATTACAGGTGTGAGCCACTGCACCTGGCCTACTACATAACAATTTATCATAGACTGGGGAAATATTATATTCTTTCTTTATTTTGAGACAGTCTTGCTATGTTGACCAGCAGGAGTGCAGTGAGACTCTCAAAAAAAAAAAAAAAAAAAAAAAATAGAAGCGGACAGGGTGTAGTCGCTCATGGCTATAATCCAGCACTTTGGGAAGTTGGGCAAGAGGATCGCTTGAGGCCAGGAGTTCGAGACCAGCCTGGGAAACATAGTGAGAACCCATCTCTAAAAACAATTTTAAAAATTAGCTGGGCATGGTGGCTTACGCCTATCGTCCCAGATACTTGGAAGGCTAAGGCCGGAGGATCACTTGAGCCCAGTTCAAGGCTGCAGTGAGCCATAATTATGCCACTGTACTCTATCCTGGATGACCAATTGAGACTGTGTCTCTTAAAACAAAAACAAAACAAAACAAAACAAATTAAATTAAAAATTTTGGCAGCGCATGGTGGCTCACACCTGTAATCCCAGCACTTTGGGAGGCCAAGGCAGATGGACTGCTTGAGGTCAGGAGCTCGAGACCAGCCTGGCCAACATGGTGAAACCCTGTCTCTACTGAAAACACAAAAATTAGGCTGAGTGTGGTAGCTCACGCCTATAATCCCAGCACTTTGGGAGGCTGAGGTGAGGGTGGATCACGAGATCAGGAGTTCGAGACCAGTCTGGCCAACATGGTGAAACCCCGTCTCTACTCAAAATACAAAAATTAGCAGGGCGTGGTGGCGGGCACCTGTAATACCAGCTACTTGGGAGGCTGAGGCAAGAGAATCGCTTGAACCTGGGAGGAGAAGGTTGCAGTGAGCCGAGATCGTGCCACTGCGCTCCAGGCTGGGTGACAGAGCGAGACTTTGTCTCAAAAAAAAAAAAAAAAAAAAAAAAAACCACACAAAAATTAGCTGGGCATGGTGGCGCATGCCTGTAGTCCCAGCTATTCAGGAGGCTGAGGCAGGAGAATCATTTGAACCCGGGTGGTGGAGGTTGCAGTGAGCCAAAATTGCACCACTACACTCCAGCCTGGGTGACAGAGCAAGACTCCATCTCAAAAAAAAAATAAAAAATAAATTTTATGTGTACATTTTGTTAATGTACACATCATGTGTTAATGTGTACATTCCTAACATCTCAAAATATTTTAAAAACTGTATAGAAAAATAAATTCTACTAAAGTCACATCAACAGAGATATATCATGACAGAAGAAAGTATGTTCTATCTGGGGTACCACAAGATACTTACAGCTGATAAGGCCAAAATTTGTTGTTGAATTGTTTCTTCATCGTTAGTGTCAACCCATGGGGGCACAGCTGCTTCTATACAGTTTTTAATGGCAAAGAAGAAAAGAGAAAAAAATAGGTCATGATGGTTACACTGCAGTCTATGGTTTCAAAGCATGAAAGTTTCTGCATGACCACTAAAAGTAGCAATTTACCAATAAGTTCCAAATATGAACATTAACCGTAATAACCAGACTTATTATTATGAGTTATATGCACATATGCATTTGGTAAAAAAAAAAAAAACTCTACTTGAGGCCAGGCATGGTGGCTCACACCTGTAATCCCAGCACTTTGGGAGGCCGAGGTGGGTGGATTGCTTGAGCCCAGGAGTTGCAGACCAGCTTGGGCCACATGACAAAACCCTCTCTCTACAAAAAAATACAAAAGTTAGCCAGACGTTGTGCGTGCCTGTAGTCCCAGCTACTTGGGAGGCTGAGGCGGGAGGATCACCTGAACCCAGGAGTCAAGGCTGTAGTGAGCTGTGATTCCGCCATTGCATTTCAGCCTGGGTGACAGAGTTGAGACCCTGTCTCAGAAAAAAAACAAAAAACAAAAAACTCTACTTAAATGATACAGTGGAGAAACTGGACAACTCCTTAATCAGGTGATCAAAATCAACAATGAGGGAGAGATGAACATCATGGCCTTCCAGATGTGGTATCTTGAGAAGGACATCATCACCTATGTAGTATGCTGGCTAAAAATGGACAATCTGAGTCTAGTTATGAGGAAATATCAGATAAAGCCTGAATGAGAAAGAATCTATTAAAAAAAAGGAAGAGAAGTATTCTTCAAAAATATTAATATCATAAAAGACAAAGAAAGGATGTTGGAATGTTCCTGATTAAAGAAGGCTGAGAGACATGACAAAGAATACAATACCTTATCCTCAACTGGATCCTATACGAGGGGGACAAATGTTATAAAGGACATTACTGGGTCAACTAACAAAATTAACTGATGAACAGTAAAGTATTGCATCAAGGTGAAATTTCCTAATGCCGTTAACTATACTATGATTATGAAAGAGAATATCCCTAATTCTTAGGAAATGTGTACTGAACATTTGTGTACACACAAGGAAAAAAAGGGCACACACACAGCAAGAGCTGGAGAGAGGGCGTGAATAAGGCAAACAGAATAAAGCTAGAGCAATTTAGGTACTGGTATATGGGTGTTCTCTGTACTATTTTTATTCTTGCGACTCTTCTGTAAATTAAAATTTTTTCCAAATAGAAAAATTTTTAGAAAGTTACTTAAAAAAATGAAAGAAAAATGGGTAAGTATATTTCTGGAGGAAAAAAAAAGAAAGTTACTGTACTTGATTCATGATAAAAGGTGATGTTGTAAGACAGGTGATTAGGAATAAGAAGAGGGTTTTCAGGAGCTAAAAAAAAAAAAAAAAAGAAATGCACAAGTTGGAGGCAGTAAACAATAGGGCTGGAATCAAATCCTCAATAAGCCGTTAGAAGCTAAATGCTGGGAATGCCAAGATCTAGCCCATGTTTTTCTGGGGCTCACAAGATAGAGGTGATTAGAATCCAGCACTGTAAGTGCCGTGCCAGGTGACAAATGACAACCCTCTGGAGAGGTGAGAACTACAAGATTTTCTGGTGACCTAGGAGCCCAATCTTGGACTAGGAAGAGGAGGTCAGTGGTGGATGGGGGTGGGGGTGTTTAGAGTGGAAACAAAAACAATGGCAAGCTCGTCTGAAGATCTCTCCCATGTAAGCAGCACGGAGCAGCTAGAGAGCAGAGTGAAGGCTGCAGATCTGCGTGATCGGCACAGAAGACACACAGGCAGGGGGCCCTTAATAGCCTCATTCAGCAACCCACAGCGGCAAGATTAGGATGGGAAGCAGAAGTCACAAAAATGTGGACTAATTCATAAGCCACTGAATCACTCCTGCTGCCTTAACACTAGATTCTAGCCCTACTGGTCTTGCAACACAAAGTGAAAAGGCAAATCTTGCAAAACACACGGTGCTTCACAAAGTCAAAGTAAAGTGACATGGGATAGCTGCCTGCATCACCACAAAGCAAACAATAAGGAGGACCTGGCAGTTAGGGCACCTATGCCTGAAGGAAACACAAGGCTGGTGACCCAGCAAGTGCTTTAAAAGAGAATGATTTGGTCCCAGCTACTCGGGAGGCCGAAACAGGAGAATTGCTTGAACCCGGGGGGCAGAGGTTGCAGTGAGCTGAGAAGGTGCCACTGCACTCCAGCCTGGGCAACAGACAGACTCCGTTTCAAAAAAAAAAAAAAAAAAAAGAGAGAGAGAGTGATTTGAAAACCAAAGGGGCAATTAAGGCAGGCCCTTGGAGAGCAAATGCTTTGCTGTCCTGGAATATTTTGGCAGAAATAGTCCCTTTACTATTATGCTCTGAGTCAGAGGGAAGACATATCATATCACGAGCCCACTGAGAGAAAAGTTACATGCATGTGTGGATGGACACAGGGATGGATAGGCAGATGAGCACACGCTTCATTCTTTGGCTTATCCCAAGTCAGCAAATGGTGGCAATTATAATCCAAATTCTATTAATGATAAGATAATCTAAACATATTTGCACATTTTAAAGAAAAAATTAGGGTAAAGCCCCCAAAACATTTTTTCTCACACACTTTAGTCTCCATTCCAAGTCTCTTCACCTTGGGTAGTCTCTCCTGGTGCTATTTATGCTCAGATAATGAGGCCCTCCTAAGATACTTGTATGAGGAGATGCTCCCCACCCCGAGTTCCTGAAATTATTCTTTTTAGAGTGACCAAAACCTCTTGGTTCTCCAACCCCAAGGACACTTCTTAGTTCTCTTCTCTCTAGGCCAGTTTCCTTATCTGGAAAACGGAGGTAACAGTAAGTACTTTATAGAGTTACTGTGATTATGAAGTGAAGAAATGCATGGAACACATTTCCAAGGTGCCCTTCTCATGGTCATTGTAAGTGGACCTCTTGGCCCTGCCTCCCATGGCTGACTGCTCTCCTGGAAACTCTCCCCTCTCTGGGCTTCTGCTACTTCTCTCTCCTAGTTGTCCACTCTCTTGGGTAAACGGGCACTGTTTTTATTTTCTTTTTTTGAGATGGAGTCTTGCTCTGTTGCCCAGGCTGGAGTGCAGTGGTATGATCTTGGCTCGCTGTAACCTCTGCCTCCCAGGTTCAAGTGATTCTCCTGCCTCAGCCTCCCGAGGAGCTGGGATTACAGGCGCATGCCACTAGGCCCAGCTAATTTTTGTATTTGGTTTTGAAGGCAAATTTCAGTTTCATCACTTACCAGCTGAGTGACCTTCCGCAAATTACTTACCCTTGCTGACTGCATCTTTATTATTTATTTATTGAGACAGAGTCTCGCTCTGTCACCCAGGCTGGAGTGTAGCGGCACAATCGCGGTTCACTGCAACCTCCACCTCCCAGGTTCAAGCAATTCTTGCGCCTCAGCCACCCAGACAGCTGGGATTACAGGTGTGTGCCACCAAGCCTGGCTAATTTTTGCATTTTTAGTAGAGATGGGGTTTCGCCATGTTGGCCAGGCTGGTCTCAAACTCCTGGCCTCAAGTGATCTGCCTACCTCAGCCTCCCAAAGTGCTCGGATTACAGGCATGAAGCTACCACGCCTGGCCCTGACTGCGTCTTGAAATGAGATGTTATATATAAAATGCCTGCTGCTCAGCAGGCACTCAGTGATGTCAATTCCTTCCCCTCTTCCCCTCCCTAAACACTGTGGAGCTTCTGCTCATCTCCCTTCATGCTTGACACACTTTCCATAGAGGAGCTCATCTACTCTCATGGTTTTTATGTGACTTGATAATAATCTATATCACTAGATTGAATTCTGCTTCATGCTTCAAACAGGAATAAACTGCTGCAGGAGCCTGCTTATTTAATTCAGAGCCACACTGAGCAAACGAACTTTCTGCAATGACAAAAATGTTCTATATCTGCATTGTCCAGTGCGGAAGCCATTAGCCATATGTAGTTATCGAGGACCTGAAACGTGGCTGATGCAAAAAAAGAAGGAAATTTTCCCCAGATAAAGCACTTGTGTTCTCTTTCCTGTCTTTCTACATGTTCCTATCTCCGGGATGTCTAACTCACTTCAAAACTGAAGTTGCCTCCAAACCTTCCACCCCCACGCCCTCACAGTTCGTATCTCAGAGGCATCAGCTCCTACAGCAAGTCCCCAAGCCAGGATCACTTTTGCTGCTTCCAAATAATCACTAAGTGATGCTAACTTGTATACCTCACTTGTCTAAAAGAGTTGCTCATGCTTTTGAGTTTACCTAGGTGCAAGAATGCCTGATGGAAATTCACCATGGGATTAACTGTGGCACAACTCGAACTGAATTGTTTTCTACTACTTTTTTTTTGAGACAGGGTCTCACTCTGTAGTCCAGGCTGGAGTACACTGGCATGATTATAGCTCACTACAGCCTCAAACTCCCAAGCTCAAGTGATCCTCCTGTCTCAACCTCCCAAGTAGCTGGGACTACAGGTGTGCACCACCACACCCATCTGGCTAATTTCTTTTTATTTTTTTGTAGAGATAGGGTCTCACTATGTTGCCCAGGCTGGTCTCGAAGTTCAGGCTCAAGTGATCCTCGCGCCTTGGCCTGCCAAAGTGTTGGGATTACAGTTATACTACTTTTGCCAAATCTAAAGACACGAGGCTGGTTTTGTGTTTGGGTGCTACAAAATGGTAAGAGTAGGCATGCTGAGGCCTTATAACTTCAGAGGCATGTGTCAGCAGTAATGTATTGAGTATGTTCTCCAAACACCCGAGACTCTTTACGGCCCTCTGTCACTGCAGGTGCGGTCACTCGCCTCCCTCGGAAGCTCTTCCATTTTTTCTCCTGAAGACAGCAGGAACGGAGCCACCACTTGCTAAATGCCGGTCATGTGCATACTGTGCTCTGTGCTGGGCATGTGGTAGAAAGTCAGAACTGAGGCCAGGTGCAGTGGCTCATGCCTATAATCCCAGCACTTTGGGAGGCTAAGGCGGGCGGATCACGAGGTCAGGAGTTCGAGACCAGCCTGCCAACATGGTAAAACCCCGTTTCTACTAAAAATACACACACACAAAAATAGCTGGGTGTGGTGGCTCGTGCCTGTAATCCCAGCTACTCGGGAGGCTGAGGCAGGAGAATTGCTTGAATCTGGGAGGCAGAGGTTGCAGTGAGCTGAGATCACGCCATTGCACTCCAGCCTGGGTGACAGAGCAAGACTCCATCTCGGTGGGGGAAAAGAAAAGAGAAAGTCAGAACTGAAAGCTTACTTGCCCCTTTCACAGCCAGCTCCCCAGTGGGGCCAGCACTGGCAGCCCTCACCCAGAAACAATCTAGTCCCTTCCTTTAAATCATGGAAGTTTATGGGTTTGTCTCCCTCACTAGTCTTTGTGCTACCCAAAGGATGGGGCCATTGCATATGCATTTTTGTGTTCTCAGACCCTCAGTGTGGTATCTAGCACATAACAGGTGCTCAATAAAACCTGGCAGGTTAATTAAGACAAACCTATACCATACCTGACTTCTTTGTATGTTGCTCTTCAACAAATTTTTTCTGTTCCTTCTGAAAATCTCCTATAATTGTCTGTTAAAAAAAATACATAGTCAAATTAAATAGCAATGTATCTAAGGTTTAATTGATGACTTCCTTAGTTCAAATATCTACCAACATAAATGAAATGCCATAGGCCCACTGCAAAAAACAAACTCACTCCTTAGAGTCTTAAAAGGGTTGTTCCTAATGGGCTAGGACCTTAGTCGCATGATGCAAAGGCATAAATATATCCTCAAACAGTTATAAAGTTAAACTCACAACATGAAAAGTTGGCCAGGCGTGGTGGCTCATGCCTGTAATCCCAGCACTTTGGGAGGGCAAGGCGGGTGGATCACTTGAGGCCAGGAGTTCGAGACCAGCTTGGCCAACATGGTGAAACCCCGTCTATACTAAAAATACAAAAATTAGCTGGGTGTGGTAGCGCATGCCTGTAATCCCAGCTACTTGGGAGGTTGAGGCAGGAGAGTTGCATAAACCCAGGAGGCAGAGGTTGCAGTAAGCTGAGATCACACCACCACACTCCAGCCTGGGTGACAGAATGAGACTCCATCTCAAAACAAACAAACAAACAAACAAACAACCAACATGAAAAGTTTAGTATAACCCCCAAGTATCAATGTATTGATTGTAATATATTAAAATAAAAACAGCTATTTAAATCAAGTACTGTAATTTAATGATACTTACTTGTTATTCAAAGAGAGGAAAAAACCAAAAATCTCAACAATTAACATTTTTATCAGAATATGATATTCTACTTAGGTTAAAAAATGTTCATAAGAAGAAGAAACCATCAAGAGGAAACAATGAATTTCATACATTTCTACTTCCAAAAGATAATTGAATATACCTTGTCAATGATGCCATCTATTTTTCCTTCTTCTACGGATTTCTTTATTGTTTGTGCTGTTTCAGCAACTGATTCAGTTATCTTTTTTGTGGCAGCAGATGCAAAGTTAAATAAATAGTCTGTAAAGAATAAAAAGAATCTGTGGTTATTATGTTTGAGATTTTTCCCTTAAAGAGATCTTATGAGAATCTAAAGCATTAGGGCATGTTCCTTGTTCATAAGGACCTGAAACAAGTAATGAGAAGCACTGACAGTGATGAAAAGCACCACTTTCTTGGTGGACTGGCCAATCATACTGGGCCTTTCATTCATCTCTTTTTTTGTTTTTTTTTTTTTTTTTTTTTTTTTTGAGACAGTCTCGCCCTGTCACCCAGGCTGGAGTGCAGTGGCGTGATCTCAGCTCACTGCAAGCTCTGCCTCCTATGATCAAGCGATTCTTCTGCCTCAGCCTCTCGAGTACCTGGGACTACAGACGCCTGCCACCATGCCCGGCTAATTTTTTTGGTATTTTTAGTAGAGACAGAGTTTCACCATGTTGGTCAGATTGGTCTCGAACTTCTGGCCTCGAATGATCTGCCTGCCTCAGCCTCCCAAAGTGCTGGGATTACAGGCGTGAGCCACCGGGCCTGGCCTCATTCATCTCTTTCAAAGACCCTTAGTATACTCTTCCCAGTAGCTGCTTCAAAATTTTCTTGCTCAAGTCTCTGGTTCTAATTTATCTCAGTAAATAATCTACCCTCCTACTTTGCCAGGAAGAACAAGGCTCCTTTATACTTTTCTTCCTTTCTAGATCTCATGTATGCCATCTTTATTTTCTCCTCCTTCCCTCCTGTTCAAAGAAAAAATGCCCCTCCTTTCTCAAATTAACATGTCCCATGATAAATCTGGGGGAATTTTAAATAAGAAATAGAAATCTTGGCAAGCCCTAGTAGAAACAGAAATCTTTTTTTTTTTTTTTTTGAGATGAAGTCTCACTCTGTCACCCAGGCTGGAGTGCAGTGGCGTGATCTCAGATCTCAGTTCACTGCAACCTCCACCTCCCAGGTTTAAGTGATTCTCATGCCTCAGCCCTGCAAGTAGCTGGGATTACAGGCGCCCGCCACCACACCCGGCTAATTTTTATATTTTTAGTAGAGATGGGATTTCACCATGTTGGCCAGGCTGGTCTCAAACTCCTGACCTCAGGTGATCCACCCACTTCGGCCTCCCAAAGTGCTGGGATTACAGGCGTGAGCCACCAAGCCTGGACTAGAAATCATTCTTAATAATAATGAGCAAATAAGTAGAACAAGATTAAAAGTGGAACCCATAAAACTTCCAGTTTTTACAAAACAAAACCACAGAATTAGCTTTCTGGAAGATGTGAAAAGACATGTGTCAAGGTTCTATTGCACTATAAGGGCTCATTTGTTGTAATCCCAGCACTTTGGGAGGCCGAGGCGGGCAGATCAGGAGTTCGAGACCAGTCTGACCAACATGGTGAAACCCCGTCTCTACTAAAAATACAAAAAACTTAGCTGGGCATGGTGGCGTGCGCCTGTAATCCCAGCTACTCAGGAGGCTGAGGCAGCAGAATTGCTTGAACCCGGGAGGCAGAGACTGCAGTGAGCCGAGATTGCGCCACTACACTCTAGCCTGGGCAACAGAGCGAGACTCCGTCTAAAAAAAAAAAAAAAGGGCTAATTTGTAGACAAATATCATTTCAAAGTCCACATCCTACAGAATCCAGGCTGCTGAAAGAGACTTGAGGCAGGTCTTGAAGCTGGACCTGCTGGGGGATGCTCCCAGGCAATTGACATCCTCCTCTCATGAGAAATAGCTGGCACATTAGGGCGGTCTTGCCTCTCTTACTTACACCTGTTGAAGGGGCAGGCAGGTGGAGAAGGTCCCATAAGAATGGCAAAGAGAGCTCTGCACAACAGATTCCATCCTCATTCTGTGGGTGGTATTACTTCCAGGAAACCAGCAGACTGTATAGGTGTCTGGGAGCCAGTAATATTATCACTCCATCTGAATGATCCTTTCACCAGCTTCCCATTTAAAAATCTACTTCCTCCCATTGTGTCTGGTAGTGTTTATCTGTCAACCCCAACAAAACACCCCTAGGACATACCACAGGAAGCTACTTGCTACTTATCTCTGGTCTAGTTCTCATCTTTCTCCTTCTTCCCAGTCTACAGTCATATGATCACATGGAAATTCTTCACTACCTCCAAGGAGGCCTCCTTGGTTTGAAACATTTTTGTCTGCTCTCTCTTTATCTGGCTAACTCTCCATATGCTGTGGGTCTCCACTTAAATATCCCTTCTCCTTAGGAAATATTCCCTTGACTACGATGGATGTCCTGAGATGTGTTCCCTCCGCACATCCTGTGTTTTGAAGACTGTTGCCTGATCAACAATCTTCAAAACACTCTACCGATTACTTGGTGAATGTCTTCTCAGCCAGACTGAAAGCCCATGCTGAGCCCCATGAGTGCAGGGACCTGGGCTGTCTGATACCCCACTGTATCCCCAGCGGATGACCAGTGACCAGTACGTACTTGTTGAATGGATGAATGGGGAGTGACAGAACAAATGCTAAGATTGAGTGAAATCACTCATTTCTCTTTAGTTATGACTACTCTACTTGTACAGAGTGGTATGATAAAATGGGTAGACAGCCACACTAGTTTATAAAACTGTTGCAGGCCAGGTCTCACTAATATAGGCCTTCATCACAACTGTTTCAGTACTGACTGAGTGGTTAAGTTAAATATTAAAAGCCAGTGACCGGGCTGGGCGCGGTGGCTCACGCCTGTAATCCCAGCACTTTGGGAGGCCGAGGCGGGCAGATCACGAGGTCAGGAGATCGAGACCATCCTGGCTAACATGGTGAAACCCCGTCTCTACTAAAAATACAAAACATTAGCTGGGCGCCTGGGTGACAGAGCGAGACTCCGTCTCAAAAAAAAAAAAAAAAAAAGCCAGTGACCTTATGCAAAGGCTGGAATGTAACAAAAGCTCAAGAGTTTTTTGCCTAGGCCTTTCCTGAACCTTAAAGCATGACCAAACTATTTCACTACTGAAAATATACGAAAGAGTTCTAATTAGTTGGCTCACAGAAAAATAGAAGTGCTTAAATACTTTAACAGAAAAAAAGAAAGACTAGTCAAATGCTTTTTCAAGTTTATGTGACTTAAGTAAAATCTTTAATAAATAAGCTAGCTTTAAAAATTACTGGTAAAGTAATATTAGAAATGTCTTCGGAGTTGCCAGCATATATTTTTGTTTACATTTATTGATCAAGCAATTTCATACTTATCTCTGCCAAATACTATAAGGTATCAAAATTTGGCATAGAGGCTACAAAACGATAACTCAGCCCAAAACAGAGTGAACTTTGCTGTGTAATTTTTTTTTTTTTGAGACAGAGTTTTGCTCTTGTTGCCCAGGCTGGAGTGCAATGGCACAATCTTGGCTCACTGCAACCTCCGCCTCCTGAGTTCAAGTGATTTTCCTGCCTCAGCCTCTGGAGTGGCTGGGATTACAGGTGTCTGCCACCATGCCCAGCTAATTTTTATATTTTTAGTGGAGACATGGTTTCACCATGTTGGCCAGGCTAGTCTAGAACTCCTGACCTCAGATGTTCCGCCCACCTCAGCCTCCCAAAGTGCTGGGATTACAGGTGTGAGCCACTGTGCCCGGCTGCTTGTGTAATTTTTAATAAATAAAACACTGATATTGGTTTAATGAAGATAGCTACATCTTGAATTATTTAGTAAAATACCCTAACCTCTGATCTTGTGGCCTTAGGCAGTCTAGTCCACAGACATAAAGGAAGTTTGTTCTGGGAAAGGACGGTTATCATCTTTGTTTCAAAGCTAAACTATAAACTAAGTTAATGAACAAGAATAGCTTGGAGGTTAGAAGCAAGATGGAGTCAGTTACGGCAGATCACTTTCACTGTCTCAGCTATAATTTTGCAATGGTGGTCTCATAACTTTCAATGATGACTACTGCAGTTTTCATAAATAATCTAGGTAAATGATTAAAATAAATAATTAGATAAATGTAATGGGATACTCATAACAAATGTCATAATTTTGAATCTAAAGTTATATTAAATAACAGATATTTCATTATTTGGGTATTTTCCAATAAAAATATATTGTAGGAAAATATTCTTTCTAAACATTGTGTCCTTTTTAAAGGGTAACTAATTTTTGTCTAACTCAAAGCTTATTTAAAGGTTATATATAAAACATGGTAAAAGAAACCAGGAAATAAGAGAGATATAAAGAAAGTTATAAAAATAAAGACAGTTTTAAAGATTACTGGTAAAATAAAATATCTTCAAAATGTAAGCATTTGGTCTAAATTATGCAGGTCAAATATTAGGTTTGCTAAATGCTTTGCATCATAAACTGCTTCTTTGACTTAAACATTGTTTGATTTATTTTGTAGCATTAGATTCTAGAAAAGGCCTGGAGACATGTGAAATTAGCCAAGCCCCCTAGCTATGCAAAAGGTATTAGAGAAAAGAGATTTTATATAAGAAAGGACCTTGTATGGCAAATTCTTGTCCTAAAGTAAAGTAACTGGATGTTTAAAAAGAGGGATGCTTAGGACAAGTCAGAAAGTCAAGGTATGTCATAGCTTGTCTGTGTAAGTTGTGAAAGAATTTATGAAACGGAATTTATGCAACAAATATTGTACAATTTAAAGGTGATTAGGTCTCTTAAATGCTTTATAAAATGCCACTATGACTCTCAGCTGTACAACTTGCCTGCTTTACAGCTAGATAAGGCCTGGGACACATGGAGTTAGATGCTGGAATAAGTCAGACCTTATCTGCACTTCTGTCTACATCTTAGGCTCCACACCTAGTACATAAAATCCCAAACTTACCAAGGTTTTCACCAAAAGTAAAGGTTGCTAAGAGTTAACAGTGTAACATGTATTTAACACTACTGAAGAAACAGATTTTTGTTTGTTTGTTTTTTCTTTTTCTGAGACAGAGTTTCGCTCTTTCGCCCAGGCTGGAGCGCAATGGTGCGATCTTGGCTCACTGCAACCTCCACCTTCTGGTTTCAAGCGATTCTCCTGCCTCAGCCTCCCGAGTAGCTGGGATTATAGGCACCTGCCACCACGCCCAGTTAATTTTTGTATTTTTAGTAGAGACGGGGTTTTACCATGTTGGTCAGGCTGGTCTCGAACTCCTGACCTCATGATCCACCCACCTTGGCCTCTCAAAGTTCTGGGATTACAGGTGTGAGCCACTGTGCCCGGCCTGAAGAAAGTTTTACATGGAAAAGTAAAATATGCTTTTGGTAAAAAGCATATTTACAAGGAAAGTAAAATATGCTTTTGGTAAAAAGATTATAAGGAGGCATGAAAATGTGGATTTTTGCCTAGATTAAAAGGTTAAAGGATTGTTTTAAGTTGGATAAAATAAAGATGAAGGTTTAAGCAAGTTGTGGAAGATTGATTGTAAAGGAAATTCTGTGTGTAAACATACTGGCTAAAGTTAAAAGAGTATCATCCAGTTTTTCTGTAAATTGAGTATTAAAATAAAAGCACATAGGCTGGGCGCAGTGGCTCATGCCTGTAATCCCTGCACTTTGGGAGGCCAAGGTGGGCAGATCACAAGGTCAGGAGTTCAAGACCAGCCTGGCCAACATTGTGAAACCCCGTCTCTACTAAAAACACAAAAATTAGCTGGGCATGGTGGCACGTCTGTAGTCCCAGCTACTTGGGAGGCTGAGACAGGAGAATTGCTTGAACCTAGGAGGCAGAGGTTGCAGTGAGCCGAGATCACATCACTGCACTCCAGCCTGGGTGACAAAGTGAGACTCTGTCTCTAAAAAAAAAAAAAAAAATCGATAAAATCAATAAAATAAAAGCATAACAGGTTTCTTTGAAAGCACTAACCTGCTCTTCAACGAAAATTATAAAGGGTTATAAAAGATCTATAAAAATCTTACCTTATGGTCAAACATTAAAATTGTGTCAATATGTCTATGAGGTTTTAATAAGAATTTGGTTTAACATTAATAGTACACTAACGTAAAGGTGAAATTTGGCTTATTTAGTACCAAAAACCACACAGGAAGCATTGCCAAATATAAAATGGGGTTTGACTTTCTTTGGGCCATATATGTGTAAATATGTTATTGGTATGTGTTCCAAAATCATGTGAAACTCCTATAATTCTGATATATCAGTGTACGTTATCAGTAATAATTATAATTATGTTAAATTATTGTGTGCCACAGAGGTAACAGATTTTGTCAATTGTGTCTTTTTTTTTTTCTTTTTTTTTTTTCGAGATAGCTGCTCGCTCTGTTGCCCAGGCTAAAGCACAGTGGTGTGATCTCGGCTCACTGCAACCTCTGCCTCCCGGGTTGAAGCAATTCTCCTGCCTCAGCCTCCTGAGTAGCTGGGATTACAGGTGTGCACCACCATGCCTGGCTAAATTTTTGTATTTTTAGTAGAGACGGGCTTTCACTGTGTTGCCTGGAGTGGTCACAAACTCCTGAGCTCAGGCAATCCACACACCTCAGCCTCCCAAAGTGCTAGGATTACAGGCGTGAGCCACCATGCCCAGCCTCAACTGTGTCTTTATGGCTACCCGAAAACCTTTTGTCATCCATGAACAATTGTTGTCTTGTTTTGGTCCTCTTTATTTAGTTTTTTTTTTGAGGTGGAGTCTCACTCTGTTGCCCAGGCTGGGGTGCAACGGCATGATCTTGGCTCACTGCAAACTCCGCCTCCCGGGTTCAAGTGATTCTCCTGCCTCAGCCTCCCAAGTAGCTGGGATTACAGGTACCCGCCATCATGCCTAATTTTGTTTGTATTTTTGTAGAGATGGCGTTTCACCATGTTGGCCAGGCTGGTCTTGAACTCCTGGCCTCAGGTGATCCACCTGCCTTGGCCTCCCAAAGTGCTGGGATTACAGGCATGAGCCACTGTGCCCGGCTGTTTTGGTCCTCTTTAGAAGTTGATTTTATAATCAGCTATAAAGCTCTAACAAGTGCTCTTGAATGCAGGTTTCTGATAACTTTGGAGATTGTGACATCAGAACAGAGGAAAAATGTTCAGGACTCCTGAAGAGCTAACATGTTCATTAATATCAAGCAGGACAGTAATTAACTGCATGAACTGAATAGGAGACTGGAGTGATCTTTTTGAGTTTTTGCTTAAAATATTGCTAATCCTTTGTTTTACTTTTCAGAGTCAAGGAAACTTTTCTTCTGAGCTACTGACAGCTTTTAACAATTTAGTATACTCCCATGAACAAAATGTGGAGCATATTTGTTTCTACCCAATTTTCTCCAGAATTTGGAAACTATTTGTGAGTATTCTTAATTATGGCAATATAGTTATTTGCATAAGTTCAATAAGAATCTGTTTTCATTTATAACAGGACACAACTGGAAAAACTTGTTATTTTACCAAGGCTTTAACTGGAATGGTGTGTTTTCCTTTAATGAATCAAACTTGACTTAGGGAGCCAAGAAAACCCTTGGAAAACTGCCCTCATATTTTGTGTACAGTCCCTGTACAGGGTTTCTGATCTGTGGTAAGTAAAGAATGTCACCTTCTGACAGGCCAGGAACCCCAAGTTATCTTGGGACCTCAAGAGGAGAGGAATTCACCCAAGTCATAGGTATTTCATGGTACAAATCCATGGCTGGGCTTGGCTTTAAAAAGGTCTTATCTTACCAGGTAAGGTGGCTCACTTCTGTAATCCCAGCACTTCGGGAGGCCGAGGTGGGTGGATCACCTGAGGTCAGGAGTTTGAGACCAGCCTGACCAACATGGAGAAACCCCCTCTCTACTAAAAATACGAAATTAGCTGCACATGGTGGCGCATGCCTGTAATCCCAGCTACTTGGGAGGCTGAGGCAGAAGAATCACTTGAACCCGGGAGGCGGAGGTTGCAGTGAGCCGAGATCATGCCATTGCACTCCAGCCTGGGCAACAAGAGCAAAACTCTGTCTCAAAAAAAAAAAAAAAAAAAGTCTTATCTCAGATTCCTTCTATGGAACAAAGTTCCATCAAAGCCTGTTTTTTTTTTTTTAATTTTTAAAATATATATTAAATAAAAAAATTTTATTTTAAAAGAAAATGATTTTTCTTGCTGCACTTTATACAAATAATCTGGCCAAGTACAATAAAGCAAATTGGTCCTACCATGATTTGTCTTCTAATAAAAATAGGAAACTAGAGAGAGAAAAATTTTGTTTCAAAAACTATAGTATACCTGTTGTTAAATTCTATGCCTGATGTTTTTCAGTTTTTATTTTTTTCCACAGTTTGGATTAAATTCTAATTTTTCTGGCCACAGGTCTTCAAAATAATGTTTTCAATTTTTCCTTTTCCTTTTCCTTTTTCCCCATTTTTCCTATTTGGAAATCACTGAAACCTAAGCTGTGCTTTCTTAAAGCCCTGTGAACTGAAGACTAGACAACTTAAACTTCAGAAGAAAACAGCAGTAACCTATTTATATGTGTTGCTGTTACATACTATTATGTTTCAGCAGGTGCTGCCTCTAAGCCTCTGAAACAGAGAGTGCTACCGGGAACAAGTTGACCTCTTCTACTTCAGTGCTGCATTCAGTGCCCCATAATGATGAGCCCCTCTAAGCAAAAAGTAGCCAGAAAGATTATGATGCCCCATCTCCCTACGATTCTCATGATAAATAAATATACAAGCATGATAGAAATCATGCGCAAATTGACAGTGGGGATTGCGGCAGGCCAGGACTCACTAACATAGGCTTCCATCACAACTGTTTCAGTACTGACTGAGTGGTTAAGTTAAATATTAAAAGCCAGTGACCTTATACAAAGGCTGGGATGTAACAAAAGCCCAAGAGTTTTGCCTAGGACTTTCCTGAACCTTAAAGCACGATTAAGTAAGTTTTACTGGGGGGTCTGAAGAGACTCCCCAGGCCTCCACAAACAAGTTGATTGGGGGTCTGAAGGAACTCCCCAAACCTCCATGATTTAGCAGGAGACAAGATAAGGGTAATCACCTCAGCACCTGGACCCAGTTAGATTAAGTAAATTTACTGAGGCTCCAGAGGAAGGTCTTCAGGACTCAGACCTTAGTTATAGATTAAAAGAAGTTAATCACTTATGTCTTTAGATGAGTGCACACTTAACACGTAGACGTATAGCTTAGAAGGTATATAAGCTCTGGAAAACTTTCTAATTTTGCGTTGGTCTGGTGATAATTTCCAGGCCTTCTCCCTGGAGCCACTTACAGAAATAAAAACTCTCTTCCTTCCCAGTTGACCTGCATCTTGTTATTGGGCCACGAGAAATAGCAGCCTGACCCTCAGTTTGGTCCAGGAACAAAACCATGCTTTGCAGTCAGAGAAACAAATCTAAAGTTCCAAAAGAAGAGGGTTCTTTTGGAAATAAATTCCTTTTATCCCTTCCTCAGAAACATATTTTGAATTCAAACAATGATTTTTATTCCAAGGGAGAACTGTCATTTAAAAACTGGTATTTTAGCATAATCATTGCATTCCTTAGATTTTAATGACTCCATGGATGGAGTTTACTGAACACACTGAATATCTGAGAAAGCACAAGTTCTTGCCCTCCAGGAACGTCCATCTCTAAAGCAAAACAAATAAATAGAGAATCAAAGACAAAAAGAGGAACAAGATTATTCATTAAGCAGATGTGGCAGCATGGAGGGAGAACTGTCTCCAGAGAGTTATTAGAGTGGCCTGGGAGTGAGATGGAGAGCATGACAAGAGATTTTCAGGGAAGAAGTCCATAAAGACAAGAAGTGATTTATTAATTTTGCAAAGAGATCAGCTGACACCACGTTGAAGACAGTTTTTATTTTGATTTTTATTTTTTATAGAGATGGAGTCTCACTATGTTGTCCAGGCTGGTCTCAAACTCCTGGGCTCAAGCAACCCACCCGCCTTGGCCTCCCAAAGTTTTGGGATGACAACTGTAAGCCACCGCACCTGGCCAAAGACAGTTTTTATGAACTGTCTAGGAAAAAACTGAAACTAAGATAGGAGTTAACAGGAAGTAACAGGAGTACAATGTCCACTTCAGTCCATAAAGTGAGGGTCTGAAACGAAGTAGCGCCAAAGAAAAGGAAGTCAAATTCAAATGTATCTGAATACGACTTAGCGACCTGCTGGAAGGTGGGGGCCGACAGCTAACATTTAAAGTAGTTATTTTACCTTCATTTTAATTATGCCATGTTTTATTCTCATAACCTTCCTGGGACAAGGAGAAGGAATAATCTGCCCAGTTCAAAAAAAGGGAAGCTGAGGCTCACAGAGGAAAAATGATTTGTCCTATGTGATAGGGGCAGATCTTGCTGGCTGCCCAGCCAGTAGCCCATCTCTTCTGCCTTGTTAAAACCACCCCAATTTTGATGCGTGCCCATGTGGCCAGCCCCAGAGAATGAATCTTGACAAGTCCACACCAAAGAAGGTAATGGCACTACCTCTGTCAGGATCTCTGCCACATACTTGCTGAGAGTCCCGTGAAGCTTAGAAAAGCCATGTGACAGCTCCACCCCAAGAAATTTAAGGGGACACCTGCAAGTCGGCATCCAGAAACATTTTCTTTCTTAATAAAAAGGGAGCTATGGGGAGAGTCCTCGTCCTCCCTTTCTACTGCAGTTGCTGTCTTGTGAGCCTGAAGTGATCAGCCTGAGGATGGAAACCAACTCACTATGGATGAAGGAGAGGAAGCGTGGAAGAGATTGGTTCCCTGATCATATCGTTGAGCCATGGAACTGACCCTGGGACCTCCCTCCCATCCCCACATTTCTTGGAGACTCTGCAGAAAAGCATTAACATGGCAGGCCTGAGACTGCTGTCCTTGGAAAGGCTTGCTTTCAAGGTTGGCCACTGGCTGGGTGTCCGGGAACTTAGATTTCGGGAGGGCTCCCACCATTTCTTAAACTGCTAAGAATGCCTCATTGTGGTTTATGCTGAACTCCCGCTTTCCTTGTGGGGTCTGGAATTTGGATATGTGGTAGGCAGAGGATACCTATACGACCAGTCCCCAGTAAAAGTCCTGGGCACTGAGTCTCTAATGAGCTTCCCTGGAAGACAGCATCTCACACGTGTTGTCACAACTCCTTGCTAGAGGAATTAAGCACGTCCTGTGTGACTCTACTGTGCCTGCTTACCCCTGGACTTCCACCCCATGTGCCTTTTTCCTTTCCTGATTTTATTCTTGTACTCTTTCATTGCAATACATCACGGCCATGAATACAACTATATGCTGAGTCCCATAAGTCTTCCTAGCCAATCATCAAACCTGGGGATGGTTCTTGGGGACTCCCTGACACAAAAATAAAGTTTCTTTCATTAAGCCTCTGATCACTGGACTTTCTGTAATTTGCAAATGATATAACAATAAAGACAGTAAGTAGTGTAGGGAACTCAAACACAGGCTATCTGCCTCTAAATCCCAAGCTCATGCTCCAATCCCACGCTGCCTCAGGTCAGTTGAGCAAGTTGACAAGGGCTTGAAGAACTGAAAGGAATGGTAAGAATAAAGTAAAGTAGGAAGAGCTTCAAAGGTCAGAAAAAACATAAATTTGTTAAAGTAAACACAGAGCAAGGTAGAGTTTAAGGCCTGCCGCAAGAATAGGAAGAGAATAAGCATACAGTGGCAAAGTCTTAGGAAATTAATATTCTTATAAAGTAGTTGGTTAATTTTTCAAAGATACTATATTTCATACAATTTTAGAATTTCAGCATCTTAGTGTGGGAATGGACCTTCCTATCCAGGTAGCCCCACTTCCAGGGGTAGGGAGCACAGGACTTAGAAGGGCAGCCAGTAATTACTGTTACTCAACTCTAATCAGAAAATTCTTCTCACTTCTCTAGTCATTTCTACCCCACAGCCTCAGGTCTATCCTCATAAGGAACATCTACGACTTCTTTTCTGCAAAAGACCTTTCAGATTTTCTGCAATGTCCCTAAGTTTCTTCTTCAAATCGAGATCCCCAATTTTAAAAAGTATTGTTCATAAGCCCTAGGATCCAAGCTATTGACTGTGCATTGTAAACCTGGGTGTGTTATCAGAACTCAATTAGATATTTTACTCCCACATCAAAGCAGGTACATAGTCACCTCTGTACACTCTAACTTTAGGAGTCCTCTTAGTTTGCAAGTTAGGCAGCTGGAACTTGAAATATACTTTCCCTACAGAAGAAAAGGAGGACAGTCTAACACAGGTCCACTGCAATACTAATAGCACTTTTCAAAGGAGGAGGAGGTGGCCCTTTCCCCATTCCTAGGCATGGAATAGTTTTAGGGGCGGTTTAGAAAAAGCTAAAGATCACAAAGCTCATCTTTGGCCATCCTCCCACTGATGTAAACTGTGTGACTGATTCAGATATTTAACATTCTCAGAAGTACAGATTTTCTTTTTATTTATTTATTTTTTTCAGAAAGAGTAGAGGCAAAGCTTTAATTTGGTTGACTTTAACAAAAACCAACTAACCAACTTAACGGCATGGGGCCTTGAGGGAGGTAGGGAGGAGCTCTTAAGTGAGTTCTCCTATAAATTGTTCCTTCCTTTGGAGACAGTGACAATCGGAGGTTGTAAATTTATCAGGAGGGAGGGCCAAGAATCAGGAGACCAGGAGGTTTGGTTTTGAGTGAGGGAGTGGAATGCAGGCCTGGGTGTCCACCACTAACTGGTGAGTTGCCTGAATGTATAAATAGGTCACCAGGAACCAGGAAGTATTTAGTGTCCAGTCTTGAAGGTAGGCACTCAACAAATATATGCAGAACAAATGGGGCTCCCAGGAGATTTTTTTTTTTTTTTTTGTGAGATGCAGTCTCACTTTGTCACCTACACTGGAGTGCAGTGGCGCGATCTCGGCTCACTGCAACCTCCGCCTCCCGGGTTCAAGCGATTCTCCCGCCTCAGCCTCTTGAGTAGCTGGGATTATAGGCGCGCACCACCACGCCCAGCTAATTTTTGTATTTTTAGTAGGGACAGGGTTTCACCACGTTGGTCAGGCTGGTCTCGATCTCCTGACCTCGTGATCTGCCTGCCTTGGCCTCCCAAAGCTGCTGGGATTATAGGCGTGAGCCACCGCACCCGGCTGATATTTTATGTAGATTTCAAAAGACTTAAGAAATGAATCTACTCTGGGAGTCAGGCTCACAGATGTTTAATTCCAGTTTTCAAAACATAAATGGGTCTTCTTAAAGACAATATACTTCTTAGGATCAATATGTAGAAATAAAAAATATCTGATCATCTCTCTTGTCTCTCACAGTTTGTATATGAACTAGAACCTTTACGACTTTCTAAAATCACATAAATTTCAGAAAAGAAAGAATTCTCATTTATTCTGAAGCTTTAAATTCACAATGTGTGTGTGTTTGTGGGTACTTCCATCTAACCTCAGCTTCCGTAAATATCAAAAGAGAATCTGGTGAGCAGAAAGATGGCAGCATTAGCTCCAAAGTACACATCCATATGAAAAATGCAGTTATTAGAAAATATTCAGAGGGGCCAGGCACGGTGGCTCACGCCTGTAATCCCACCACTTTGAGGCCAAGGTGGGTGAATCACTTGAGATCAGGAGTTTGAGACCAGCCTGACCAACATGGTGAAACACTGTCTCCATTAAAAATACAAAAAAAAAAAAAATTAGCCAGGTGTGGCAGCGTGTGCCTGTAGTCCCAGCTACTCAGGAGGCTGAGGCAGGAGAATTGCTTGAACCCAGGAGGTGGAGGTTGCAATGAGCCGAGATCGTGCCATTGCACTCCAGCCTGGGCGACAGAGCAAGACTATTCTATCTGGGGGCCTTGGGCTGAGATTATACACTGTCATGGTTTGAGATTATGTCTGTTTTCCCTGTCCTTTCATCCCACAGTAAACTTTTAAACGTTAGGGCCCAGCCTGCCCAACATCGCGAAACCCCATCTCTACTAAAAATACAAAAATTAGCTGGGCGTGGTAGGGCATGCCTGTAATCCAAGCTACTGGAGAGGATAAGGTAGGAAGATCACTTGAACCCTGGAGGTGGAGGTTGCAGTGAGCCAACATCGTGCCACTGCACTCCAGCCTGGGCGACAGAGTGAGACCCTGTCTCCAGAAAAACTGTTCGGCCCTTTCTTACTCAAATATGTGTTTATCTACTCTCAGGCTGCTCTCCTCCCACATCCCTGTCTCCACCCCCATCCCCCCACCCCCATCTTTTAGTAGATTCTTCAAATGTTGCTGAACTTAGTATCTACCT
Organism: Homo sapiens; assembly: GCF_000001405.40. Classification (NCBI taxonomy): domain Eukaryota; kingdom Metazoa; phylum Chordata; class Mammalia; order Primates; family Hominidae; genus Homo; species Homo sapiens. Next base: position 16,721,102 of record NC_000023.11, on the reverse strand, counting down.
TTGTTGCAGTTCTCTCACTTGTAGTGCTGGGCTGCTTTAGGGCTCACCTCCTCAAAGATGCTTTTTTGTTTTGTTTTGTTTTGTTTTTTTGAGATGGAGTCTTGCTCTGTCACCCAGGCTGGAGTGCAGTGGTGCGATCTCAGCTCACTGCAACTTCCACCTCCCCAGTTCAAGCGATTCTCCTGCCTCAGCCTCCTGAGTAGCTGGGATTACAGGTGCCCGCCACCACGCCCGGCTATTTTTTGTATTTTTAGTAGAGACGGGGTTACATCGTGTTGGCCAGGCTGGTCTCGAACTGCTGACCTCATGATCCGCCCACCTCAGCCTCTCAAAGTGCTGGGATTACAGGCCTGAGCCACCATATCCGGCCTCAAAGATGCTTTCTGTGATCACTGAAGCCCACCATGGTCTCTCCAGAAATGAGAATTACTACAGCATGTGTTTACTCCACGTCTATTATCACCTGTCCCCCAACCCCTGTAGACTGTAAACTTGGAAAGAGCACGGGCTTTAAAATGAGAAAGATCGAAGCTCAAATTCCACTTCTACCACTCACTATCAGTATAACTTTGGCCCAATAACTCTGGGCTTGTTCCCCCAACTCACTGGGGGTGTTTAACAGATGAAATGGGATATCTTTCATAAAACATCTAGTACTGCAACTTGCGTATAGCAGACAGTTGGCATTTTCTCTCCCTCCTTAAGGAAAAAGGTCTCTGTACCTAAAAAGCATTTGACCGGGGCAGACATTGACATTCAGTAACTGTCAGTTTACTTCAGACAACACGTTCTGACCTAGGGGCAAAAAATTATTTTTTCAACCAATTCAAGCTCGCCAACTATCCCCGATCTGGGGGGTGTAAATGAAGGTTTTCGAGTTGAACAAAAAAGATTCCTTGTCAAACCTGAAGACGTCGGGTCACACTGCTTGACTGCATACCTGATTCCAATGTCTGCAAACTTTGTAGACTTGTCACCAGGAACTTCAGGGACAGGACCTGACTGCTAGATGAAGCTCTGGCCTCGTCCAGATCCTCACCAATCTCTCCCGACCCGGAGAGGACTGACCGACAGACACATCTTCCTCCCCTGCCTCCCACCTCGGCCCCCTCATCCCCCAGCCAGTCGGGCCCGCGCCCCAGGGCCGTCCCAGAGGAGGAATGCGCCCCCCCCTTCCCGGTCCCAGAGCCAGGGTAGACTCACTGCCGAAGTCTTTGGCCTGGTGGAGGAGCTCCTGGTCTCCCGCTTGCTGCAGCTCCTCCTCCGCAGACTCAGCCACCGTCTCGGACGGCTGCTCGGGTGGAGCATCTCCATTGGGCTGCCCACCGCCTGCCACCGGCTGCTGCAAGCCCAACCAACTGCTCAAGCCCCGGAACATCCCGCTCGCGGGCCGCCGCCGCGGTCCCGATCCCCAGAGACCGCAGCGAGCACTGGTTGCCTTTGACTCCACTCTGCGCGACTCCCAGGGAGATGTCCGGAAGTCGGAGGAACACCGCAGCCGCCGCAGCCCCGCCTCTATGACGACTCCGCCGCGGCCGCGCAAGCGTCACTTCCGTCCAAAGGCTCCGCCCCTGGTGACGTCAGTTGTGACAACTGTTTTGTGCGCGTGGATAGGGGACAAAGAGCTTTCCCAGCGTAGCCCTGCCTTCCCTCTTTTCCTCATTCGCCAGCTTTGTAGGTGACTGACCTAGTAGGCATGTGGACGGTGTCTTTGTCACAGTCCTAGCCAGTCCCATTTTAAGATTGCCTCTAGGCAGCTTGGCTGGTGACTTAGTCTCGCCTTTTCAGGTCCCGCAGGGCTGCGTTCCCGCAGAATTGGATGTCTTTAGCCTCCTCCTGAGCCCAATTCAAAACTAACCCAAAGCCGCCAAGCCCAACAGGGAATAAGAGGACAGAATAAGGTGTTAAACAACACAATGGGATGCTGTCAGCAGAATCTAGACTATGAGAAGCCACAGGACAGACAACCTTGTTTCTTCAAATAAATTGCAAGGAAGAGAGGAGTGTGGTGGGGAACCTATAGATTAAAAAAGACTTAAGAGATGTAACACATGGCCCCTTGTGCATTTTATTAGGATCCTAATTCAGCAAACACATTGAAAAAAATAGTATGATACTTATTATAAGAACTGGAAATTTGGACACTGGGTAGTTGATAAAATTAAGGAATTGTGAAATTACAAAATTTTAATTGTGGTAAAATACACAAAATTTACCATCTTAATATGATTTACCATCTTAACCGTTTCTAAGTGTACAATTCAGTACTGTTAAGTACATTTACATTGTTGAGCAATCAATCTTCAGAACTCTTCATCTTGCAATTAAAAGAATGAAAAATAGTCCGAGTGCGGTGGCTCACGCCTGTAATCCCAGCACTTTGGAAGGCCGAGGCGGGAGGATCACAAGGTCAGGAGTTCGAGACCATCCTGGCTAACACGGTGAAACCCCGTCTCTACTGAAAATAGAAAAAAATTAGCCGGGCGTGGTGGCGGGCGCCTGTAGTCCCAGCTACTAGGGAGGCTGAGGCAGGAGAATGGCGTGAACTCGGGAGGCAGAGGTTGCAGAGTCCATTCTCAAAAAAAAAAAAAAAAGAAAAAAGAAAAATAGAACTTCATCTTGCAAAACTGAAACTACCTATGAAACAACTCCCCATTCCTGTCCTTGTCATCCCCCTCCTCCCCCCATTCTACTTCTTGTCTCTATGGATCTGACTAGATACCTTAATATAAGTGGAATCATTCAGTATTTGTCTGTAACTGGCTTCTTTCACTTAGTATAATGTCCTCAAGGCTGTGTCAATTTCTTTTTAAGAGTGAATAGTATTCCCTTGTATGTATACACCACGTTTTGTTTATCCATCTGTTTATCCACCGCACATATTGAGATTTTACCAAAGAAATGATACCATATCTGGGCCAGGCGCAGTGGCTCACGCCTGTAATCCCAGCGCTTTGGGAGACCGAGATGGGTGGATCACCTGAGGTTAGGAGTTTGAGACTAGCCTGACCAACATGGTGAAACCCCGTTTGTACTAAAAATACAAAAAATTAGCTGGGTGTGCTGGCGGGCGCCTGTAATCCCAGCTACTCGAGAGGCCGAGGCAGGAGAATCACTTGAACTCAGGAGGCGGAGGTTGCAGTGAGCTGAGATCCTGCCATTGCCCTCCAGCCTGGATGACAAGAGCAAAACTCCGTCTCAAAAAAAAAAAAAAGAAAAAGAAAAAAAGAAATGATGCCACGTCTGGAATTTGCTTCAAATTAATACAGGATGGGGGTGGGGGGAATGGGGGGGGATATAGATGAAACAAGCCTGGCCATGGGTTGAAGCTGGGTAGTTAAACATTTGTCTTTTTTATATTTTTAACTTTTCCCACAATAACATGTAAAACTAACAAAAAACTAGTGATGTGCATAACTACCCCTTCAGAGCAGGGAGTTCATGGACACATTTCCCAAGCACAGTCTTCAGTCATTAATTGTGGAAGGACATCCATGATTCCTTGCTCCCCAACTATTTTGAGAAGAGGAGGACAGTTCCGGTGACCTGAGGGAATACATGAGGAATTGATTACAACTCTGATTTCCCTGCTGTCCAGTTTTCCAGCCTGACTTATATTTATATTTTATTCAGGTCCAGGATTTTAGGTTATCAAGCCCAACCTGTTTTTTTCTTTCCCCCAAACAGCTGAGATTTAAACAATTCACCTGTTTAAAGTGTACAATTCAATGGTATATATTTTTGGTGTATTACACTATTAATATTTTAAATTGAAGTAAAAATAAATTTTTTTTAGTGTACAGTTCAGTGGCATTGATGACATTCCAGCCTGTTTTTAGAGTCCAAGTATTGATTCAGCTTTGAAGTCAGGAGATGTCTTAGGATCAATGCCTTTCTAGGCTTTATTAAGTCAATGAGAACCTGAAAGTGGTTGAGACTTTCGGGAATAGGATATTTGCTTCAAGTATGATTGAACAGAGCCTGGAATTTGAGTGAGAAGCCTAGGATGGGCTTCTAATTCCACCATCTAGTAGGTGAATAAACTTGACTTTTTTTTTTTTTTTAGACGGAGTCTCACTCTGTCTTGCCCAGGCTGAAGTGCAGTGGCACAATCTCGACTCACTGTATCCTCTGCCTCCTGGGTTCAAGCAATTCTCCTGCCTCAGCCTCCCAAATAGCTGGAATTACAGGCACCTGCCACCACACCTGGCTAATTTTGTATTTTTAGTAGAGACGGGGTTTCACCATGTTGGCCAGGCTGGTCTCGAACTCCTGATCTCAGGTGATCCACCCACCTTGGCCTCCCAAAGTGCTGGGATTACAGGAGTGAGCCACCGCACCCGGCCTAAACTTGACGTTTTACTCATCCTTTTGCCCCTCAAGTTCCCTCACTTGCAAAAGAAGTATAGTGCTGGTCCTTCCCACAGCAGAGATAGGGCCCAGCCCTTTCAGCCTTACTCTGCTTTATCTTAAGGTACACTCAAAATCGTGGTGAACACTGTGGTCACCAAGGGATAGACAGTTTTACAACTCTTCTGAAAGGTAGAATTCTTAAAAATAAGAGATTAGGCTGGGCACAGTGGCTCATGCCTGTAATCCCAGCACTTTGTGAGGCCGAGGTGGGAGGATTGCTTGAGTCTAGAAGTTTGAGACCAGCCTGGGCAACATAACGAGACCCTGTCTATACAAAAAATAAAAAATGAGCTGGGTGTAGTGGCTTGCACCTGTCGTCTCAGCTACTCAGGAGGCTGAGGCAGGGGGATTGCTTGAGCCTGGGAGCTGGAGGCTGCAGTGAGCTGTGATCGTGCCACTGCACTCCAGCCTGGGTGATAGAGCGAGACCCCGACTGAAAAAAAGAAAAAAAAAAAAGATTACAAAACAAGAACATAAGCAATCAACTTAATGATGGGCTTCATTTTCATTTTAAAAAAATCATCTGGCCAGGCACGGTGGCTCATGCCTGTAATCCCAGAACTTTGAGAGGCCGAGGCAGGTGGATCACCTGAGGTCAGGAGTTCGAGACCAGCCTGGCCAACATGGTAAAACCCTGTCTCTACTAAAAATACAAAAATTAGTCGGGCGTGGTGGTGGGCGCCTGTAATCCCAGCTACTCAGGAGGCTGAGGCAGGAGAATCACTTGAACCCGGGAGGTGGAGGTTGCAGTGAGCTGGGATCATGCCATTGCACTCCAGCCTGGGCGACAAGAATGAATCCCCACCTCAAAAAAAAAAAAAAAAAATCATCTTGTGCGGATTCAGCAAGATGTTATGCTGGTGGTGGGCCATGAACTGACACTTGTTGAATGAGGATACATCCTTATCCCACACAATTCAGTCAATCCACACCCTGTTATCAAATTTGTTTTCCAGCTCATTATTTTTCCCATTTGAGATTAATAATACAATAGTTATTATAATGAGCCCTTTGTATATACAGATTATCTTTTATCCATTAGCCTCATGGATGAATAGAATAGGACAATTGGATCAGGCCTCACATCCTGTGGTGGAGTCTGGCTGTGCATTGATGTCCTGGCTTTGCCACTCATATTAACTAACGTACCCTTGGTCAAGACATTTCACATCTCTGAACCTCAGGTCCCTCATTCTAAAAAGGGGATCATAACAACTGTCCTGGTTCTAAAAAGATAATGAAAGACGGAACTGTGGAAGGAAACCTTACATATGCGGCAGGTATTAAGTATTAGCACCCATACCAACCCATTTCACAAACATTCTTTCCCCTGAGCCCTCTGGAAGACTTGTTTATGCCTCTAGCCTTTTGACAAGGTGGTTCCTTGTCCCTCCCCTGGACCCCCCAACACCCATGGAGACCTGGATCTCCCCCAAGGCTACCCTGCTGAGTGAAGCGTCTGCTTATTTTCCCAGAAATTGACATCATTGTTCCAAGTTCCTTACTGCTTCCTCCACAACACTGTTCTTTCATCCTTGGTGGGGAGAAACTCCATTGTGTTTATTTTATTTTATTTTTTGAGATGGAGTTTCGCTCTTGTCGCCCAGGCTGGAGTGCAATGGCGCGATCTGGGCTCACTGCAACCTCCACCTCCCGGGTTCAAGAGATTCTCCTGCTTCAGCCTCCTGAGTAGCTGGGACTACAGGCACCCGCCACCGCGGCCGGCTAATTTTTTGTATTTTTAGCAGAGACGGGGTTTCACCGTGTTAACCAGGATGGTCTCGATCTCCTGATCTCGTGATCCACCCACCTCGGCCTCCCAAAGTGCTGGGATTACAGGGGTGAGCCACCATGCCTGGTCGTGTTTATTTTTTTAAATTAATTAATTGATTTTTTTTTTGAGACAAGGTCTCAGTCTGTCGTCCAGGCTGGAGTGCAGTGGCACGGTCATAGCTCATTGCAGCCTTGACCTCCTGGGCTCAGGCGACCTTCCTGCTTCAGCCTCCCCTGGGATGCATGCCAGCACACGTGATAATTTTTGTATTTTTTGTAGAGACAGGATTTTGCCATGTTGTCCAGGTAAGTCACCAACTCCTGGACTCAAACTATCTGCCTGCCTCAGCCTCTCAAAGTGCTGGGATTACAGGGGTGTGCCATGGCGCCAGGCCTCCATTGTGTCTTGAAAGGCACTGACATTTGTTCTGCAACCTTCTCCCTTTCCTTGTCACAGTCATCTATTAGTTTCAGGCTCACTACCCACCCCGCAACCCCAATTCTCTAAAGTTCCTTGACCTCGATTGACTCCTCCACCTCCTGCCATCCTTTTGGGACCCTCGATGTCCAACATACCAGCCTTGTGGGCACTAAACCCAAGGCCAGTGATGCCCATCTCACTTTTCTATTCCATTGTAGCTGCCACACCCCAAACTGTCTCATTTCCTGGAATATCCATTTGAAGGCCTGAACTCCAGCACCACACTCTCTGCTGCCAGTTTGCCAGTCCTCTCCTCAGAGGCCCTGGCCTTGGAGCCCTTCTCTCATCTGTCTCCCAGTCCATCAGCTCCCCGCTGGTTTTATTAACAGTTCCTGTCCTCTAGGACTAGAGCTCTGGCCCATCACTGCAATCGCAGTCTTTCTGTGCCCTCCACCTCCTCACCCTCTTGTCCTTCTATTCTATGCAAGCAGGAAACTTGGGTTTCATAACTAAGAGCTATATTTCTGTAGATACCTTGCCAGATTATAGCAGATTATAGCTGGACACCACTACACGATGATGGTTTCTAAACTCCACTAGGTCTTCAGTGACTCTTGTCTAACTTGTCGCTCTAGCATCTCACACTGGTTATGCGAAATTTCCACCACTTTCCTAAAACCTTCCATCTCACTTCAGACCCTTCTGTTGTCCATGTTAGCTTCCTTCAGTGGTTGGCTTCTTGCCTTCACCCGAAAAACCTCCTGTATCCGTTCCCAGCACCAATCATCCTCCAATACTCTTTTTTTTTTTTTTTTTTGAGACAAAGTCTCCTCTGTCACCCAGGCTGGAGTGCAGTGGCCTGATCTCGGCTCACTGCAACCTCTGCCTCCCAGGTTCAAGCGATTCTCTCTGCCTCAGCCTTCGGAGTAGGTGGGATTACAGGCAGGTGCCACCACACCTGGCTAATTTTGCATTTTTAGTAGAGACAGGGTTACACCACGTTGGCCAGGCTGGTCTCGAACTCCCGACCTCAGGTGATCCGCCTGCCTTGGCCTCCCAAAGTGCTGGGATTACAGGCGTGAGTCACCCGAAGAGTGACTTTTTAGAGTATTTGGGCGGGGTGCAGTGGCTCAAGCCTGTAATCCCAGCATTTTGGGAGGCAAGGCAGGAGGATCAGCTGAGGTCGGGAGTTCGAGACCAGCCTGGCCAACGTGATGTAACCCCGTTTCTGTTAAAAATGCAAAATTAGCCGAGCTTTTTGGCATCCGCCTGTAATCCCAGCTACTCCGGGGGCTGAGGCAGGGACAATCGCTTGAACCCGGGAGGCGGAGGTTGCAGTGAGCCCAGATCGCGCCATTGCACTCCAGCCTGGGCAAAAAGGGCGAACGAAACTCCGTCTCAAAAAAAAAAAAAAAAAAAAAGTCACTCTTGGAAGCCTTAATTGCCTTCCTCCCCTCACTGCACCCCCGCAACTCTTTGCTGCAGAAGTATTGTTCTAGGGAACCTTACTGGTTCCAACAGACGGGTGGACCTCCCACCAGACTGTGAGCTAGCTCCTCAAAGGCAGGCATTCTCTTTCCTTTTCCTTCTCTCCTGAGCGCTCCTGCAGTTCCTGGGGCGTAGTAGGGGATCCACAAGCGTTTGTGACCAGTGAAGTTCTTTACAAGGGTGAGATCTGCACGGGAGGACCCGAGCGAGGGTCTCGGCTTGCCAGGAAGCCGGGGTTCCCCGGGAAGCGTGGAGTTCACCCGCGCACTCGAAGTGCCTTTGCAAAGTGAGCCACGGGAGGGAGGAGCGGTCCCCGGGCTGGGCGAGGCCTGGGGCCCAGTGCGTCCAGAGCGGAGGGTGACGGGAGCTGCCTGTGCTGGAGGAATCACTTTTTAGGCGCTTGTTTTGGACCATTGCACAAACCCGGGTGCAAACCCCAAGCTCACCAGCGTGAGTGAGCTGGGCCAGCAGCAGGGAGGAGAGGGGAAGGTGGGCGAGGAGGGCGCCGCGCACCCCGAGGCCCGTGTGGGCGGTGGGAAGATCCCGGGGGCGGCTTTGGACAGCCCCGGCAGCGACCCCTTCCCCAGCCCGACAGGTGAGCGCCAGGCCAGCCGCGGGGTGGAGCCCGCCGTGCCCACCGGCCACCCTCCCCGGTGCTACCACCACCGCGCAGGTAACTTCCCTTCTGGGCCTGTCCCAGACCCCCAGGGCCTCGGCGCCCGGGCCATCCCTCGTCCCCAGGGCCTCTCCGCCCTGCACCCCCAGCCCCGGTGCACTTGTGGGGCCGGGCTCCTTTGTCCGCTCTCTGATGGCGCCGGCTCCCTGCCCAGCGCTGAGTCGGGTCCGGCCGCCAGCCCCGCGCTCGCAGACCTCGGCTGCCGGGTGTGGCGCGGGGACTGGGGAACGCTGGCCCGTGCCCAGTGCGGTTGGAGCCTGTCCCGCGCGTCCCCGGGACGCGCTTCTTCCCGCCTCCGCCCGCGCCAGCGCCCGCACCCGGATCCCCACTTCTCCCGGCCCTCGGGAGCCAGGAGAGCCCTGAGATGGCGTTGGCGGAAGTGAAGCCCCGAGCGGGGGTCTGCGAGGCTGGTGATCAGCGCCGGTAACATGGCCTTTCTGTCCTCTCCCCGGTCCCAGTGCACCCCTTAAACAACGACCCCCGCGTTTTCCCCGTACTAGATGGTTAGGGCGCATAGTGCCGAACTACGCTGCTGCTACAGAATAGCTTTTTTGGGGGCAACATAAAAAAGAATTGTATGTATGGTTTATATACAACAAAATGTCCCATTTTCAGTGTGCAAATCGACGGGATTTGACAAATTATACACTCCTGTAACCATTATCCCAAAGTGAACATTGACCATTTCCTTCACCCTGCAAAGTTCCCTGGTACCTCCTTTCTGTCAATCCACCCCAGGCCCCGCACTCAACCCCGGTTCTGATTGTTATCATAGCTTAGCTTTGACTGTTCTAGAACTTCATAGAACAAGATCATCAGGTAAGTACTCTTTTGTGTCTAACATTACTTTTTAAATGGCCATCACTGAGAAGGTGTCTCTGGGTGCTTCCGGTGCTTTTATTTGCTCTAGGCCTGCCTGGTCTAATGTGGGAGCCACTGGTCACATGTGGTTATTGAATACTGGAAATGTGGCAAAATCCGTACTGAGATGTGCTCTGAGTACAGGCACCTGATTTCTGAAAGCTTAGTACACAAAAAAGATGTCAAATATCTCACTAATACATTCTTACATTGTGCGTTAAAAGTGATAACATTTTTGGCTACATTGGGTTAAATAACATATATTAACATGAACTTCATTTGATTCTTTTTACTTTTTTAATATGGCTACTAGAAACTTAAAATTACGTACCTGGCTGTGTAATATTTTTTATTAGGTAGTGGAGACAGCACAGCTCTACACTGTGCTATCCTATAAACACTTGGTTCTGCTCACTGCATGTAAGAGTAAATGAAAAACTTGTCTTGACACCAGAAACAATCCTCAATGGAGGAAGTGATCTAAAACAGGGCCAGCCTTTCCCTGAACCTTTGAAACTTTGTTAAACTTACTTGTGTGCTTAAAAGAAGTAGAGGGCCGGGCATGGTGGCTCATGCCTGTAATCCCAGCACTTTGGGAGGCCGAGGTGGGCGGATCACGAGGTCAAGAGATCAAGACCATCCTGGACAACATGGTGAAACCCTGTCTCTACTAAAGATACAAAAATTAGCTGGGAATGGTGGCATGCACCTGTAGTCCCAGCTACTTGGGAGGCTGAGGCAGGAGAATTGCTTGAACCCGGGAGGCGGAGGTTGCAGTGAGCCCAGATCGTGTCATTGCACTCCAGCCTGGTGACAGAGCGCGACTCCAACTCAAAACAACAACAACAACAACAAAGTAGGAAGAATTAGGTGTCCCCTTGGTATTAAGTTGCATTTTTACAAAAGGTCTCTAAAATATCCAAGGTGCTTTAAAAAGGTATCTTGTGTTTTTGAAAAAACAGAAAATGAGCAATTGCTTATGTAGGGGAGGAAAGAGCTGATATCATAAGGGTCACGGCTGACAGCCTTAAACAAGAGACAGATTAACAAGAGAGAAGCATAATAATTTATTGAATCATAGGTTTATGTGACATGGGAGCCTTCAGAAATGAAAACCCCTTAAAGATGCAAGGGAAATGATCTGATTTTATGCTTGGAGTCCATGAAGCAGGGACAGATGAGCTAATGGAAATAGACTGAGTGGGGAAACCCAGCAAAGCCTGTCCACATTCTTCTTGGCCTCTCTGTTGTAGCGTTTCTTCCTCCCCAGTATGGGGTAGGACCTCTTTGGAATGAGGGTCTTAATTTCTTTATGGCCAGCTGTTGTATAGAAAGGTGGTTGAGAGGAAGGTTAGAGTCATATTTTTTGGCTTTATGGCTGGCTTTGGGGGGAAAAGGGTTCTAGTTTCTATGACTTGCCTTGGGGGAGTATGAGGGGTGAGAGACAGGAGGGCAGGAGAAGGTCAGAGAGAAACTTTGCTTCTGAGGCCTTCATTTTTGGGTTTTGTTTTCTGAGCCCCAACACATACAACCTAATCACCTAAATATATTAAGACATAACATGGTGTATCTTTGACCAAATTAAGATAGAAATCTGTTTTTTTTTTTTTTTTTTTTTTTTTGGAGACAGAGTCTCACTCTGTCACCAGGGTAGAGTGCAATGGCACGATCTTGGCTCATTGCAACCTTCACCTCCTGGGTTCAAGTGATTCTCCTGCCTCAGCCTCCCGAGTACCTGAGACTACAGGTGGGTGCCACCACGCCTGGCTAATTTTTGTATTTTTAGTAGAGACAAGGTTTAACCATGTTGGCCAGGATGGTCTTGATTTCTTGACCTTGTGATCCGCCCGCCTTGGCCTCCCAAAGTGTTGGGATTACAGGCGTGAGCCATTGCACCCGGCCATAAGATGGAAATCTTAGTGGTGACAAATAAAATTTAGATCTTAGTTTAAAAAAACATAGTCAATAATATATTCAATTTTATAGTCTGCTCTCTTTTTCAGGTAACATAAGCATTTTCTTTCTTCCTTTTTTTTTTTTTTTGAGACACGGTTTTACTTTGTTGCCCAGGTTGGAGGGCACTGGCACAATCTTGGCTCACTGCAACCTCCACCTCCCAGGTTCAAGCAATTCTCGTGCCTCAGCCTCCTGAGTAGCCGGGATTACAGGTGCACGCCACCACACCTGGCTGATTTTTTGTATTTTAGTAGAGATGGGGTTTCCCCATGTTGCCCAGGCTGGTCTCGAACTCCTGAGCTCAGGCAATCCGCCCGTCTTGGCCTCCCAAAGTGCTGGGATTACAGGCGTGAGCCACCGTGCCCGGCCACATAAGCATTTTCTTTTTTTTTAACTTTTTTTTTTGAGACGAAGTCTCGCTCTTGTCCCCCAGGCTGGAGTGCAATGGTGCTATCTGGGTTCACTACAACCTCTGCCTCCCGGGTTCAAGCGATTCTCCTGCCTCAGCCTCCCAAGTAGCTGGGATTACAGGCGCCTGCCACCACGCCTGGCTAATTTTTGTATTTTTAGTAGAGACAGGGTTTCACCATGTTGGCCAGGCTGGTCTCGAACTCCTGACCTCAGGTGATCCGCCTGCCTCAGCCTCCCAAAGAAGCATTTTCTTATACAAAAATTTATTAGGCATAATGTGACTTGTACGAATGTATGCCAGTTTTCTTCACCATACCTCTACGGCATTTTTCCATTTCGGTAACTTTTACAAAGAGAGTCATTTGAACAGTATAACAGTGCCAGAATAAGGTATAATTAAAGCACAGTTTATTTGCCCCTTAATCCTGCAGGAAAGGTGAAGTCCAGTGGAACATAGACCTTGTCTTTTTGTTTATCTCCATATTCCTAGGACTTGGAAATATGTCAAGCATGTAATAGATGTTCAAATAAACATTATATATGTAATATATGTATATATATAATTTATTTATTTATTTATTTCAGACGGAGTCTCACTCTGTTGTCCAGACTGGAGTGCAATGGTGTGATCTTGGCTCTGGGTTTGGATTGACAATGTTTTAAGCTATAAACATAGGTCAGATAGGTGGGTGCCCTGGTGACTAGTGAAGATGTGCGATGGCATTGAATGTGATCAACTGTGTTGTGTAGAGAAAGGTAGGCCCAGGGACTTAGGGAGGCCATCTGGGATGGAACATGTATATTTTGAATAGCTTCAGTTTACTCAGCCTGACCATGGTCAGCTAGTTCAAATGGAATTCACAGCTCTGACGTGTGATAACTTTAGTTAAGATAGTTTGTTTTGAAAGGTAAGCAGAGGAAACCACAAAATCAGAATGGGCATTCCTTTGAGGAGGACAAATAAGAAGTGGGTAACTGAAATTGTTCCTACCCGAATGCATTTGTGCTGAATTTCCAAGTATGTAAAAAAATTGTGAAATTACAAATGAAAGTGAAATTTATAGTTATTACCTTTTGTTAGTTACTGTCTCTCTCTCTCTCTCTTTTTATTTTTTCTTTTTTGGTACCGAGTCTCACCCTATTGTCCAGGCTGGAATGCAGTGGTGTGATCTCAGCTCACTGCAACCTCCGCCTCCCGGCTTCAAGTGATTCTCCTGCCTCAGCCTCCCATGCAGCTCATGTAGCTGGGACCACAGGCACACGCCACCACGCCCGGCTACTTTTTATATTTTTAGTAGAGACATTGTTTCGCCACGCTGACCAGGATGGTCTTGAACTCCTGACCTCAGGTGATCCGCCCGCCTTGGCCTCCCAAAGTGCTGAGATTACAGGCATGAGCCACCGCACCTGGTCTCTCTTTTTATTTTTGAGACAGGATCTTGCTTTGTCACCCAGGCTGGAGTGCAGTGGCACAATCACTTGGCTAACTGCAGCCTTGACCTCCTGGGCTCAAGCAATCCTCCTGCCTCAGCCTCCCCAGTAGCTGGGACTACAGGTGTGTGCCACCACACCTGGCTAATGTTTTATTTTTCTTTTGTAGAGAGGGAGTCTCACTATGTTGACCAGGTTGGTGTCGAACTTCTGACCTCAAGAGATCCTCCCACCTCAGCCTTCCAAAGTGTTGGGATTACAGATGTGAGCCACCATGCCTGGCATTATTTTTCTTTTTCTGTAACTGTAATTTTATATTGTGGTCTTACTCAGTTGCCCATTTGCCTGCCATGAGTACACAAATAATACTGTTTATGGTCTACTTTCACATACATGGTGAAATTACAAGAGCAGAAGGCCCCTGTACACACTCAAGGGAAAAACAATAGTACTCAAAGTAAAGAAAATCAAGTTATTGGGCTTCCTATAAAACAAAAGGGTTTGAATCAGAAAGCAGCAGAAAAGTCAAATAAATTTTCCTTATGACTGTCAACTTAAAAATCACAAGATCTATAAATTTAGAAAGGAGACTTTCTTTTTTAAAACATTTTCTTTTCTTTTTTTTTTTTTGAGACAGAGTCTCACTCTGTTGCCCAGGCTGGAGTGCAGTGGCGTGATCTCAGCTCACTGCAACCTCCGCCTCCCAGGTTCAAGTGATTCTCCTGCCTCAGCCTCCCGAGTAGCTGGGATTACAGGCGCATACTACCATGCTCGGCTAATTTTTGTTTGTTTGTTTGTTTGTTTTTTTTTTGAGACAGAGTTTCGCTCTTGTCACCCAGACTGGAGTGCAATGGTGCGATCTCAGCTCACTGCAACCTCCTCCACCCAGGTTCAAGCAATTATCCTGCCTGAGCCTCCTGAGTACCTGGGATTACAAGTGCCCACAACCACGCCCGGCTAATTTTTGTATTTTTAGTAGAGATGGGATTTCACCATGTTCGCCAGGCTGGTCTTAAACTGCTGACCTCAGGTGATCCACCCGCCTTGGCCTCCCAAAGTGCTGGGATTACAGGTGTGAGCCACTATGCCCAGCCTAACTTTTGTATTTTTTAGTAGAGACAGGGTTTCATCATGTTGGCCAGGCTGGTCTCAAACTCCTGACCTCAGGTGTTCCGCCTGCCTCAGCCTTCCAAAGTGCTGGGATTACAGGCATGAGCCATTGCACCTGGCCAAAATTTTTCTTACCTTTCGAGTCGGAGTCTCACTCTGTTGCCCAGACCGGAGTGCAGTGGCACGATCTGGGCTCACTGCAACCTCTGCCTCCCAGGTTCAAGTGATTCTCGTGCTTCAGCCCCGCAAGTAGCTGGGATTACAGGTGCCTGCCACCACACCTGGCTAATTTTTTATTTTTAGTAGAGACAGGGTTTCACCATGTTGGCCAGGCTGGTCTCGAACTCCTGATCTTAAGTGATCTGCCTGCATTGGCTGCCCAAAGTGCTGGGATTATAGGCGTGAGCCACTGTGCCTGGTGACTTTATTTCTTTTCTTTTCTTTCTTTCTTTTTTTTTTTTTGAGGCAGAGTCTTGCTCTGTCACCCAGGCTGGAGTGCAGTGGCACAATCTCGGCTCACTGCAACTTCCGCCTCCTGGGTTCAAGCCATTCTCCTGCCTCAGCCTCCCTAGTAGCCAGGATTACAGGTGTGCACCACCACACCCAGCTAATTTTTGTATTTTTAGTAGAGACAGGGTTTCACCATGTTGGTGAGGCTGGTCTCTAACTCCTGACCTCGTGATCCACCTGCCTCGGCCTCCCAAAGTGCTGGGATTACAGGGGTGAGCCACCACGCCTGGTTTACTTTATTTCTTTGCAGGCTGTAACAGCCTGCAAAGGGGCCATCCCACAGGCTGGGAAGCACACGTTTTAAAGAGACAGGGTCTCGCTATGTTGCCCAGGCTGTTCTCAAACTTCTGGCCTCAAGTGACCCTCCTACCTTGGCCTCCCAAAACCAGAGGCAGGCACTCTGAAGGAGGGTTCAGTTTTATGCTGAATGGGTTGGCTAAATATACATATTCAACAGGTTACAGGAGGAGCTATGAATATTCATGAAGGTGGTCCTGACTCATGTGTATTGAATAAACATGAAAATAGCATATGACCCCTGTTCACTTTGGGGATGGAGACTTAACATTTAAATGAATTTCAGTTAAGCCCTATGCATCAAAAGATCTTTCCAGGACATGAAGGCACGCAAGTCCACAGCCTCTGTAAACTGGCCAGAGCCAGTCCATGGTTGGTGGTCTTATCAGGAGAAAGTTACTCAAATCAGTCTCTTGTCCAATAAAAGCTGTAGTTTTGACTGGTGTAACAGGACTCAGTCAGTCAGCATCTGTGAGCTAGATGAGTTGTAATTATTTTAATATTGCTTATTTAAAAACAGTTTTTATTTTTTATTTTTTTGAGACAGAGTCTCGCTCTGTTGCCCAGGCTGGAGTGCAGTGAGCCACTGCACCTGGCAAGACTTTTTTTTTTAGAGTAATTTTAGGCTCACAGCAAAACTCAGTGGAAAGTACAGAGTTCCCATACACCCTCTCCCCCACTGCTATGCCCAGCCTCCCTGACTATTAACATCCTGCACCTGCAGAGTGGTACATTTGTTATAATCAGTGAACCTACATTGACGCATCATTTTTGCCTAAAGATCATAGGTTTTTGTTTTGTTTTTTTGAGACGGAGTTTCGCTCTCATTGCCCAGGCTGGAGTGCAATGGCCTGATCTCGGCTCACTGCAACCTCTGCCTCCCAGGTTCAAGCGATTCTCTCTTCCTCAGCCTTCGGAGTAGCTGAGATTACAGGCATGCACCACCACACCTGGCTAATTTTGTATTTTTAGTAGAGACGGGGTTTCTCCATGTTGGTCAGGCTGGTCTTGACCTCCCGACCTCAGGTGATCTGCCCGCCTCAGCCTCCCAAAGTGCTGGGATTACAGGTGTGAGCCACCGTGCCCGGCGGAAAGTCTGTAGTTTATTTACATCAGGGTTCGCTCTTCCTGTTGTCCATTCTGTGGGTTTGGATAAATGTGTAATGACATGTATCCATCATTACAGTATTATACAGAATAGTTTCACTGCCCTAAAATTCCTTTGTATTGTGACTATTCATCCCTCTCTCCCTCCTACCCGCTGACAACCACTGATCTTTTTACTATCTCTCTAGTTTTGCTTTTTCTAAAATGTCATATAGTTGAAGTCATACAGTATGTATGTTTTTCAGATTGGCTTCTTTCACTTGGTAATATGCACTTGAGATTCCTCCATGTTTTTTCATGGCTTGGTAGCCCATTTTTTTTTAACACCAAATTATATTCCTAGAGATTGTTGTATATTTTCCACTTTACAGATGAAGGAATAGGCACAGAAAGGATAAATAACTTGCCCAAGGCCGGGCGTGGTAGCTCACGCCTGTGATCCCAGCACTTGGGGAGGCCGAGGTGGGTGGTCACTTGAGACCAGGAGTTCGAGACCAGCCTGGCCAACATGGTGAAATCCCATCTCTACTAAAAATACAAAACTTAGCCCAGCATGGTGGTGCATGCCCGTAATCCCAGCTACTTGGGAGGCTGAGGCATGAGAATCATTTGGACCGGGGAGGTGGAGGTTGCAATGAGCCGAGATTGTGTCACTATACTCCAGCCTGGGCAACAGAGTGAGACCCTGTCTAAAAAAAAAGAAAAAAAAAAAAAAAAGAACTTGCCCAGGTACAGTTTGTACAGATCAGTCTGACACTGGAGTCTGAGCTCTTAAACATTTTAGCATGCCTGTGAATCCTAGAGAAATTTGGTTTATCATGATGAAGTTTGTTGCATGATAGAGTTGAGGTCTTTGGAAACCCAGGGCAACAGACCTAGGCACTTTGCTTGCAGAAGGTATCTACAGCTTTCTGTATAGTGACAACAATAAAAAGCCTAGAAGATAAGACTTTGTTTCAAAAAATTCAAGTATTTAGTTTGGACAGAAAACTGCTGTGTGCTTTTGAAATTTTGGTGAGACGAAGCATGGTGGCTCACTTTTGTAATCAGCATCTTGGGAGGCCAAGGCAAGAGGATTGCTTGAGCCCAGGAGTTTGAGACCAGCCAGGGCATCATAGTAAGAACCTGTCTTTACAAAAATGTTTTAAGAATTAGCTGGGAGACGTGGCACGTGCCTGTAGTCCCAGCCACTCTGGAGCCTGAGGCAAGAGGATTGCTTGAGCCCAGAAGTTCAAGGTTGCAGTGAGCTATGAACATGCCACTGCACTCCAGCCTGGGTGACATAGGGAGACACTGTCTCTTAAAAAAAAAAAAAAATTCTGAGCTAGGTGCGGTGGCTCATGCCTGTTATCCCAGCACTTTGGGAGGCTGAGGCAGGTGGATTGCTTGAGCTCAGGAGTTGGAGACCAGCGTGGGCAACATGGTGAAACTCCGTCTCTACAAAAAACCCACAAAAATTAGCAGGGCGTGGTGGTGCTCACCTATAGTCCCAGTTACTAGGATGCTGAGGTGGGAGGATCGCTTGAACCCAGCGAGCAGAGGTTACAGTGAGCCATGATTGCACCACTCACTGCATTCCAGCCTGGGTGACAGTAAGACTATGTCTAAAAAAAAAAAAAAAAAAAATTAATTCTGGTTGAATACACTGTCTGCTTTACTAGTTTTAAATATTTCTCTTTCCTTATCCATAATTTTATTGCCTTTCAGATTATATCTGGGTGTTGGCACCCAGCCACTATTCTGCCAATGAAGTACATCCTGGTCACGGGTGGGGTCATCTCAGGCATTGGTAAAGGGATCATTGCCAGCAGCATTGGAACGATTCTAAAATCATGTGGACTCCGAGTTACTGCCATAAAAATCGACCCCTATATTAACATCGATGCTGGCACTTTTTCACCTTATGAACACGGTACGAAAGTGAACCACTTCCCCCTTATAGCACTAGGCTCAACTGCATTCTTTCTTCCATTTTGGGTAATTTCTTTAGGATGTAGTTCCAGATTTAGAGTGACTAGATCGTATGCTATGAATATGTGAATTTTCTCATGGTCATTGATACATTGTTCATACCTCTGATGACATTCCAAATTAATCATCCCTTTTGGAAACATTGTATCTTTTGCACTACAGATTCTGTTTTATTTTTAACATAAAGGTAGTGTGTTTCTCTTAACATTTCCCACTGCCTGGAGTAACTATTATTAATGGTGACATTTTGATGTATGAGTATATTTGATTTATTTTTAAAATGGCATTAGCCCTTACATGCTATTTTTAAAAAACTTTTTATAAGGCCCAGTGCGGTGGCTCATGCCTGTAATCCCAGCACTTTGGGAGGCCGAGGCAGGTGGATCACGAGGTCAGAAGATCGAGACCATCCTGGCTAACACAGTGAAACCCTGTCTCTACTAAAAATACAAAACATTAGCTGGGCGTGGTGGCACGTGTCTGTAGTCCCATCTACTCAGGAGGCTGAGACAGGAGAATCACTTGAACCTGGCAGGCGGAGGTTGCAGTGAGCCAAGATCGAGCCATTGCACTCCAGCCTGGGCGACAGAGCGAGACTCTGTCTCAAAACAAACAAACAAACAAACAAACAAAAACAACAAAAAACCAACCCCCAAAAAAACCTTTTTATATACAAGCAAAAAAGTGCATAAATCATAAGTGTACAGTTGGATGAATTTTCATTAAATGAACACACTGTGTAACCAGCCCCTGATCAAGAAACAGAAATGTTCATGTCCTGCCGGGCGTGGTGGCTCACGCCTGTAATCCTAGCACTTTGGGAGGCTGAGGCGGGCGGATCACGAGGTCAGGAGATCGAGACCGTCCTGGCTAACACGGTGAAACCCCGTCTCTACTAAAAATACAAAAATTAGCCGGGCGCGGTGGCGAGCGCCTGTAGTCCCAGCTACTCGGGAGGCTAAGGTGGGAGAATGGCGTGAACCCAGGAGGCGAACTTGCAGTGAGCCGAGATTGCGCCACTGCACTCCAGCCTGGGTGACAGAGTGAGACTCCATCTCAAAAAAAAAAAAAATGTTTGTGTCCCTTGTTGCTATCCTGTCTTCCTGTTTTTGTTTTTTGAGACAGGGTCTCACTCTATCGCCCAGGCTGGAGTGCAGTGGCCAAGATCTCGGCTCAATGCAACCTCCACCTCCTGTGCTCAAGTGATCCTCCTGCTTCAGTCCCCTGGGTAGCTGGGATTACAGGTGTGCACCACCACACCTGGCTAATTTATGTAATTTTTTTATAGAGCTGGGATTTCGCCATGTTACTTAGGCTGGTCTCGACCTCCTGGGCTCAAGCAATCCTCCTACCTCGGCCTCCCAAAGTGGTGGTATTACAGGCATGAGCCACTGCAACAGGCATGAGCCACTGCACCAGGCCTTGAATATCGTGTTTTAAACTTTACTAACCTGAGAATAAAACAAACAAAAAGAGGGTATCTTATTGTTTTAATTTAGAGTTCTTTGATTTTGATTTTGTTTGTGAATGACTTATTCAAGTCTGTGGTAGATTGTATTTTTGCTTCAAAATGTTACCCACCATCCCTCTGTGGAGTACATTTCCCTGCCCTTTGACCTTGGAGTTTGGCCACGTAGGATAGTTAACTTGTCCTGGTTTGTTTGGAATGTTCCTGATTTTAAAACAGAAAGTCCTGTGTCCTGGGAGCCCTCTTAGTCCTGGGCAAACCAAGCAGGTTGGTCACTCTATTTGGCCATGTGATTTATTTTGTCCTATGGGATGTTAGGGAATATTAACATATGCCTTGTTGAAGCAGAAAATGTCAAATGCATCTGTGTGGTTTGGCTCAGTCTGTCTTGTGCTTCTGCCCTCTACCATGAGAACAGCCTGGTTTTCAGAGATTTCTCGTTCAGTCTGGGTCCTGGAATGAGAAGACACAAAGAATAGACTCACAAGTGACTCATAGCCCCCATGTAACATGAGGGAGAAATAAATAAATGTTTTGTAAGTTGCAGAGATTTTGGGGTTGTTTGTTGTGTGGCACCATTGACTAATGCCATGTGTTACACCAAATTTTCTTTGGATTTTTTTTTAATGATTTTTTTTTTCTTTTTTTGAGACAGAGTCTCACTCTGTCGCCCAGGCTGGAGTGCAGTGGTGTGACCTCGGCTCACTGCAACCTCCGCCTCCCAGGTTCAAGCGATTCTCCTACCCAGCCTGGCAAACATGGCGAAACTCTGTCTCTATTTAAAAAAATAATAGGCCGGGCACGGTGGCTCACGCCTGTAATCGCAGCATTTTGGGAGGCTGAAGCAGGTGGATCACGAGGTCAGGAGATGGAGACCATCCTGGCCAACATGGTAAAAACCTGTCTGTACTAAAAATACAAAAAAATTAGCTGGGTGTGGTGGTGCACACCTGTAATCCCAGCTACTCAGGAGGCTGAGGCAGGAGAATTGCTTGAACCAGGGAGTCAGAGGTTGCAGTGAGCCGAGATCGCACCACTGCACTCCAGCCTGGCGATAGAGTGAGACCCTGTCTCAAAATAATAATAATAATAATAATGGTAATACAAAGATTAGCCAGGCGTGGTAGTACATGTCTGTAATCCCAGCTACTTGGGAAGCTGAGACATGAGAATTGCTTGGATCCAGGAGGCGGAGGTTGCAGTGAGCTGAGATCACGCCACTGCACTCCAGCCTGGTTGACAGCGAAACTCTGTCTCAAAAAAAAACATTGAAAAAAAAAATTGAAAAAAAAAGTATTGTGATATCAATTTGCTTTTTTCCTTAAAATTAATTTTCTAGACCACAGTTATGTACCTTAGAATGGATAAATAAATTAGGATATAAAAGGCTTCTGATTAAATTTGTAAGTTAATCAACCTTTTTTCCTGTGGACATCTAACAGTAGGAATAAATGATAGTTCCCTTAATAGGGGAAAGGTTCAATTCTTACAAGGTGGCTTTAGAAACATACGACTCTCAGTCCATGCCCTGAAGTGACAATAGAGATCTACAGACGTGTCTAGTAGTTAAAGTTGGTGCTCCTCGTGTGACGAAGTCTGCACCTGTCTTTTATGACAGTGCATTGTGCACGTAGCTTATGGCACACACAGGCTTTTTCCCTCACTTTCACCAAGTTGCCTTATGGGTTAGCTGTGGCCTTGCTTTGTCATCTACTGTCTAATTATGGCTTTAATCAAGATGAGAATCAAGTAAAAGTTTCTTATCGCAGTTCCAGAGTCCAGGATACTGATGCTTTGAAGTAAAATGCTGTTTGTTTTTAAAATTTCTGTTTTCATGTCTTTTTTATGTGGCATATGTTGAGTTTGGAAAAGCTAAATCTTGAAGACAGAATTTCAGTAGATTAAAAAAAAACCACAATAGAATATTATAAATAGAATTTTCTGATGCATTTTCTTGGATATAATTGAATTGTTAATATCTCCACCAAAAAGGAGATGGTGATAGAATATGGCTTACAAATACATCTTTTACCAGCTTTTTAACAAAAATATGTCCATCTTTGAAAAATCTACTGGAAGCAAAGTTTTGATTTTTCCATTGCCTTTTTAATCCTAGGTGAAGTCTTCGTCTTAAATGATGGTGGAGAAGTTGATTTAGACCTTGGAAATTATGAAAGATTTTTGGATATTAATCTTTATAAAGACAACAATATCACCACGGGGAAGATATATCAGCATGTGATCAATAAAGAGAGGCGTGGTGATTACCTGGGGAAAACAGTGCAAGGTATTATATTCCACAGACATTATGGAGCCCTGTGTGCTGAATATCTTTGTACTGCTCAAAAGTAGAACTGAAGGCCGGGCACGGTGGCTCAGGCCTGTAATCCCAGCACTTTGGGAGGCTGAGGCCAGTGGATCACCTGAGGTCAGGAGTTCGAGACCAGCCTGACCAACATGGTGAAACCCCATCTCTACTAAAAATACAAAAATTAGCCAGGCATGGTGGCGCATGCCTGTAATCCCAGCTATTCGGGAGGCTGAGGCAGGAGAATTGCTCGAACCCAGGAGGCAGAGATTGCAGTGAGCCGAGATCGTGCCACTGCACTCCAGCCTGGGCGACAGAGTGAGACTCCATCTTAAAAAAAAAAAACAAAACAAAGCCAAAAAAACCAAGTAGAACTGAAAATGTCACAGTCCCTGCGCTCTACAAGTTCTAATTCTTTTAAAATTGTTGCGTTTTTTTCTTTTCATTTTCCAAAAATATGTCAGGGTAACTTGCCAGGTGACTTTCAGGTGATTGGGGAGGCCTAAAGCACATTCTTTTCTCATGAGCATGGAATAAACTTTTGTATTAATACTTCTTTCTACAGTTGTCCCTCACATTACTGATGCTGTCCAGGAGTGGGTTATGAATCAAGCCAAGGTGCCGGTGGATGGTAATAAGGAAGAGCCCCAAATATGCGTTATTGAGGCAAGCATAGAACTTTCTTTATAAAATTATATCCTGCTGGGTCTTTGAGCATCTGATCTTCATTTATTTGACAAATACTTACACACGCCCTCCTGAGTGCTGGACACTGGGCTAGGAGGTGGGGTCACAGCAAGAAACAACATAGATGGCTTCTGTCTTTGTGGTCACAAGTGAGTGGGCAAGATTGGCATTAGACAGACAATCACACCTACTCCTGGGTGGACGTGCAGTGATCTGCTTGTGGAGACTGATCAGCTGCTGATAAAGTCAATGTGAGGGCCTCTTCTGTGCCGGGGCCTGGGATGGGCACAGTCTCTGACCTTGGGGAGCTTGCAGACAACCCTGTCTACACACAACAGACTGCATTCTAGTGCATACTATTTGAAAAGTATTTCCGAAGTGCTTTGGAAGTGTAAAGAGACACTGGGTTAGGGAAGTCAGATGGTAGCGGTGATAAGTGATTAGTATCAGCTGTTTAAAGAAAGAAGCTAGTGGCTGCGCGAGGTGGCTCATGCCTGCAATTCCGGCATTTTCAGATGCCAGGGTGGGAGGATTGCTTGAGTCCATGAGTTTGAGACAGCCTGGGCAACATGGCGAAAACCCGTCTCTACAGAGACTACAAAGATTAGCTAGGCATGTTGGTACGCACCTGTAGTCCCAGCTACTTGAGAAGGTGAGATGGGAGGATCTTTTGAGCCCGGGAGGTTGAGGCTGCAGAGAGCAGTGATTGCACCAGCACTTCAGCCTGGGTGATGGAGCCAGACCCTGTCTTAATTTAAAAAAAAAAAAAAAAAAAAAAAAAAGTCGTATTTGAACTTGCCACTTGTTTACTTCCTTCACCTTGTTCCCTTCCTCTCCACGTGCAGAATGACAATAACATCCATATCCTCCTCCTCTAAATGTCAGTTGGCTTAATTGCCGGGCGAAAGAGCAGAATAATGACCAATTTGGTTCTTAGAGTCAGGCTGCCTCAGTTTGTATTTCTGCAGTGACCCCTGAGCCACGTATAGCTCAGTGATTAAGAGTCTGGAGGCAAACTGTCTGGGTTTGTAGCCTAGCAAGGTCACTTATGGGGAGGAGGGGGTGACCTTGGGCAAGTTTGCTCAACCTCTCTGTGCCTCTTTAACTCATTTAACTCATTTGTAACTCATTGTTTTGAAGATTAAATAAGTCTCTACACTTAGTGCTTAGAATGGTGTCACAGATATAGTAAGTGCTTAAAAATTATTAGCTATTATTAAGATGCCTGTATGACTTTTGGAAAATTCTCACAGTTTCAACGTCCTCATTTGTAATAATGTAATAATATAATATTATAATAATAAGATAATAACAGGATTGGGGATTAAATGCAATGTATCAGAGCACTTTGCAATGTCTGGCATTTAGGAAGTGCTCAGTGAACATAAGTTAGCTATTATTATTGTCATCAATGTAAGTGTTAGCAGATATCATGATATGTAGAAGATCCATTTTGTTAATAGTAGAACTGATAAAGTTACTGGCTATTTATTTTTTATAGATAGGGTCTCGCTATGTTGCCTCGGGCTGGAGTGCAGTAGCTATCCACAGGTGCGATCAAAGCCCACTGCAGCCTCAAACTTCTGGGCTCAACCAATCATCTTGCCTCAGCCTCCCAAGTAGCTGGGACTACAGTGTACCACCACTATGCCTGGCAAATTTTTAATTTTATTTCTTATTCTACCCTTGAATTGACTTGTCTTCACAATGATTAATTTAGCACTTAATATGTACTAGCCCTGATGATAGCTGCTAAGGATGTGAGGTTGAGTGTGATCTGACTCCTGCTCTCCAGGAGCTCATTGGCTGGATTTTAAATTTCATGGAAACAGGGAAACTGACAAACAGAACCCCTTCTCCGTTATAACCCTGATGTTTATATTTGCTTATTGGATACTAGTGGTCAACCATCCTCTTTGGTTGATTGTAAGTTGTGTTCAACAGTTGTGTCTGTGCACCATTTAAGCTTTTGAAGAAGGACTGCCAAAGCTGATTTTTAGTTTTAATCATAGAGGAGCTGTTGAAATGTCTTCAAAGCCATTTTTATGAGTGAGACCTCAACTTCTCATACCAGTGGAGCTGACAGGTTTTATTTATATTAGTACGAGTTATCTTGGCATGAACCTGAAATAATTTATGCTTGTCTTAAAGGAATAACAGTTTTCTTTCTTCTTGTTTATTTTCCAAAAAAGAAGACTCAGCCAAGTGTGGTGGTGCAGGTCTGTAGTCCCAGCTACTTGGGAGGCTGAGGCAGGAGGATCATTTATACCCAGGAGTTTGAGGCCGCAGTGAGCCATGATCTCACTACTGCACTCCAGCCTGGGTGGCAGAGCGAGACTCTGTCTTTAAAAAAAATTTAAAAAGGGCCGGGTGTGGTGGCTCACGCCTGTAATCCCAGCACTTTGGGAGGCTGAGGCGGGTGGATCACGAGGTCAGGAGATCGAGGCCATCCTGTCTAACACGGTGAAACCCCGTCTCTACTAAAAATACAAAAAATTAGCCGGGCGTGGTGGTGGGCGCCTATAGTCCCAGCTACTCAGGAGGCTGAGGCAGGAGAATGGCGTGCACCCAGGAGGCGGAGCTTGCAGTGAGCCGACATCGCGCCATTGCACTCCAGCCTGGGCAACAGAGCGAGACTCCATCTCAAAAATAAATAAATAAATAAATAAAAATAAAAAAAGAAAAAGAAAAAAGACTTTCATTAAAGACAAAGGCAAAAACAACTTTGCACATCTCATAAATTTGCTGCTGCTTCCATTTCAGCATAAAGTATTGTTATAGGTGATATTTTCCCTTTTATCTGGGGCAACAGTTAACTTCAAACTATTCCAGTAGTAATATTGAAGGTTTCTGAACACGATAATGTGGGTGACCTAGAGGTATGGTAATGGGAACTTCTGAATTAGCAGGGAGACTGTAGTACCGCTGCTGACCACGTGAGGGCAGAAGCTGATAATGTTTGAAGTTGGCCTCCTTTTGGCATTCACTATTATTGACCCCCCAGAGAATCCCCATCAAAACACAAGATGGAAGCACACGGTTTAGTTTAAGTGCAGACCTCTGGTTTTCCTTAGAAAAAATAAATGATTTTCAAAAATTAGATTTTGGTGCCTTGTATTTAGTGGGTACTTACACTCACTTCACCCCTGCCAAGTTCCTGATTGCATGTGATGTTTTCATTTCGTTGAGTTGTTGTTGTTGTTGTTGTTGTTTTTTAAAGAGACAGTGTCTTACTCTGTTCCCTAGGCTGGAGTGCAGTGGTATGATCATGACTCACTGCAGCCTGGACTTCTCCAGGCTCAAGCGATCCTCCCACCTCAGCCTCCTGAGTGGCTGGGACCATAGGCGCCGTGCCGCCATGCCCAGCTAATTTTTTATGTTTTTGTGGAGGCAAGGTCTCACTTTGTTGCCCATGCTGGTCTCAAACTCCTGTGCTCAAGTGATACACCTGCCTCCCAAAGTGTTGGGATTACAGGTGTGAGCCACTGCACCCAGCCCTGGCTTTGGTTCTGCTGTAATTTTGGTAACAGGTACTAGAACACTGTTCCTTAGGGCTTATATTGAATTTCAGGACCTTTCTGTCCTGGCCCGACTACTAAACTAAACCTCCAGTGCTGCATGCAGGGTACTGGGCTCATGCCCTCATGGGGCTTACAGTCTAGTGGGGTAGAGAGCCAGGAAACAAAGACGGAAATGAAATAGAGGCAACTTGTGCTGAATTCCTAGGATGGGTACAGTGCTGTGACAAGGGCTAGTGGGATATAGGCTGCTTTAGGTGGGGGGTCAGAGTCTGCCCTCCAAGGAGGGTCAGAGTCCGCCCTCCAAGGAGGATGCATCTCTCTTGGACTGGAGGATAAAGAGGTTGCTGTAGATGAAGAAGGAGGGTAGGAGGGCTTAAGGAGCAGGAAGGAAGAGCATGGAGTACCCAAGAGGCCAGCGGGGAGGGGACCAGATGGCATTGGAGACTCAGTGCAAGGGCCAGGTCCTGAGAGCCTTTTGTTGGCTGCATTAAGGAGATTTGATGCTAGTTTTTTGTTTTTGTTTTTGTTTTGAGATGGAGTCTCGCTCTGTCGCCCAGGCTGGAGTGCAACGGTGTGATCTCGACTCACTGCAACCTCTGCCTCCTGGGTTCAAGCGATTCTCCTGCCTCAGCCTCCCGAGTAGCTGGGACTACAGGTGTGCCCCACCACGTCCAGCTAATTTTTGTATTTTTAGTAGAGACAGGGTTTCACCATGTTGGCCAGGATGGTCCCGATCTCCTGACCTGTGATCCGCCCGCCTCGGCCTCCCAAAGTGCTGGGATTACAAGCATGAGCCACTGCGCCTGGCCTTATTGTTAGTTTTAATGAAGCAATGGGCTACTGAAGAGTATACACGTGGAGAAATCTTTTTTGAAGTTTTATTTTTTATTTTTATATTTTTTCAGAGAAAGGGTCTCGCTCTGTCATCTAGGCTGGAATGCAGTGGGATGATCATGACTCACTGCAGCCTTGACCTCCTGGGCTCAAGTGATCCTCCTGCCTTGGCCTCCCAAAGCGCTGGGATCATAGGTGTGAGCCGCCATACCCAGCCACAATTTAGTGATTTTGAACGTATTTATAAACCTCTGTGTAACCATCAAACTTTAGTTCTCATGCTCGGTTTATTAAGAACTCTTTTTATTAGCTTGTGTACTGTGGGAGATGTGTGGTCATTTGTGTCTTTTTTTGTTTGTTTTCCATTCCCAGCTGGGAGGCACCATTGGAGACATCGAAGGAATGCCGTTTGTGGAGGCGTTTAGACAATTCCAGTTTAAGGCGAAAAGAGAGAATTTCTGTAATATCCACGTTAGCCTTGTCCCACAGGTGGGCTTTCCAGATAAGTATGTGGACAGCAACTTTGATAAGTTTTCCTATGATATTCTATGTGTCCTGCATTTGAAAGTGGGGCACCATTAATCATCCATAGGAGCTAGTGTCCAGTGTGCTGACGGGACCCCATTTTTTTTCAGCTCAGTGCTACCGGAGAACAAAAAACCAAACCCACCCAAAACAGCGTCCGCGCACTGAGGGGTTTAGGCCTGTCTCCAGATCTGGTGAGTTGAGGACAGTGGGTAAGTCTATCCTGAAGGTCTCTGGGAGCAGGACCTTCACTTCTTTTTTTTTTTTTTTTTTAATTTGAGACGGAGTCTTGCTCTGTCACCCAGGCTGGAGTGCAGTGGTGCAGTCTTGGCTCATTGCAACCTCCGCCTCCTGGGTTCAAGCGATTCTCCTGTCTCAGCCTCCAGAGTATCTGGACTACAGGCACATGCCACCACACCTGGATAATTTTGGTATTTTTAGTAGAGACAGAGTTTTGTCATGTTGGCTAGGCTGGTCTTGAATTCCTGACCTCAGGTGATCCGCCCGCCTCAGCCTCCCAAAGTGCTTGGGATTACAGCCAAGAGCCACCATGCCTGGCTGCCCTTCACTTCTTTATCTTTATCATCATCTAAGTCCTTTCTCATTCTCAAACGGCTCCTGTGACAATGAGGTTTTTCTATCTGGGAGCCGGAAAAGGCTTATTCCCTTAGCCTCAAGTGTTGCTTCAATCTGTTCTTCCCTAGGCTCTCATTTGATGGGCCACATTGATAGTTGGGCAAGTGTGATGTCCTGTCATTTATATGATTCCTGGATTCTTTAGAATGAAGGTGAAACCTTGGGATTTTCCTGTGACCCTGCTATCAATGATAACCCTGTGATGGGTTATCACTGCTCTTTTTTTCTTTTTGAGACGGGGTCTGGCTCTGTTGCCCAGGCTGGAGTACAGTGGTGTGATCTTGGCTCACTGCAACCTCTGCCTCCTGGGCTGAAGTGATTCTCCCACCTCAGCCTCTTGAGTAGCTGATACTAGAGGTGCACGCTACCACAGCGCACTAATTTTTGTGTGGTGTGTGTGTGTGTGTGTGTGTGTGTTTGTAGAGACAGGGTTTTGCTATGTTACTGAGGCTGGTCTCGAACTCCTGGGTTCAACCAATCCTCCTGCCTTGGCCTCCTAAAGTGCTGGGATTGCACCACGCCCAGTCCGCTGCTCTTATTTTTAGTCTAAACAGTGATGTGTCCTTATAGCAGGTGATCCAGTCATCACCAGTAGTCTCTGTCAGAGGTTGACAAATAACAGCCCACAACTTGCTTGCCTGTTTTTGTAAGTAAAGTTTTATTGGCATGCAGTCACACCCATTCATTTACATATTGTCTGTAGCTGCTTTCACACTGCACCTCAATTGAGGATCAGGACAGTGACTGTGTCACCTGCAAACCTAAAATATTTCCCATCTGGCCCTTTTGAGAAAAAGTTTGTTAACCCCGATCTAGCTCTTTTCTTGTAGTTAATGAAGCAACACTTGTGAGCCTGGACTCTGTTCACCAGAGACGTCTCGATGTTTCGAGTTCTTACTGATACACTTATGCTGAATTTGATTATACTTATATTAGTGCTCAGACCAATTTCTAATAGTCCAGTGGAATGTCCAAAGTGAACAAGTACATACTTGGCCAAGTTTCTTGTAAAAAGAAATGAATGTGGCATCCTGCTGAAAGTGAATCCTGTTTGCTGAAGCATAACTGGCTTTGACAGATTGTCTGCCGAAGTTCAACGCCCATTGAGATGGCCGTGAAGGAGAAGATTTCTATGTTTTGTCACGTGAACCCTGAACAGGTTGGTGCTGCTCTTTAGATTTTATTGTCTGGCAGGCACTTCTGCTGATGCCAGTGTTTTGTACCTCTTCAATGATCATATTACTTTTCACGGCATTTATGCAAGCACTGGGGAACCCTGATCCAACCATGATTCCCTAGCCCTTAAGTGAGATAGGATGCATGTTTCTTTGCATGATCACTCAACTTATGTCACAAAACCAGGGTGGGCTTTCTTTTCTTGAGACAGAGTGTCACTCTGTCACCCAGGCTGGAGTGCAGTGGCATGATCTCAGCTCACCGCAACCTCTGCCTCCTGGGTTCAAGCAATTCTCTTATTTTAGCCTCCTGAGCAGCTGAGATTATAGGCATGCGCCACCACGCCTGGCTAATTTTTTTGTATTTTTAGTAGAGATGGGGTTTTGCCATGTTGGCCAGGCTGGTCTCGAACTCCTGACCTCAGATGATCCGCCCGCCTCAGCCTCCCATAGTGCTGGGATTACAGGCGTGAGCCATCGTGCCCAGTACCAGGGTGGGTGTTTAACTCACAGTCAAACCTCTAGAGAGAGAACCACATGAAGCCTACTTATCATCTCTTTATCTTGTGTTTCCTTCTGGAACACTTACTGCTTTCACTCATTTCTCCTCTCTACCTGTGGCAGCTTAAGTCACCCCAAACACACGAGCACGTTGACATTCGCACTAGCTCTTCTGACTCCATCAGTGGGCTCAGTTGACTTCATTGGTACAGAAACTGTACTGTGATTTGGGCTTAGGTTCTCTGCTCTGTAGGGCTTTCCACCTTGGTATTCTGATAATTCGCTTTTCTTTTTTCTTTCCTTCTCTCATCTCTGTCTCTTGATTCCAATAAGGCTTGGTTATAAGGGATTGGAGTTACCTATAGTTTAAAGAGAGTGATATAAATGGTGCTCAGGAAAAGGGTGAGGTTTGGCAGAAATCTTTTCTTCAGATTATAACTCTGGGTTCTCTGAAGTCTAAAAATGATCAAATTGAATTTTGGCATCTTGGAAAATAGTCTGATGGAGAGCCCCCTGCCTGATGCCTCAGAGTCATTGCCGAAGTCTGAACTACTTTGAAAAATGTGATGGCAGATTGAAGGGACACTTCTGCATCTGTATGTTGATATGTTGTCATGCCATTTTGTTTGCGTCCAATCTTTTTTTTTTTTTGAGACAGAGTTTCACTATTGTCACCCAGGCTGGAATGCAGTGGTGCACTCTTGGCTCAGTGCAACCTCTGCCTCCTGGGTTCAAGCGATTCTCCTGCCTCAGCCTCCTGAGTAGCTGGGATTATAGGTGTGTGTCACCATGCCTGGCTAATTTTTGTATTTTTAGTAGAGATGGGGTTTCACCATGTTGGCCAGGCTGGTCTTGAACTCCTGACCTCAGATGATCCGCCTGCCTCAGCCTCCAAAAGTGCTGGAATTACAGGCGTGAGCCACCACACCTGACCTGTCCAATCGTTTTGTGTACACTTCTTTTTTTTTTTTGAGATACAGTCTTGCTCTGTCACCCAGGCTGGTATGCAATGGTGCGATCTCGACTCACTGCAACCTCCGCCTCCTGGGTTCCAGCGATTCTCCTGCGTCAGCCTCTTGAGTTGCTGGGATTATAGGCACATGTCACCATGCCCAGCTAATTTTTGCATTTTTAATACAGGTGGGGTTTCACCATGTTGGTCAGGCTGGTCTCGAACTCCTGACATCAGGTGATCTGCCCGCCTCGGCCTCCCATAGTGCTGGGATTAGTTTTCTAATTAAATGAAGCTAACCTTGTGCAAATTCTGATGCTAGCTTTGGTTGCTGGGTTTTTGTGTGTGCGTGTGTGTGTGTTATATCAGTGTAAATAAACTGCCAGTCTCTGCTGAATTTTGTTTCATTCTTGTGGTGGCATATTTGAATAGATCCATCTAAGTATGGTGATTTCTCATCGCCACTTAGGTCATATGTATCCATGATGTTTCTTCCACATACCGAGTTCCTGTGCTTTTAGAGGAACAAAGCATTGTGAAATATTTTAAGGAGAGATTGCACCTGCCCATCGGTGATTCTGCAAGTAATTTGCTTTTTAAGTGGAGAAATATGGCTGACAGGTAAGCGAAAGGAATTACTTGTATAATCTTTAATAATTTTTGAGTTTGGGGGTAGAACTAAGACCTACTTGAAAGGGTAAGCGTGTGTATTTGGCATTTTGCGTGTGCACATTTTGGTCTGGATATGTCTAAAGATGGAGCATACTGTTGCGGTGCTTTGCTGTATTATTTGAAGATTTCTGGAGCCTTTGATTTTGTTATACATAAACCAAAGTGAATTAAAGGAATTCGAATTCTGGAAGGAATGTTTTTTTAGCTCTGGAAGGATTCTGATTTATTTGATTTATTTGCTAGTTCATTTTTTAGTTTCTGAATATTTAAAATTTTTTTTTGTTTGTTTTCTTTTTTCTTTTTTGAGAGTCTTGCTCTGTCACCCAGGCGGGAGTGCAGTGGCACGATCTCGGCTCACTGCAACCTCCACCTCCTGGGCTCAAGTCATCCTCCCACTTCAGCCTCCTGAGTAGCTGAGACTAGAGGCACACACCACCACACCCGGCTAATATATATTTTTTTTTTTTTGTAGAGACGGGATTTTTCTATGTTACCCACACTGGTCTTGAACTCCTGGGCTCAAGTGATCTGCCCACCTTGGCCTCCCAAAGTGCTGGGATTATAGGCATGAGCCACCATGCCTGGCCTTAAACAGTTTTAAACTTCACAGGTTTTTTGTTTTGTTTTGTTTTGCTTGTTTTTAAGATTTGGCTAACTTTTCCTAAAGAAAATCATTTTGGATGGGAACTTTTGGCTATGCTAGTTTTGTTTCATCCTGCATTCATTAACTGTTCAGCATAATTATTAAAACTCCTGATGGATTCTAACTTTCAGACAAGTATATTAATTTAAGCAAAGTTTCTCTATTTTGAAGTTATATGAAAATTAAGCTGTGTGCAGTGGCACTTACCTGTAGTCTCAGCTACTTGGAAGGCTGAGGTGAGAGGATCACTTGAGCCCAGGAGTTGGAGGCCAGCCTGAGCAACATAGCGAGACCCTGTATCTTAAAAAAAAAAAAAAAGGGAAATTAAGTCCCTGTCACTTGTTTTCTTTTTTTTTGAGATGGAGTGTCACTGTGTCGCCCAGGCTGGAGTGCAGTGGTGCGATCTTGGCTCACTACAACCTCTGCCTCCTGGGTTCACGCCATTCTCCTGCCTCAGCCTCCTGAGTAGCTGGGATTACAGGCGCCCGCCACCATGCCCAGCTAATTTTTTGTGTTTTTAGTAGAGACGGGGGTTTCACCATGTTTGCCAGGCTGGTCTCGAACTTCTGACCTCAGGCGATTCGCCTGTCTAGGCCTCCCAAAGTGCTGGGGTTACAGGTGTGAGCCACCGCGCCCGGCCCTGTTTTCTTTTACTAAATGTAGTTGAGATGGGACTTCTTGGGCAGCTTAGGTGAGCGCCAGTAGGTGCAGCTGTTACGTATGTAGGTTCTGGACTCAAATCCTGGCCTCTTCTCTTACCAGCTGTGTGAGTTTGGGTGATTACTTAACCTATCTAGGCTTTTTTTCCCTTCTGTATATAATAAGGGGATACCAGTGCCTACCTAGTGGCAATTATGAGAGGAAACCTTAAAGACTTAACATTGAGTCACGTACTATAATAAGTATCGGTTGCTGATGTTGGTAACCATAATTAAAATGATGGTGACAAAATTACTGACCCTTGGTAGATGACTAATCAGATTGAGGCTCTCTTGCTCTTTCATTTACAATTTTAAAAAATGCTTTAGATTTTCTGGGGCAAGTGGAATCAGGAAGGAAGAGCAGTTTCTGAGCTTAGATTCTCTAAAACCCTTGCTCTCTAGAGTGCTTAAAGTGCCAGTCATTTCACAGGAATTTTCTAAGTAGCTTGGGGCTGATACACTTTAAGCACTAGAAGTTTTAATATTTTAACTCTTTTTATTGGAAATAGCTCTAAATTATACTCTATGCGTTTATGCTTTTTTTCTTTTTCTTTTCTTTCTTTTTTTTTTTTTTTTTTTTGACACAGGGTGTTGCTCTGTTGCCCAGGCTGGAGTGCAGTGGTGCAATCTCAGCTCACTGCAGCCTCGACCTCCTGGGCTCAAGCGATCCTCCTGCCTCAGCGTCCCCAGTAGCTGGGACCACAGGTGCGCTACACCACGGCCAACTAATTTTTGTATTTTTAGTAGAGACGGGGTTTTGCCATCTTGCTCAAGTGATCTTCCTGCCTCGGCCTCCCAAAGTGTTGGGATTACAGGAATGAGCCATATGCCTGGCGCTTCTGTGCTTTTTAAAGCCACATGTTTGGTCTTTGTATTAGCTTCCTGGGGGCTGCCATAACAATGACCACTAACTGGGCAGCTTAAAAAAACACAACAGGAATTTATTCTCTCACAGTCCTGGAGGTCAGAAGTGCAAAATCAATGCATCCACAGGGTTGGTTCCTTCTAGAGGCTCTGCAGGAGATTCTCTGCCACACCCCTTCTCCTGGCTTCTGGTGGCTGCCAGCAATCAGTGGTGTTCCTTGGCTTGTGGCCACATCACTCCAATCTTGTCCTCCATCTTTTATTTCCTTATTTATTTTTTTTTTTTTGAGATGGAGTCTCACTCTGTCACCCAGGCTGGAGTGCAGTGGTGCAACCAGGGCTTAATGCAACCTTGAACTTCTGGGCTCAAGTGATCCTCCTGCCTCAGCCTCCCAGGTAGCTGGGACTACAGGTGCATGCCACCATGCTTGGCTAATTTTTGTGTTTTTTATAGAGACAGGGTTTCACCATGTTGCCCAGCCTGGTCTCAAACTCCTGAGCTCAAGCAATCCACCTGGTTTAGCCTCCTAACGTGTTGGGATTAAAGGCGTGAGCCACCATGCCCAGCCTTTGGCCTCCAGGCCTCCATCTTCACATCACCTTCTCACTTGTGTCTTCTTCCCTTCTCTTCTTTTGTAAGGATGCTTGTCATTGGATGTAAGGCAGGCCCTAATCCAGGATGATCTCAGCTGGAGAGCCTTACTTATGTCTGCAAAGACCCTTTTTCCAAACAAGGTCACATTCACAGGTTTTGGGGACAAATTTCTTTGGGGGGGGGCCACCATTCAACTCACTACAGCCTTTTTATTTTTAATTTTTATGGGTACATAGTAGGTGTATATATTTGTAGGGTACATGAGATATTTGGTACAGGCATATAATGCATTATAATCACATCAGGGTAAATGGAGTATCCATCACCTCAAGCCTTTATCCTTTCTTTGCAATACAAACAATCCAAGTATACTCTTTTATTTATTTAAGAATGCACAATAAATTGTTGACAATTTTCAAGCAAGGAGATATTGTGCATGGGTGCCTCTGCAGCACTGGGCCTCCCTCTGCATCACATTGGTGGTGACATTGTTAATTGATGCGAAGTGTCCATTCTTTAGCTTTGGTCCTCTCAGTATAGCCTGTAGAGAGGTGCAAGGAGCCAAACGGAGGCCAAAGGAACAGCCTCTATCATGGAGGCCCAGTGCTGCTCAGAGGCCAGGGGTCCCTGATTAAACAGGGACAGCTTGCCTGGGACCCGAAGTCAAGGTGGGCACAATTCTCCACCTCCTCCTATTCATTGTCTTTTTTTTTTTTTTTTTTTTTTTTGGAGACAGAGTCTCGCTGTGTCGCCCAGGCTGGAGTGCAGTGGTGCGATCTCAGCTCACTGCAAGCTCTGCCTCCTGGGTTCATGCCATTCTCCTGCCTCAGCCTCCCGAGTAGCTGGGACTACAGGCGCCCACCACCACGCCCGGCTAATTTTTTTTTTTTTGTATTTTTTTAGTAGAGATGGGGTTTCACCATGTTAGCCAGGACGATCTTGATCTCCTGACATCGTAATCCGCCCACCTCGGCCTCCCAAACTGCTGGGATTACAGGCATGAGCCACCACACCCAGCCCTCTTCATCTCTCTTGAGACCCGACTCTTGGGGGTGGCCCTGCAAAGAGGACTCCCCTCCCCCTCCCACAGCAGCTTGAAGTAGTATCACATGCTTGCCTCACATTCGGTGATGGCTGATGGCTGAGTGGGGCACATGAGGGAGACCTTGGTTGCTCTCGGAAGTACAGGTCCAAGGGGGAATGAGAGCTCCCTGGTAGGTGTGACCCAGTGGACTCACCTGTACCACCTGCTGCCCAGTGACTCCTCCCCTGGGAAGACCAGCTGTGAGTGAGCCGTAGGAGTAACCTGTGATACTGACCCCAGTGCTGCTTCCTTCCGGGGGCAGAGCTGATGTTGTCTCTTCTGTCTATGGAGGAGGGAGAAGGGGGTGAAGCCAAATCTGCTGTTCTCAAATGCGGCTCTGCCTGCCTGCCTCTGACATCATCTCTACTACTTGGTGTGCTGTCATCCTGCTTTCTGTTACCCGCATCCTCTTTTTTTTTTGGAGAAGAAGTCTGGCTCTGTCGCCCAGGCTGGAGTGCAGTGGCATGATCTCGGTTCACTGCAACCCCTGCCTCCTGGATTCAAGTGATTCTCCTTCCTCAGTCTCCTGAGTAGCTGGAACTACAGGCGTGCACCACCATGCCAGCCTAATTTTTGTATTTTTAGTAGAGACAGGGTTTCACCGTGTTGGCCAGGCTGGTCTGGAACTCCTGATCTCAAGTGATCTGCCGGCCTTGGCCTCCCAAAGTGTTGGGATTACAGGCATGAGTCACCACGCCCGGCCCGTTACCTGCATACTTTATGGAGAGGTGGTGTGAGATACAGACAGCTGTGAAACCTCCAGAGCAACATAAAATAAAGTAGTGAGTTCAAGGGTTAGCAGCTTGAACTATTTTAGTCACCTTTTAGTGACCTTTTATCAGCTATTTTAGTCATCTTTCTAGAAAGTTACCTTCCCTGTCAGTTTTGACTTCTTAGCTTCTTGTGCATTATTCCCACACATAGCCTGTTTGTGATCTAGTTTCTCTTGTACTCTTTACAGATATGTGTTCTTTTTGTTTTTGTTTTTTTTTTTTTTTTTTTGGAGACAGAGTCTCGCTCTGTGGCCTAGGCTGGAGTGCAGTGGTGCGATCTCGGCTCACTGCAACCTCTGCCTCCCGGGTTCAAGTGATTCTCCTGCCTCAGCCTCCTGAGTAGCTGGGATTACAGGTGCGTACCACCACGCCCAGCTAATTTTTGTATTTTTAGTAGAGACGAGGTTTCACCATGTTGGCCAGGATGGTCTCGAACTCCTGACCTCAGGTGATCCACCTGCCTTGGCCTCTCAGAGTGCTGGGATTACAGGTGTGGGCCACCGTGCCCGGCCACTCTTTGCAGATGTTGATATTCAAGAGAGATATTCGTCATCATGGTAACATTTTTCTAAGGTGTTTGGGGAAGGGTTTGCTTCAAAGCCCTAAAACACCTTCAGCCCCAAGATGACATTTCCACGTACCTAATACCAAACCAGATATTTTTCATGTTCTTTGAACAGATTTCCTGACAAAAGCAACACTAAAAATTGTGTCTCTAATGGTAAAATGTGATCGAGTGTCTTCTGTAGAATGGAATTTTTCTCATAAAAATGATCTAAATGGCTAGTAATATTTTAAATCGTTCTCTCAGCACCATTCTTCAGGCATGCCATGAATAACCAGACTTTTGTGGGTCAGCTGGGAATGTAACCATTTTAAATGTAGACACTTTGAATGCATTTTCTTACACAATGTCACCTTACAAAGTTAATATTGGAATGTTTCCTACTGACACGCAGAATGCATTTTTTTTATACAATGTCACCTTATTAACCAATGTAAGAATAGCTCATGTTTATGAGATTGGGATAGCTTTTCAATTTTTACTTTTAATGCTTTTAACTTTTTCTCTGATATACTTGAATTTTTATCTGTATCTGCTTGTGTAAAACAACGTTGGGATTTCTGTTTTTGTTTTATGAGACAGTGTCTCACTGTGTCGCCCAGGCTGGAGTGCAGTGGTGTGATCATAGCTCACTGCAGCCTTGGTCTCCTGGGCTCAAGTGATCCTCCAACCTCAGCCTCCTGAGTAGCTGGGATTGTAGGCATGCCCCACCACGCCTGGCTAATTTTTGTATTTTTTTGTAGAGACGGGGTCTAACTATGTTGCCCAGTCTGGTCTCAAACTCCTGGGCTTCAGTGATTCTCTCGCCTCAGCCTCCTGAGTAGCTAGGACTACAGCTGCTCCCGAGGATTTAAAAAGTGCCTTGGAGTAAGAGCAGCAGCTGCCATTGTTCTGTTTGTGATGTTCTGTTATGTGCATATAACCTTTGAGTTTGTTTTCTTTCCCAGGTATGAAAGGTTACAGAAAATATGCTCCATAGCCCTGGTTGGCAAATACACCAAGCTCAGAGACTGCTACGCCTCTGTGTTCAAAGCCCTGGAACACTCAGCCCTGGCCATCAACCACAAGTTGAATCTGATGGTGAGTCCTGGCCTGGTCTTTTGGCTATCTCAGTAATTCATGCCAATAGCACATGTTCCAGAGGGGCAAGTTTTGTTAAAGGGTCCCTGAGATCACCTGCAGGACTTACGATTCACCAGAAGAACTCACAGGACTCATCATATAGTTATAC